>NC_000006.12:121434426-121737456 GCF_000001405.40 Homo sapiens | reverse complement strand
GAAAGAAAAAATGTTAAGGGCAGCCAGAGAGAAACAAAGGGAAGCTCATCAGACTAACAGCAAGTGTCTCAGTGGAAACCCTACAAGCCAGAAGAAATTGGGGGCCAATATACAACATTCTTAAAGAAAAGAATTTCTAATGCAGAATTTCATATCTGGCTAAACTAAGCTTCATAAACAAAGGAGAAATAAAATCCTTTTCAGACAAGCAAATGCTGAGGGATTTTGTCACCATCAGGCCTGCCTTGCAAGAGCTCTTGAAGGAAGCACTAAACATGAAAAGGAAAAAATATTACCAGCCATTACAAAAACACACTGAAGTACACAGACCAACAACACTATGAAGTAACTACATTAACAATTCTGCAAAATTAACCAGCCAGCATCATAATAACAGGATCAAATTCACACATAACAATATTAACCTTAAATGTAAATGGGCTAAATGCCCCAATTAAAAGACACAGAATGGCAAGCTGGATAAAAAGACAAGACCCATCAGTGTGCTGTATTCAAGACACACATCACACATGCAAAGACACACATAGGCTCAAAATAAAGGGATGGAGGAAAATTTACCAAGCAAATGGAAAACAGAAAGAAGCAGGGGTTGCAATCCTAGTTTCTGACAAAATAGACTTTAAACCAGCAAAGATCAAAAAAGACAAAGAAGGGCATTACATAATGGTAAAGGGTTCAATACAACAATAAGAGCTAATTATTCTAAATATATATGCACACAATACAGGAGCACCCAGATTCATAAAACAAGTTCTTAAAGACCTACAAAGAGACTCAGACCCCCACACAATAATAGTGGGAGACTTTAATACCCCACTAGGCAATACCATTCAGGACACAGACATGGGCAAAGGTTGTATGATGAATTTGCCTAAAGCAATTGCAATAAAAGCAAAAATTGACAAATGGGATCTAATTAAACCTCAGAGCTTCTGCACAGCAAAAGAAACTATCATCAGAGTGAACAGACAACCTACAGAATGGGAGAAAAATTTTGCAGTCTATCCACTTGACAGAGCTCTAATATCCAGAATCTACAAGGAACTTAAGCAAATTTACAAGAAAAAACAACCCCATTACTAAGTGGGCAAAGGACAGGAACAGACGCTTCTCAAAAAAAAACAGACATGCAGCCAACAAACATGAAAAAAAGCTCAACATCTGATTATTAGAGAAATGCAAATCAAAACCACAATGAGATACCATCTCACACCTGTCAGAATGGTGATTATTAAAAAGTCAAAAAAACAACAGATGCTGATGAGGTAGTGGAGAAATAGGAATGCTTTTACAGGGTTGGTGAAAATGTAAATTAGTTCAATCATTGTGGAAGACAGTGTGGTGACTCCTCAAAGATTCAGAACCAGAAATACCATTTGACCCAGCAATCCCATTACTGGGTATATACCCAAAGGAAAATAAATCATTCTATTATAAAGATACATGCACACGTATGTTCATTGCAGCACCATTCACAATAGCAAAGACATGGAATCAACACAAATGCCCATCACTGATAGACTGGATAAAGAAAATGTGCTACATGTACAGCATGAAATGCTATGCAGTCATAAAAAGGAACAAGATTATGTCTTTGCAGGGACATGGATAAAGCTGGAAGCCATTATCCTCAGTGAACTAATGCAGGAACAGAAAACCAACACTGCAGGTTCACACTTATAAGTGGTAGCTGAACAACGAGAACACATGGACACAGGGAGGGAAACAACACACACTGGAGCCTGTCAGGGGAGGGCAGAGTGGGGTGAGAACATTAGGGAAGAGAGCTAATGCATGCTGAGCTTAATACCTGGGTGAAGGGTTGATAGGGGCAGCAAGCCACCATGGCACATGTTTACCTATGTAACAAACCTGCACATCCTGCACATGTACCCTGGAACTTAAAAAGTAAAATAATAATAATTTAAAAAAACAAAAAAAAAGTCATATTGAAGGTACCAAACAATGTCCTAAGGAAACACAAAGGCATAAAAAGAAATAAAAAAAGGAATGAAAGAGTTAAACTAAATTTTATTTACAGACATTTTTTTTAGTTACAAAATGGAAAGGAATCTATAAAAGTCCCAAAACCAATAAGTTAACTTAGCAAAGTGGCAAAATACAAATTAATATAAAAATCAGCTGATTGTATTTCTATATACTAGCAACAATTGGAAAAATTAAATTAAAAAATTATTTGCAATAAATATATACATAATTATTTATAACATATCCTTAAGTTAAAAAATTAACAAAAGATAGGCAAGAATTTTACAATAAAGATACAATACACGCTGAAATAAATTTAAGTGAACCTAAATGGAGATATACCATGTTAATGGATTAGAAGGCTCAAAATTGCTAAGATGTCAATTGTCCACAAATTGATCTATGGGTTGAATACAATCTACATAAAATCACAATGAACTTTTTTTGTAGAAAATGACAAGTTAATATGGAAATGCAAAAGAGCTACAATAGCAAAAAAAAATTGAAAAAGAAGAGTAAAGGTAAAGGATTTACATTATCTGACTTCAAGCCAAATTATAAAGCTACAGTAATCAAGATAATCTAGAATTGGCATAAGGATAGAAGAATAGATCAGTAGAACAGAATAGGGTCCAGACATAGACCCACACATATATGGTCAATTGATCTTTGATATAAATATGCCATAGTAATTCAAAAGTGAAGGGAAAGTCATTTCAATCAATAATGTAGAACAACTGGATAAATCTGTGAAGAAAAAAATCCACCTTGTGTCTGAACATTGAAACTGCCATATTGGGATACGAACAATGATCCGAGATGCTCTTGGCTACAAAGAGCAGTAGGGAAGTTGAGCTGCTGAACTCACTACTACCTCCCTGCTACCACGTTTTGGTGTTATTTCCTTGCATTCACAGGACACTAAAAACTACCACCACCACCAACAAAAAAAATCAATGAATATCTGCTATATGTTATATAATAAATATTGTGGTATATATTTGTAGAAAAAAGTGAATTTTTAAATGTGTCATAGGAAAGGGTCTGATCATATTAAGTATTTGGAGAAAGAGAATACAAACAGCATATTAGAGCAAATCAGAGTGTAAATGATGGGCTTCTAATATTTGGTGGTTTAATAAATTTTAAAGCTGCTCATAGGTTACAGTCAAGGGTCTGACTTTAAAACCTTTCAAGCCAAATTCATCCCTCATTAAAGGAAAAAGGTTGAAATGTTTGCTATCAAATATTGACTTAATTGCTGTCAATAACAGAAATATTGACATTTAAATTCTCATAAACTTGGGCTGAAAGCATTATCAAAGTTATGTCTGAACAAGTTGTAATAATAACATAGACTAGTTTTTAAGACTGAAAAAATAAAGTAGAGATGTTCTCTTCATAATTAATATCAGAAGTTCTTGTCACTAGAAATCTTTCTAACACTTATAAAGAACAGTGACAATCAAACTTGATAGGCAGTAGAGTTCCTGCAATAGTTTGGCCTAAGTTAGGCACTCAATAATTATGTGTTGATGAATAAATGTTCAAGTAAATGAACTTAATAAAAGTACACTAAGCAAAGATTCAGAAGTTTCAGTTCTACTGAAAATCCACATCTTCTCTTGGAGATTTTATTTCTTCATGAATAAAATAAGAATTATTATACTTGTGTATCTCTCAAGCTGCTATAAAAATCAGAAGAAAATATTAGATGAGAAAGCAATTTAGAACTAAGATGAAATATAAATAAATCCTTTTGAAGCTAATAGAAAAAAAGCCGTATTTCTGACCACTCACAAAGAGCCAAGAGTAACTTCACTTAGTTGAAATATCAAGAAGTCCAGATGAAATTGGTGCTTGTAGAATTGAATGAATACACCTCTGGAATGTAAGCTTCACACTGATCCTTACTATAAACTGGACAAAGAGGTGACAACAGCTCCTTTATTTCTTAGATTTATTACACTAACATAAACAGGACTGTTTCCTACATCTGGGAAAGAAGAGATTCTGCAAGAAATACATTTTGACCAAATGGTGGAATGATCCTTGGTGTTTTTATCCAAACAAACAAAAAACCCAAAGCATTTGTGAAAGGAAACCAAAGAAAATAGCTCCTCTATTATCTTTATTTTAGGTCAAGCTATTTAGAAACAAGTTCCTGCATTTTGGCTCAGCCCTAATGGTCTCACTCACTGAGCTTACCAGAAGAGGAAATGCTAAGGTTTGCATTCTAAATATCCACATTTGCTTTTCCTTTATATGACCAATGAATGATCCTGACCTAGACCACAATTGTATAGTAAAAGGGATGGACATGAGCCTGGTTAATAAAATAGGTTGATATCAGTATAGGGACTAATACAAGTACATTTATTTTAACTTTTCCAAATATTAGAGATTCTTAAGGGAAAACTTTCAATATCTGTTATTTTATATTAATATTTTTTTCTGGAACAAACAGAATGGGAGTATCAATAAGCTGTCTACAGAGAAGGATCCCCAAGTACAAGGAACTCAGATTTTTTTCTGTAGAGTTATATGTATCCTTTCATTTGGCAGAAGAAATTAAACCCAAGGCCTGACTCACCAATTCCTGTATTAACCAGGATTACGATAAAATTCTGTTTCCTTTGAGATCCCCACAAATTCAGCACTGATTACATTTGTAGTCATGCTATCCCTGCAGCTCTCCTCACTATACTATATGTAATCAGAACAGCACCTGACAGGCATATGCACAATAATGGTAATTATTATTGAATGAGTAAATGAGTTAAAAAAATTAATCTTAAATATTCTAAAATCTTTTTTTCTCCCAGGTTGCATTTAGACTGGGATAAATCTAATTTTTCTTTGTTACTTTTGTGGATTCTCTTTCTCATACTACTTGTCTTCATGTATCTTGCATCTTGGATTTGGAAGCATGCTTAACACAGGAGGTTCTTTGTCATTCTTGTTTCTGTCTTTGCATTTCTCTTCATTTATGTCTATAAGTTGTTTTAAAATTCTGCTTCCAAAGCTCAAAAAGCTTTCATTGTATTTATAAATATATCTTAGATTACTTTCTTTTTTTCTAATTTACTACTGCTAATACATAAGAAACCAAATGATTTTCATATATGGGTATTGTATCCAATCACAGCATTGAAATTTATTTAAATTTTAAAAGTTTCATGATTAAAATCTTAGGTTTATTCATGTAAACTATCATATTTCAATAGTTTATTCTTTCTTTTCTAATTTTTATTCTTCCCATTTTTATAATTATTATATTGCTGTATCTCTCCAGTACAGTATAATGTTGAACAGTCAACAAGATTTGTCTTCCTAACTTTAATGGAAATGTTGCAATATCATACGTACTGCTTATTGTTCCATTATTGATAAAGACCCTTAATCAGGTTTAGGATTTTACTTTATGTTCTTAGGTTGCTGGCTTATTTTTTTAATGACTGATTTCTGAATTTCATTAAATGTGTCTACATCTGTCCGGATAATATTCTTTTTTAATTTAATCGGTGTTCCAATACATTGCATTGGTAGTTTTTTTTTAATTTTTGAAAACATATTTCCTCATGAAATATTATTGTTATTGTTGTTTAATATATAACTGAAATAATTCAAAAATTATTTCTTTAGGATTTTACATCTATATTCATAACTGAGTGGGTCTACAATTTTAATTTCCTGGATTCCCTTTTACAAGTTTTGATATCAAATCTAAAACAGTGTTAGTGAAAAAATTAGAAAGCTTTCCCTTTTCTCCTCTATTCTCTGAAACTTGCCCTAGCTAGAGTGCAGTAACACAATCAAGGCTCACTACAGCCTGGACCTCCCAAGCTCAAGTGATCCTCCCACCTCAGTCTCCCAAGTAGCTGAGACCACAGGCATGCACCATCATGCCTGGCTAATTTTTCTATTTTTTGTAGAGACAAGATTTCACCATGTTGCCCAGGCTGGGAGTCTCTCTATTCTTTATACGTCCTTGAGTTATTGAGGTATAGTTAATTTGTTACCAAGTTTTCTCTTTATATACTTTTTTCATTTCTGATATTTTGATCATATAAAGTTGAGATGAGAAATTTGTTTTATCACAGCTTTGGTCATATTTATCTCCATCATTCCCTAATCAATTAGCATGGATTTCTCTTTGTAGAATAACTACTTGCAGATTATCAATAAAGGTTTCCAATAGTCTCGGGAATATTGCATGCCTATAAATTCCGTGTTTAATGAATACCACTTTTCACCTTCCCATAAGAATTCTTGTAAGTAGTCTTACTATGTTACCTCAAACTCCTGGGCTCAAGTGGTCTGCCTCTGCTGGCCTCTACCTCCTACAGTGCTGGGATTACAGGTGTGAACCACTGAGCCCAGCATATTCTTGGTTAAATCTTTTTGTTAAATATAGTGAACCCCAAGTTTCTCTTCAAAGAATCAGCATGTCAGTATGTTCAGCTATCATATTCTTCGATTCTCCATTTTAAAGTTTAACTCCCTGGTTCTCTTTGGCTCCTCGCTTCTAGTTTCAGTAAACAACTTTCCCACCAGTCCTAATCAGTAGTTCACATCTGTTCCCCTGGTCACCTGCTCCTTCCTGACTCATCCCAGTCACCTGCTTTGCAAAACCTGAGTCACCCTTGGTCACCTGCTCTGACCTAAGTCACCTTTAGTTACCTGTCCCTAACCATCCTTCCCGCCAAACCACTCACCCTGCCACTCTGGCTCGTACCCCTGCCCTCTTTAAAATAGCCAATCAGAATTAACTTAGACTGTGCAGTCCAACCCTAGCTAATAGGGGAACGACATAGCAATAGGGGCTACCTGCATCAGGAATAAGAACTCCTGCCCCTCCCCTGTCCAGGTGTGCTCTTGCCATTGTTTCATCTGCAAGGGGCACCCCTTCTGCAGAAAGGTAAAAATTGCCTTGCTGAGACAATTAAATTTATGTTTGAGCTCTCCTTCTCCCTCTCCCTCTCCCTCTCCCTCTTTACATGGTCTCCCTCTGATGCCGAGCCGAGGATGTACTGTACTGCCCTCTCCCTCTTTGCACTGTCTCCCTCTGATGCCCAGCCGAGGCTGGACTGTACTGCCACCATCTCGGCTCACTGCAACCTCCCTGCCTGATTCTCCTGCCTCAGCCTGCTGAGTGCCTGGGATTGCAGGCGCGCGCCGCCACGCCTGACTGGTTTTTGTATTTTATGGTGGAGACGGGGTTTCGCCGTGTTGGCTGGGCTGGTCTCCAGCTCCTGACCACGAGTGATCTGCCAGCCTCGGCCTCCCGAGGTGCCGGGATTGCAGACGGAGTCTCGCTCACTCAGTGCTCAACGTTGCCCACGCTGG
Organism: Homo sapiens; assembly: GCF_000001405.40. Lineage (NCBI taxonomy): Eukaryota > Metazoa > Chordata > Mammalia > Primates > Hominidae > Homo > Homo sapiens. Next base: position 121,730,097 of record NC_000006.12, on the reverse strand, counting down.
AGTGCAGTGGGTGATCTCCGCTCGCTGCAACCTCCACCTCCCAGCTGCCTGCCTTGGCCTCCCAAAGTGCCGAGATTGCAGCCTCTGCCCGGCTGTCATCCCGTCTGGAAAGTGAGGAGTGTCTCTGCCCGGCCGCCCATCGTCTGGGATGTGGGGAGCGCCTCTGCCCCACCGCTCCATCTGGGATGTGAGGAGACCCTCTGCCTGGCCGCGACCCCGTCTGGGAACTGAGGAGTGTCTCTGCCCCGCTGCCACCCCGTCTGGGAGGTGACGAGCGTCTCTGACCGGCTGCCCCATCTGAGAAGTGAGGAGCCCCTCCGCCCGGCAGCTGCCCCGTCTGGGAAGTGAGGAGCATCTCCACCCAGCAGCCTCCCTGTCCGGGAGGTGGGGGGCAGCCCCTGCCCGGCCAGCCACCCCATCCGGGAGGTGGGGGGCGCCTCTGCCTGGCAGCCCTGTCTGGGAAGTGGGGAGCCCCTCTGCCCAGCCGCCAACCCGTCTGGGAGGTGTACCCAACAGCTCATTGAGAACGGGCCATGATGATGATGGCGGTTTTGTTGAGTGGAAAGGGGGGACATGTGGGGAAGGGAAGGAGAGATCAGATTGTTGATGTGTCTATGTAGAAAGAGGTAGACATAGGAGACTCCATTTTGTTCTGTACTAAGAAAAATTCTTCTGCCTTGGGATGCGGTTAATCTATAACCTTACCCCCAACCCCGTGCTCTCTGAAACATGTGCTGTGTCCACTAAGGGTTAAATGGATTAAGGGCGGTGCAAGATGTGCTTTGTTAAACAGATGCTTGAAGGCAGCATGCTCGTTAAGAGTCATCACCACTCCCTAATCTCAAGTACCCAGGGACACAAACACTGGGGAAGGCGGCAGGGCCCTCTGCCTAGGAAAACCAGAGACCTTTGTTCACATGTTTATCTGCTGACCTTCCCTCCACTATTGTCCTACGACCCTGCCAAATCCCCCTCTCCGAGAAACACCCAAGAATGATCAATAAATACTAAAAAAATTTAAAAAAAAAAATTTATGTTTGAGTGCTATTTCTTTATGGCACCGAGGAACAAGCATTTTGCATTTGTAACATTTTGAAACCAACTACCAGCATCACACTGTAACAGCGAAACACTGTAACAACACAACATTAAATATTAAAATGTCTCGACATTAAAGACAAAGCAAGATAACCACTATTACTATTAATGGTAACCATTATATTCCTTCATAACTTCAATCAAAAAAATCAAAATATCTGAAATATATTTGAGGAAAACTGAATATCTCTTCTGTGAGATATAAAAGACATACATAAATGAAAAAATATTTTCTGTTGAAAGAAAAGCTTAATGCAGTTTAACATGTTTGCATAACATAGTAATATATAAACATATATTATATATTTAATATATTTATATGTAGCATTAATTTACATATTAATATATTCATTTCACCACTGAATTGATCTAAATATAAAAATAATCCCAATAAAAATGCTAATTTTTTTTTTTTTTTTTTGAGGTGGAGTTTCATTCTGTTGCCCAGGCTGGAGTGCAATGGCGTGATCTCGGCTCACTGCAACCTCCGCCTCCATGGTTCAAGCGATTCTCCTGCCTCAACCTCTTGAGTAGCTGGGATTACAGGCATGTGCCACCACGCCCAACTAATTTTTGTATTTTTAGGAGAAACACAGTTTTACCATGTTAGTCAGGCTGGTCTCGAACTCCTGATCTTGTGATTTGCCCGCCTCAGCCTCCCAAAGTGCTGGGATTACAGGTTTGAGTCACCGTGCCTGGCCAAAATGCTAATTTTCTTTTTTATAAACATGATCAAATATTTCTAAATGGACCTTCCTCTATTCGTTATTAGAAATCATTTATTTATTCATTTAATCATTAATATTGAGGCTCTACTATATGTCAAACACTGTGCTAGGCAGAGGAATCACCAGTGAAGACTATACTGTGTAGGTTTATTTATTTATTTATTATTTTTCTTTTGAGATGGAGTCTCACACTGTCACTCAGGCTGGAGTGCAGTGGAGTGCAGGCTGGAGCTTAGCTCACTCAAACAATCCTCCCACCTCAGCCTCCTGAGTAACTTGGACTACTGTGCGCCACCATGCCCAGCTAATTTTTTTTTTTTTTTTTTTTTGTATTTTGGTAGAGATGAGGTTTCACCAATATTGCCCAGGCTGGTCTCGAACTCCTGGATTGAAGCAATTCACTCACTTTGGCCTCCCAAAGTGCTGGGATTACAGGAGTGAGCCTCCATGCCTGGCTCAATATGTATATTTAGATCTAATTTTTATGAAACATACAATCATACACAAATAGGAGATACACCAAATTGCTAGAAATAATTATCTCAGGGTCCTAGGAATTTTGGTAACACTTTTCTCAGTTTTGTTTATCTTTATTTTTGTTATCCTGATAAAAATTACCTGTGTAATTTTTGTTAACAAATAATCACTTTTTTGTATACGGATGAGACAAATTATTTTAGAAATGCTAGAGATAAGAAAGATATAAAAAATCAATTTGCATCTACATATTTGCATTGTCCATGAGGTTTAAGGCAAAATATTTCTATCTTAATTTCTGCTACAAATATATTCTTGAAGAAGAGAACACAAATGCTCATGCTTAATAAGCATAATACAAAATGTAGCTCCACCATCTGTTCATTTGCACTATATTATTTTAATAATTTTTTCTGACTTGTCAATCAATATATTAAGAAACTGAATGTGTATTTGTGTGCGTGTATGTGTGTGTGTGTGTGTGTGTGTATAAAATGGACCAAATATAGGTTTTATTTCTTAGACTTGTAATACATATATATTAAATTGTGAAAAACTCTACTAGTTTGTTTTAAAATGTAATTAATAGCTCTCTGCCACAATAATGTATTGTTCTATCTTAGGTTTACTTTCTGATGCTTAATTCCATAAAGGCTTTAATTCTATCACCAATAAATTTAATTTAGGCCAAGTATTTGTATTGTTCTCTTTTACCAGATAAGAAAATAAAAGCTGAAAATTTCATTCCACTTTCCCAAGACTACAAAACCAGTAAGTGTTAGAGATGAGATTTGGACTAAAGAATTCTGATTTCAGAATTAATTTCCTTAACCACCTCCTACTTTTATGTTCCTGCACCATAATAGATATGTAATATGTTAACTGCTAACCGGTTATGCTTGTCCCATTACACAAAGGGGAAAGCTATTTCCCACATGGTCTACAGTCATATTCAGGATGACCCAGAGACTAAAAATAAATATTTTACATAATTCAAGTTAGAAAAAAAGGGAAGAAAGAAAAACATAAAGTGAGAAGGTCAATCAAATTAATTCTAGAAAGGTTATTGGTTAAAGGGGAAAGAATGTCATTTGGAGAAACAATGACTCATGATGTGGATGGGAAATTGACTTGGAAACAAATCACAGTTCTGAAATGATAATTCTTTGATATTACTATGAAGTTTTCTCTACTTAAATTCTATATTTTCTATGTAAAATACTTGTATTTATAAATCAAAACTTATTTTGTGAGTTAAAGCCATTCTATTGAAAATTAAAAATTATTGGCTGTCCAACAGTAAAAGAGAACTTAATAGTGAACTCTAAGCTCTTCAACTATAATTTCTATTTCTCTTTCCTATTTTGATTCAATTGTGATGCCACTCTTCTTATTAAGTTTTTGTTGTTCTTGTTATTTTGCTTAATTTAATGAACTCCTTCCCTCTAATTATATGTCTATATTTTATGCAGGTTTTTAAAAATTAATTTTTAAATCACATAGTAGGTCAAGTATTAGATGCAATTTCCATTTGAATTTAGTTGAATATAATCTGGGAAATTTTCACTAGTTGGTTTATTATTTAGACAGTTTTGATGAATAAAATACAAACTAACTTTATTCTGAAATAAAATCAATGAAAATGTTTTAGTGGCTCATTAAATAATTACGACTTAAAGAAATAGTGCATCAAACAGCATTTGGAGGCAATAGAAATTAAAAGAAATTTACTAAGAGAAAATGATTCAACATGTTCTGCTATTTGTATTTCCCTTCATCTAATTTGCATAATATTCCATTCTCTGTAGTCAGTCAGTAGTCAAGACTCACTGTTAGGTAATAATTGAAGAAGCAACCATGATTTAGTGTTTATGCAGACCTTTTTAGCATTAAATCTTGAGCAAACAGACTTGATGTGCGATGGAAAAGTTCCCAACTAAGATTTTCGTAATGCATTTTGTTTTTCAAATTCCTGCCCTGCTTTCAAACAGGTTACATAGAGGCACATGATTTTTCTGTGTAGTGTTTTTTACTTCTTAACTTTTGAAATATGTAAAAGTTCCAGTTTTAAATGATTATCAAGGCTTTCTTCTTTTTCAGAAGTCAGATTTCTTCTTTCTTTGTATGTGTGTGAATGGGAGCCTGCCTCCTTAATAATCTACAAGAATTTTTAATTATGGAAGATTGAATTTTAGTTATTGGTAGGAAGCTAGAAGGTATAAAATATAGAACTCCATATCCTTAATTATAATTTATTAATCATTTGGGTTATTTTACATATAACACGGATAAATGCTTTTCTTCTCAGAAATCAAGATTTTATTTTATCGATATTTATTTAGTTTTATGATCCATGTCTACAAATCCTACAGATATCAGCTATTAATTCTAACATTTTGAAGGGCTTTTGTTTTTTGTGGGGTTTGTTTGGAAGCAGGCAAGCAATTATAAAGATGGAAACCCTAGTCACAAAAAACTTGAAAACATACTTTTTTTTTTTCTTACCATCCATCTGGCTCAGAATTTGAAAGAGCTTTTAAAAGATGTTTTCCTGCCCATGAGTTGATGTTAGAGTCTGATAATAATACTCTAGTTTCCTTATGAAGGCTTAATTTTTTTTCCTATGAACCCTCTTAGAAGAAACTGTATTCTTTTTGGTCACATTTGTGAAAAAGGGAAACATGCATAGGGTCACCAAGTCCTCAAAATATCTTTCCATTGTATATGAAAGCAGAAGATGGTTTCTTAGTTCCTTGAAGGATGACACAGAAATGTTTGGTTTTCAGTGAGAGGTAAACTGTGTCTAGCTGTTATCAGTGAAGGATATTAAATAAGAAATATTGTATACCTGTGCTAGTCACTAATGGACATAAGGTTTGTATGAGGTAGCCACTTGCCCTACAAAATACCTAGTAATTGTATTTCACCATGTGTTTCCAGATGCCAAGCAACTGTTGCTTATTTTATTATAGATTTACTCCCTGCCAGTTTATTGTGTTTCAAACAATAGATGATGCAGACCATGGGAACTTCAGTTAAAATGTATTCCCTAAACGTGTCCGGATGTCACAGATAGATTTTTGGTGGGAAACAAGGTAGATAAAGCAGTATCATTGACCATGACAAATAATATTTAAAGGTACAAGTATGAGGAAGTTTATGCTAAATTAAGATGTTTGGTTAGGGTAGGAAATGCCATCTATTTGAACATGGAAAGAAAAAATAATTCCTTCTGTCTGGAGAGTTAATAGACAAAATGCTCAGGTTTGCCAGGTGTTTGTCAGAGTTAAATTGGTTTTTCATAAAGCTTTCATCCTTCTATTCTAATCATGTTCATTAATTTTGTTTCATTCTAAGGAATAAGACTTTTTTTTAATGCCCACATCCTTTTTATATTACAGAGGTGGTAGTTAAATGTATTTTTCCACCAGACTATTTTTCAAGGGAGCACCAAAGTAAATTTTATTCTGGTCTTATCAAATCATAAAAAACAGGAGGATCTTTTTAAAGGAGGGCTGTCATTTTATAATTTATTAAGAGTTGAAGCATATCATATAGTTCTTTAATTTCTTTATTGTGACAGAAAGAACACTGGTCAGGTGTATGTGTCTAATGTTAATACAAGAAATTAAAATTCTTACTTACCTCTGAGAAAAAGTAAATGATTTTATGTCAGATTAAATTAAGGTTCCTGCATTAAAGGTGATTAAAATAAATAGTTCAGAATTTATCTATATAAGTAAAACTTTGAGGAGATAACATTTAGCTTTAAGAGTGTCTAGTGCTGTTTAAAATGACCTCTCCTTATTTTTTATATTGCTTGTTACCTCAAATTTTTATGTAATATAAAACCATACTCAGTTTTCATTAGTTACTTTATATCAGTATACTCTGCATACTCAAAATAAATGCAAGCCAGCTAAGCTAATTCACACGGTCATTTCACTGAATGTCAGGAAAACAGCTACCTAATCTGCTGGGATTTGGTTCATATCCAAAGGAAGGTAACAACTTCCCTAGCCTGACTGAATCTGTCACACCACAATCAATTTATTTAGGCATTGAGAAACATCGCATGTCTCTTCAGCTTACCAAGGGCTAGATATTGTAGGTCATATTTGAGCCAGATAACATTTCTCATGTGACCCAATGTATTCATTTAAGTATGTCTAACTAGAGTGCATTTCAATTATATAGTCAGTTTAAACACGTGGCCCACCTTTAAAAGTTACTATAACTTTAATTGACAAAAGCTTTTAGTGGCTATTTGGTTCAAAATTTTTAAATAATTTTTTTAAAAGAAAAAGGCTTAAAATACTAAAATCTACATTTTAAATGTTAGAATATTAGGATATGGGGATGCATGGATGAGTGGATGGATAAATAAAGGGATGGAGTCAATTGTGTATTTACAAAACAAATCTTACCTTTTGCAGTGATTCATTTGTTTTCCTCAATAGTTTGACTAATTTAAACTTCTTTACTATATGGGAATGAGGCAAAGCAGAAGATTTTAAGCTGAAGAATTAAAATTCACTGTTCTATTAAAGAACTTCAAAAAAAGATAAAACATCTCTGATAATTATAATGTAATCAATACAATTGTGGCTTACTTGTCTTAAAAGTCAAGTTTTATTTGAATTTTCAGGAACCTAGATATAAATAAGCCCGTGAGAAATACAAGATACATATCTGAGGAGGAAGCACCTGCTTTTATTTGATATCCAACTTTTATTTATAAAGTGAAAAAGAGGAGGTGATATGAACTATTGGAAAGTTCTTATGATGGGCTAGGGAGTTTATTAATACAATTTTATTTGATCTACCTTAAAAATTTATGTGATGGAATTATCACCTCTATTTTATAGTTTTGGAAATCTTAAATAGCTATGACTATAGCTATTACAAAGCTATTACAAATAAATAGCTATTACAAAGAAATAAGGAGCTTTTTCATGCCATGCAGAATTCTTTTTGTTAGGTTTTTTGTTTTCTTTTTTTGCAGATTAAGCTTTGTTTTTTTGTTACTGTTATTGTCAAGTTAATATAAGCTTTCCCAATATGATTGGTTGAATCAATGGCTTCTGAAAATTTAGGTTTTAAAGATCTGTGGAAATAATTCAAGCATGTAATCAAAAAATATTTTAGAAACTGACTTAATATTGCCAATTTTTTACTGGCAAAGTTAAGCCATTTTAAAAATTGTAATCTACTATCACAATTCTATTTTAAAATGTAAAAGACTAAAACCTCAGAATGATAGACAGACTGTAAACTAATAAATGTAGCTTTAAGAAAATCAATTGGATTGTCCGATGCAGTCTGATTTCAAACCGGAGTGGTAAAAACCTGTCCTGGTCCTCAAATTGGCATCAGGAAAAACACTGGTTTAGACTATCTCTTAGGAAAAAAATTGTAACATCTGACATTCTAATCACTTCATTTTATAAGGAGAAAAAGACCAGGTTATTCTACATCTCCAAAACTGATTTTAATAATCTTGACCTTGAGCTGCTTAAAAGTAGTTTTTCAACATTCAAGAAGAAAATAAAAGCTCTTCCTGGACTGAGTGAGGGACTAGAGAGAGTCAAAGAAAATGTAGTGTACATGTCAACCAGTGTTGCAAAGAGCAGAGGCCTGGAAGAAGCACAGGCTGTACATAGATGACACTGAATGAGGAGATCATGGCAGAGACACATACACTGGTGCCCAACAGCCAAGCTCAGGTGCAATAGCCACTCCTTGGACAGAGGCTAACCTAGACCAATAGATGGCACAAAGACCAGAGTCCTCTCTCAATGCCAGCATTATATATACATGACCGTAGATATTAGATAACCCCAGGAGAAGACCAGGAACAGACAAGGAGAACCCCCAGAGGATGACATTTTGCTCTAGGAGTATCTTAGATACTTAGAGTAACCTTTCTCAAAGGTAAACTGTTTAATTATAGAAATATGAAGTTATAGTTTAGTATATCTAAGGTGGGGCTAACATTTTTAAACCACCCACAAATATTTCAGTTAAATCTATTATTAGAAAGAAGAATTGGAACTTGATATCTTGCTTTTCCTATTCTGAAGAAATATTTATGGTGAGATCAGTAAATAGCATAACAGTTTGGCTAAAAGTTAAAAGAGACTCAAAGAGAATTAGCTAATTATTCAGGTCACTTATTTTAGTCCCTTAGAAACATTAAGCAATAGTAGCACCTAATGTTTTGTATATTTTCTCTATCTTAAGAAAATTTAGGAAGAAAAATGGTAGTTTCAATTTTTAAGGTTCTATTCAGAGAGAGGCATTAAAAACCTTAACCTATTTCTCACCAGAAGGAGAAAGGAAAGAAGAAAATTAAGTGCTATTTGTTCATCCTCTGTAGTTCAGAATAAAGTATTGGTTATTTTTTAAGTTCTACTTATCATTTCTCTTGCTTGATTATTCTTCTGCCTAGGACAAAGGAGGCTCTTTAAAAAGATGTTGTCATCTGAGCAAAATCTGGGTTAAAATAAATTGAATGTTGATCCTTAGTTTAGTTTTTTTGAATTGGCAAGTTTTAAAAACAGAGCAATTCCAAGCAAAAAGAAATGTTTCTAAAGGGTAGAATTTTTTTCTTCATAATAAAAGGGCCCTGAATGTTGTATTAGTTTGTTTTCAAGCTGCTAACAAGATATACCCAAGACTGGGTAATTTACAAAAGAAAGAGGTTTGTTTAATGGGCTCACAGTTCCATGTGGATGGGGAGGCCTCACGAAGGTGAAAGGCATGTTTCACATGGCAGCAGACAAAAGAAGAGAACTTGTGCAGGGAAACTCCCCTTTATAAAACCATCAGATCTCATGAGACTTATTCACTGTCACAAGACCAGCACAAGAAAGACCTGCCCCCATGATTCAATTACCCTCCACTGGGTCCCTCCCACAACATGTGGGAATTGTGGGAGCTACAATTCAAGATGAGATTTGGGTGGGACACAGCCAAATAATATAAAATGTTTAGTCTCTAACTTCTCTTTTTCCCTCCCCTGAAACTCTATGCCTACTTCAAGGCAAATACTGATACACTGCACTACATGGTTGTGTAAGAAAAAGAGTACAGGCTCTCAAGTCACAGAATTCTAAGGTAAAATCATCTATTGGCTGAGCATAGCAAATAAAATACTTAGTCTTCTAGACCTGATTTAAAACATTTATTCTCAACATTATCATAGACAACCCTTCATTCTGCCCCAGAGTTTCCATCTACAAGATGGAAAAGACAAAAACAAACCCAATCCATAGTGTTTACAATTCTTGGCCAGCAAATTCTGTGTATTAGTTAGCCATTGCTGCATAACAAATCATCTCAAAACTTAGTGGCTTAGAACAGCAACCCTTTATTATAGTTCATAAATCATAGGAAAGCTGAGTGGTTCTTGAGGTCTTGGCTGGGCTCCCTCATGTGTCTGTCATCAGCTGAATATTGACTATGAGCCAGCTTTGCTGATCTTGGATGCTCTATCCAATGTGGTTCTGTATCTGATGTGTTTATGGCTTTGCTTAGGACAACTGAGGTGACTGGCTCTGATCCACCTGCTCTCTCATTCTCCATTAGGTTAGCCTGGGCTTGTTTATAGGGAAGAGGCAGAGATTCCAGGAGACAAGAGGAGAGTGACATTTCTGCTACATTCTATTAGTCAAAGCAAGTCACAGGGCCAGCTGGGGAGAAGCTGTAAAGTTACATTTCAAAAGACATGGATATAAGAAAGGGTAGAGAATTGTGACCATTTTTAACATCAACTACAGCATGTGTTTAATGTTTGGGAGAAAGGGGCAAGACAATACTGGTGCTGATACTACTAGCCAGCATGCACTGAATATTTATTATATACCAGGTATATGTGATTATGCTTCAAAAATTCTATGAAGTAAGTTTTATTACTCCTATTTTACTAATAGGGAAACTAAGGCAATATGAGATGATATTTGTGTTGGACAAAAAATAACCTTAGCTTATTATGAGTCCTAAGAACCAACTGTTAGCAAAAACAGAAAGCAGTGTCTCCCCTAGACTTTGATTCTAATACCCAAAATAGAAATGCTATCACCTATTTTTGTCTCTCAAATAACTGTTTTTGTTTTAATAGACTATTACAATATTGATCAGTGATATTCATACCTAAATGTCTTCTTATCTACATAACTGCTGCAGCAAATTCCTACCAATGTACTTACTATCTTTCATAGATTTTACCAGAACTTTTTGAGTGAGGTTATACAATGGTACCATTTACCAGCACCTATTTTTGTTTTTGTGCAAAGTACATTTGCATCAAATATATATTTTTAACTGTTTTTATAGTGATTGACTCACTTAGCTGCAACCAGTTCATATGCCAGAGGAATGAAAGAAGAAAGGAGAAGGCACAAAGTTACTGAAAGTTGAGTGGGTGATATATTAAGATAAGAATGCTGTAAACTCACTTAATCATAAAATATAGACAGCACCATGAAAATAGTTTATCACTGTGTTATTTAGTAAGACCAAGATTAATTTTTTAGCAGGTTACCTAGTTTGTCTTAAAATTCCATTGTTTGGCAAGCATGATTAATTTTACCGTAGGATTCACGGACACTAAGAATTAGAGAGATTGAGTGAAAATATCTTTAATTAGAAGTCAGAAGACAGTTCTGAACCTGATTCTCCATTACAAGCCAAGTGATTTTTTACAAGCTAATCTTTGAGAGTTTCATTTTCCTCATTTATAGTATTGAAATAATGCTACCTGCCCTCCCATCCTAATTGTGTTTTTGCAAAATTTAAAGTTGATAATGTGGGGATAGGGTTTTGTAAACTGAAAAGCACTAAACAGCTATAAGGCATGGCTGATGGAACAAGATGGCATACATAAAGTTATCCTTGCTGCATTTGCCTCCATTATGAAAGTTTATGAGGATTCCTTCTTCAAATGTGCACTCAAGCTTGTTACTAATTTAGACAGTGTTCTATCATGTACATGGTAATAATATAGAGGAACAGATCAAAACATCTATATCATTAGAAGTTAATATAAATAGAGCCTCCATTTGTATGGGTCTGTGCTATAGAAATGGAACAGTTATGAATCACAAATATGTGTGTGTGTATATATATATATATACACACACACACACATAAGGAAGGTAGAATATGAGCAATTTGATAAAAGCAGAAAATGCAGCATGTGATAAATCTGAGAGGGACAATTATGCCCAGAGAGTCATCTAAAGTTTCAGGGGTCTTGCTTGGTAGAAGGGAATGTAAGTTTTAGCTAAGAAAAAGTAATCCATCATTGATGATAATATCAATAGTAGCTGTTGTGTATTGAGCATGTCCTCTATATTTACCTCATTACATGTACTGTCCTGTTTTTTCTTAACAATATCAGTATGGAGTATTATTCTCCCTCTACAAATAAAAAAAATACTTATAGAGATTATATATTCTGACCAATGCCACACAGCTATTCAGTGACAGGTGAAGTCCTGTCCTTAGATTCAAGGCATATTGAGAAAATATCTATTTTATATCTCCTTTACTAATTTTACTTCCTTTACTAATTCAGTCTGATATTATAATACATAGAGTTATTACATGGCTTATAACTGTATAGTGCTTTTCCGCTACATAGTTCAGTGAGAAGAAAATTCTTCCTCCCATTTGGAGAAGTTTGCCTATGATGAAAATTAAACGTTTTCAAGTGTTGAAGGCTGTTCCTTACCACCACTAAGTTTGCACATAATCAGTAATAACATCAAAGATTTACTAGAGTGTCTATTCAGTGCCTTCGCAAGGCACTATAGAGAAAGGAAAACGAATAATATTAATTACTCGTTCTGGAGGAACTATGGCTTTCTTGGCAAGAACATGTACACACAAATAATACCACTGCAAGGCAATGTTTACTAAAAGTCAAAAAGAGAAAGGAAATTTCCAATGAGAGGTCAGAAAAAAAAGAAACAAGTAGGGAAAGAAAGGATTCTAAAGGCTTGGCTATTTCAACAGCATTACAGCTGACATTTCGTGGATGAAGATGGAGGGAAATTATTCCTGGCAAAAAGATGTACATGGATTATAGAGACAATAAATGGTGGAGCATCTTCATTTTTCAGGTGGAGGAGTAGCAAGCAGTAAAGTTGAAGAGGTAGTAGGGGTTTTTAAAGGCTGTGATAAGAAATTTCTATTGTATTAGTGTACAATGATAGAGTCTGAATGAGAATCTAAAAAGAATAGAACTATGCTTTAAAAGAACTCATCTGTTGGTATGCATGAAGGAGAAAAGACTGGATATGAGAGGCCTAAGAAATACATTTTTTTGAGGGATCAAGCAGACATTGAACATTTGGGATTTGCCTCTCAGCATAATTGGAGCTGATTAACATGGATTTGGAAGTTATACATGGAATTGACCTTTTGAAGTCTTGGAAGAAAATAATGAAGAAAATAAAAGGAAATAAAGATGAAAGAGGAAACTATTTGAAATGCTTGCATTTGGGATGTGAGAAGAAAAAGTAGAGGCCATGAAGGAAAAGAGAAGAATGGTTTTTTTAAAAAATTCAAAGCACAGGATTCTACATTCTAATGGCTAAAGTAAAAGATTGTATTAATTGTTATAAAGTGCAATAGAAGTGCCATAAAAATAAGGCTAGAAACTGGATTCTACCTTTAGGATTGGTAATCTTTGAGGGGATATTTTCAGTTCAGCATGAGAGCCAATTTTACTTATAAAAGGATGTACAGAGAGAAGAAAAAAAGGACTTTATATAAAGAGAGCCAATCCAGGTAATTTGATTCACTAATTAGACATTTTTGGAAGGCTGAAAGATTGGGCACAAGTTACACTTTGCTAAAATCAAATAAATAATTTCCAAGACTTCTTTCCTTTAAGTCGTGTACATGTAGCCAAAGAGTTCAAGCCTGACTCAGAGAATTAGATTTGAAATAATAAAAATGCTTATTCTGTGAAACATTAGACACAAACTTGTGGTCTTTCAACATAGGAACAAAAGAAAAAAGAAACCAAAAGAGTTCTGAAAATTGCCCTTTTTAATGCTGTTCCACAGAAAGGAAACAAAGAGTAAGCCAGTTTTCCAAAGTAGAAATAAAAGTGGAAGGAAACTTGCCTGCTAGGGGTGAATGTCGCAGGAAGTCCAACATAAGTATGGTAGGAGTTATTGGGGGAAAAGATAAAGACTATAACTTAGTGTTTATTATAGAATATAAGTATAGCATTTATTTAAAAAAAAAACAAAAAGCATTTGTAAAGAATTCATCTTTGCTCATTTGAATTGCAAAGGCCAGGGGAAATTATAAAAAATTGGGGAAATTGCAGGCAGCTGCCATTTGTGGTCTTTCACTGACACTGCTGACCCTCTATAAAGGAGTACCCAAATGTAAACTAAGAGAAGCAGCTTGCCAATGTTTCTTGTCCTTTTAAAGACATCAGAGGGAGGCTGTGTGCACTATGGCTTAAGTCTCTAAAATAGACTTGCTAAGTATCCAAGAAATTCACAGTGTAAAACAAACAGTTAAGTGAAGCATCAAAAAAAAGCACCAAAGTGGTATTCCCTCCATGGCCTAAAGATTGGAACCAAGCATCTGCTTGTTACAAGTGTCACAACCTACCTGCATGTGACTCTTCACCTGTTTATGCTTCTCAGTCACACAAAATCACACCACTGATTGAAAACATACACACACACATGCACACACACAGACACACACTTTTGTAAGTAAAAAGTTTCCTTGGTGGTCAAATAGATTATGTGAATAAAGAAAGAAAATTATTATTTTTGGTGAATGAGCATTCATTTCCCTGCCAGCTGAGTCATATTTCTTTGTGTCATAAGTACGTGATAGAAAACCTAAATCACAATGACTTAAATATAAATCAAATCTATTCATTAGTAATTTAAAAGTCCAGGTACATATATTTAATTCCAGGTGAGCTTTTAACCAGTGGCTCAAATAGTAGACCCCATTCTTGTCCATCTCTGTCCTCTGCCTTTTGTGGTAATGATTTTTATCCTTAGGCTTCAATATTGGTCTCACTAGCAGTTTTAGGTTCCCTTTATAGGGTAGGTAGCCTTTCTTCTGAAGGTCCTGACTCCACCTCCTCATACATGACTCTCAGGAGAAGAAATGGAGCCATTTTCTACTGACTGGCCTCACAAAACGCCCTCACATCTCATCAACTCTGATGGAATTATTTATCAAAGGTTGGGATATGACAATGACTTAACCAGGATCACTGGAATAGAGAATGGAGTAGAAATCAATTTCACCACCATCACTTATCACAAAAATAGAAAAGAGTGATTCCCCAGAGAACCACTGTAGTGTTATTTACTTCCCTTTCTTTCAAACAAACAAACAAACAAAAAAAAAAATGAAAGAGAGGGCAAGAAATAATACTACGTGACAAAAACACCAGATGTTCGCTACAATCTCTCTTAGATTATTTAGTTGAGGGATGGTCAACATAAGAGTTTATCACTGACCAGAGACAATTAGTTGCTTAATCATATTATACAAAGTAGAGATCAGAGCAAATTTCAGGCTCACTTAATCTATCACTCAAATATTAATAGTGAATCAGAAGAAGAGAGTTTGGAAGACAGAGTACTGTTTTCCTGGCATTCACCTAAAGAGAAAGTTCCTACCAGCCAAAATAATGCTCTAGTAGGTTTATCTCCCAAGCCAGATACATTTTTTTCTGATTCTGTATGCTTTTCAGTACATCCCCATCAGGATACAGTATTTAGTATGTCAGTATACCTTTCAGATTGAATTTAATCTTTATATCTGAGCTAGATGTCCCTAGAATATATGTATATACATATACATATACATATACGTATATGTATATATATATGTGTATATATACACATATATATGTGTATATGTGTGTGTATATATATCATATATATATATATATGATGTCCATATATATAGCATTGGTTATTAAATTAGTTGTCTGGAAAAAGTCATTATCTGGAAAGGGTGACTGGCCTAGGTTTTCACCTGGCCTAATCAACCCTTTATAATCAATACAGAAACAGAAAGCATTACTGAATACTTGCTATGACTTGGCTGCCCATCTGATTTTAAGATCTGTATTGCTGAGAGGCTGGCCTATGTGGAACTCAGATGAAAGAAAAAACATGAGTCCTTTTCTGACTTTTAATCTGCATGCAGCACTACTGCAAGAAATTTACTACCTCTAAAGTAAGAAGTATGCTGAAAATTTTAGGAAATAGAAGAGCTTATATTTCTAACCAAAACTTTCTCAGCCACTTATGAATTCAGCAAAGATTCATGAGGAAGAAAAGATATTCGATAAGTGATGGTAACACCATTCCAAAGTAAAATTAATCTTTAAATATTGTTTTTAATTTTAAATAATGTTGTAGGGAAATTGGGGAGGACAACTAATCTCTCTACCATTATATTAACCTAAGCAGAATACTCATTTTGAAAACTCAGTCTCATAAATATTGATTCTTATAAATCACGGGTTCTAGATTTCCTGGAGGCATATAGAGTTGTTTTATGTCTTCAGTGGTTGAAAAAATTAGTCCTAATTCTAATACCTGTTTCTATCCCTTGATGATGATACAGTAACAGAAATAGCTTTCTATGTAGAAAATTTAACTATATATATATATAATTCAAATGAGTAATATTTAATGATAAAAATAGAACAGCACTAATATTCCAAGGTGATTTTTTAAAACCTTAAATAAAGTCAATAATTTTAGCACTTATTGTTTCCAACTTAGATAATATTTAATTTGATACTAGCGGGAGGCAAGAGAGGCTTGGCTATATTTTGATGAGGACTTTGCCGAAAAGACCTTGAAAAAAACCTTTTTTCTATTATAATAAAAAAAGAAAGGCTTGTATATAATTGGCAAGATCTCCATGTTTTAAAAACAGTATTTTTTTTTTCTTTTATAACAGATACTTATCAACCATAGTGGCCTTTGCTTTTAATTCTGCCTATGCCATATCCTTCCAGGGCATGCTTCACTTTTAAATTAGTTTTAGAATCATATTCTACTTGCATACACATGTTTACAGCAGCACAATTTTCAGGTGCAAAAATATGAAACCAAACCAAATGCCCATCAATCAACAAGTGGATAAAGAAAATGTGATATATTTATACCATGGAATACTACTCAGCCATAAAAAGGAACAAAATAATGGCATTTGCAGTAACCTGAATGGAATTGGAGACCATAATTCTAAGTGAAGTAACTCAGGAATGGAAAACCAAACATCATATGCTCTCACTTATATGTGGGAGCTAAGCTATGAGGACGCAAAATGATACATTGGACTTTGAGGACTCGGGGGAAAGGTTGGGGTGTGGTGAGGGGTAAAAGACTACACATTGGGTACAGTGTACACCGCTCAGGTGATGAGTGCACCACAATCTCAGAAATCACCACTACACTTATTCATGTAACCAAACACCAACTGTTCCCCAAAAACCTATTGAAGTAAAATTAATTAATAAAAATTTAGCATCATATTCAAGTATGTCCTTATTTTTCCCACACTTTATAAATAATGAGATCATATGGAATCTCATTTATACTCTATATTTTCCTAGTTCCCATCATCAAATTTTTGGTTCTTTCAAAATAAAATTTTATTCCAGTTATGTCTAGCAAATCCTCTTTAGTCTGAAGATTTGATGAAAATTAGGGAATAAAATTTGGATTATAGTAGAAATTTTATATACTTATATCTTATCATATTTATATCGATATATAGGTAGGTACACATATATGTATGTGTATATATAGAAGAGAGAAAAAGAGAGATTTTATCTTCATAATCAAAAGGTATAATGAGCTTTTCCAATATAACTAAATGCTAACATGAAATGAACAGTAAGTTTAAAGTAAGGACACACTTACTTAAAAACTCACCATTCTCAAAAGAATATTCCTAAAAGAATATTCTGCGCCACACCCCCCAATCCCCTCTCCAGAGACAGAGTCTTGTTTTTGCTCTCTTGCTCAGGCTGGAATGCAGTGGTGCGATCCAGGCTCACTGCAACCTTTGCCTCCCAGGCTCAAGCAATACTCATGCCTCAGCCTCCCGAGTAGCTGGGTTTACAGGTATATGCCACTGCGCCTGGCCAAATATTTTATTTTTAGTAAAGATGGGGTTTCACCATGTTGGCCAGGCTGGTCTTGAACTCCTGACCTCAAGTGACCTATCCACCTAGGCTTCCCAACTAAAAGAATATTCGTAAAAATCAATATTCTATCACAAGATCTCTCAAGATTTTTCTAGTTTGTATGCCCTGATGAAAAGATCTGTGTTTTCCTAATGAGTAATTATGATGAACTTCTTTTTATCCGTATAGGATTTGGGGAGGAAATGTCAATTCAAATTCTTTGTGAATTGTTAATTGGGTTATTTGTCTTTTTATTATTGTATGAGTTATTTGTATATTCTGGATACCAGTCTCTTATCAGATATATGGTTTACCAATAATTGTTTCCCATTCTGTGTGTTGTCTTTTCATCTTCTTCTTATAGTTTTTAAGAGCACACTGTAGATAGAATTTTTTTGGTTGCCTCATACATTCAAAAATCTGAATAGTACAATTAACTGTAAATAAATTCAATCTTCTCATTAGAGGAGTTGCAAATAAAGTTTAAATAGAAACTTCAAATTGCTCTGGGTTTACATTTTTAAAGACACTCTTAGATTTACTGAGAAAGCATATCAATAACCAGATCTAAAATGTTAAAGCATAAATTTTAATTATTGGATCTACTATTCTGACCCTTGAAAGCCAGTTCTGCACGGCAGAATAGCTCATTTCACTCCAATCTACAGCTAAAGCATGAAGTAAAAGAGATAGATAAACACTAAATCTTGCATTAAGTACTGAAAGAAGCATTACAATAATTTAGGGTAAAAAAGTTTCCTGTGTCAATATCTTACATAATTCCACTCCTTCCTTCAAAAGAAGCAATTCAATAGCTTAGCTCTTTCCACAAGGTTTAAAATGCATTGCGGTCCACTTCTGCCCGCAGTTCCTTCTTCCAGGAAAATGTGAAACTAACGATTTCCATGATGGCTTCTGGCCAGGCACAGGAGCTCTATGGGCTGTCCCTGGACTCCAGGAGCCAGGGAAAACAAAGAGGATTTCCAGCCATTGTCCTCTGTAGCACTGAGCATCAACACCACTGTTAATTTCTTGATGGTATCATTTGCAGCATGAAAGTTCTTAATCTTGATGTAATCCAATTTATCTATTAGTTATTTTGTCACTTGTACCTTCATTTCATATCTAAGAAACCATTGCCTAACCCAAGTAAATGAAAATGTACTTCTAAATTTTCTCCTTGAGTTGTGTAGTTTTATCTTTATATTTTGGTCTGTGATTGATTTTTACTTAATTTTTTTGTGGGTTGTTTAAGGAAAGAGTTCAACTTCATTCCTTGACTTGCAGATATTCAGTTGTTTCCAGCATCATTTGTTAGTAAGGCTGTTCTTCCCCTGATGAATTGTCTTGACATTCTTGTCAAAAATGAATTAATTATAAATGTAAGAGTTAGTTTCTGGACTCTAATTATACTCCATTGACCTATAAGTCTATCTTTATGCTAGTATATGTTGCCTTGATTACTGCAGCTGTGTACAGAAATAAGTTTTAAAATCAGGAAGTGTAAGTTCTCCAACCTTGTTCTTTTTCAAGCATTTTTTTTTTTTTTTTTTTGGCTATTCTGGGTCCTTTGCATTTCCATATTAACTTTATCTTGTCAATTTCTGCAAAAAGTCAGTAGGGCTTTTGATAGAAATTGCGTTGCGTTATTTCTTCAACAATATTGTGCAGTTTTCAGTGCACACATCTTGAACTTAATTTGTTAAATTTATTCTGAGGAATTGTATAGTTTTTGATGCTAATGTGAGTGGAATTGTATTCTTAATTTCATTTGCAGATTGTCATTGCTAGTGGATAGAAATACAATTGATTTTTGTATATTGATCTTGTATTCTGCAACCTTGATGAACTCACTTATTAGCTCTAATAGTTTTTAAGTGAATTCCTTAAGATTTTCTGTAGAAAAGGTCATGTCATCTATGAATACAGATAGTTTTACTTTTTCCTTTCCAATTTGGAAACATTTTATTTCTTATATTTGCCTATTGTCTTGATTGGCACAATGCTGACTGAAAATGATGAGAGAAGATATTTTTGCTTTGTTTCTTAACTTAAAGGGAAAGCATTTGATCTTTTTTTCCTTAAGTATGATGTTAGCTGTGGGTTTTTTTTGTTTGTTTTCTTTTTGTTTTTATTTTGTAGACGTTCTTTAACAGGTTGAGAAAGTTTGCTTCAAATTTTAGTTTGTCAAGTTTGTTTTATCATGAAAGTGGGTTTAATTTGTCAAAATTATTTTCTGCATCTATTGAGATTATCATGCGGTTTTGCCCTTTATTCTATTAATATAACAAATCAGATTGATTGATTTCCATATGTTAATTCAACCTTGTATTCCTGGGATAAATCCTATTTGGCCATGTTGTACAATCCCTTTTTTCTCCTGCTAGATTAAATTTCCTAGAATTTTGTTAATGGCTTTTGCATCTGTATTCATAAACCATATATAATTTTATTTTGATGTCTTCGCTTGCTTCTAGTGTCAGAGTAATCCTGGCTTCCTTAAATGAGTCTGGAAGTGTTCCCTTTTCTTTTTTTGTTTCAAAGAGTTTGTAAAGGATTGGCATTAATTCTTTATATGTTTGGCAGTTTTCACTAGTGAAGCCATTTGGGCTAGGGTTTTTCTTTTTGGGAAGCTTTTACAGTATTAATGTAACATTTTGTTATGTGTCTTCAGATTTTCTAATTCTTCTTGAGTCAGTTTTCGTAGTTTGTGTTTTTCTAGGAATTTGTTTCATCTAAGTGTCTAACTCATTGGCACACCGTTGTTCATATATTTTCTTATAATCCTCATTATTTATAAAAAGTCCTTAATAACATCCCCCCTTTTATTCTTTGTCTTATTTGAGCCTTCTGTCTTTTTTCCTTAGCGTATTGTCCATTTTGTTAATCTTTTCAAAGAACCAACTTTTTTTTTCAACTCTATTTTCATTCATTTTTGTTCTTTGCTTTTCTTTTTTTTTTTTTTTAGAAAGGGTCTTGCTCTGTTGCCCAGGCTGGAGTCAATGACATGATCACGACTCACTTCAGCCTCAACCTCTAGTGCTCAAGCGATCCCCCACCTCAGCCCTCCAAGTAGCTGGGACTACAGGCACATGCCACCACACCCAGCTACTTTTTACAATTTTGGTAGAGACAGGGTTTCACCCTGTTGCCCAGTCTGGTCTCAAACTCCTGGACTCACCCACCTCAGCCTCCCAAATTGCTGGGATTACAAATGTGAGCCACTGTGTCTGGCCTTATTTTCATTAATTTCTCATCTAATACGCATTATCTTAAATTTTTTTGTTTCAGATTTAGCTTTCTTTTCTTACTTTATTTTTTAAATTTATTTTTATTTATTTCTTTATTTATTTTATAAAGACGGGGTTTGTCATCTTGCCTAGGCTAGTCTTGAACTCCTGAGCTCAAACAATTCTCCCATCTTGGTATCCCAAAGTGTGTGAATTACAGGTGTGAGTCACTGCACCTGGCTTCACTTCTTTTTTTCTTTTTCTTTTTTTTTTTAATTTTTATACTTTTAAGTTCTAGGTTACACGTGCACAACATGCAGGTTTGTTACATAGGTATACATGAGCCATGTTGGTTTGCTGCACCCATTAACTCATCATTTACATTAGGTATTTCTCCTAATGCTATCCCTCCCCCTGCCCCCCACCCCATGACAGGCCCGGGTGTGTGATGTTCACCACCCTGTGTCCATGTGTTCTCATTGTTCAATTCCCACCTATGAGTGAGAACATGCAGTGTTTGGTTTTCTGTCCTTGTGATAGTTTGCTCAGAATGATGGTTTCCAGCTGCATCCATGTCCCTGCAAAGGACATGAACTCATCCTTTTTATGGCTACATACTATTCCATGGTGTACATGTAACACATTTTCTTAATCCAGTCTATCACTGATGGGCATTTGGGTTGGTTCCAAGTCTTTGCTATTGTGAATAGCACTGCAATAAACATACGTGTGCATGTGTCTTTATATTAGCATGATTTATAATCCTTTGGGTATATACCCCATAATGGGATTGCTGGGTCAAACGGTAATTCTAGTTCTAGATCCTTGAGGAATTGCCACACTGTCTTCCACAATGGTTGAACTAATTTACACTCCCACCAACAGTGTAAAAGCATTCCTATTTCTCCACATCCTCTCCGGCATCTGTTGTTTCCTGACTTTTTAATGATCAGCATTCTAACTGGTGTGAGATGCTATCTCATTATGGTTTTGATTTGTATTCCTCTGATGACCAGTGATGATAAGCATTTTTTCATGTGTCTGTTGGCTGCATAAATGTCTTCTTTTGAGAAGTGTCTGTTCATATCCTTTGCCTACTTTTTGATGGGGTTGTTTTTTTCTTGAAAATTTAAGTTCTTTGTAGATTCTGGATGTTAGCCCTTTGTCAGATGGGTAGATTGTAAAAAGTTTCTCCCTTTCTGTAGGTTGCCTGTTCACTCTGATGGTAGGATTCTTTTGCCATGCAGAAGCTCTTTAGTTTAATTAGGTCCTATTTTCTATTTTGGCTTCTGTTACCATTGCTTTTGGTGTTTTAGTGTCACGAGGTCCTTGCCCATGCCTATGTCCTGAATGGTATTGCCTAGGTTTTCTTCTAGGGTTTTTATGGTTTTAGGTCTAACATTTAAGTCTTTAATCCATCTTGAATTAATTTTTCTATAAGATGTAAGGAAGGGATCCAGTTTCAGCTTTCTACATATGGCTAGCCAGTTTTTGCAGCACCATTTATTAAATAGGAAATCCTGTCCCCATTTCTTGTTTTTGTCAGGTTTGTCAAAGATCAGATGGTAGTACATGTGTGGTTTTATTTCTGAGGCCTCAGTTCTGTTCCATTGGTCTATATATCTGTTTTAGTACCAATACCATGCTGTTTTGGTTACTGTAGCCTTGTAGTATAGTTTGAAGTCTGGTAGCATGATGCCCCCAGCTTTGTTATTTTTGCTAAGGATTGTCTTGGCAATGTGGGCTCTTTTTTGGTTCCATATAAACTTTACAGTAGTTTTATCTAATTCTGTGAAGAAAGTCATTGGTAGCTTGATGGGGATGGCATTGAATCTATAAATTACCTTGGCAGTATGGCCTTTTTCACAATATTGATTCTTCCTATCCATGAGCATAGAATGTTTTTCCATTTGTTTGTGTTGTCTTTTATTTCGTTGAGCAGTGGTTTGTAGTTCTCCTTGAAGAGGTCCTTCACATCCCTTGTAACTTGGATTCCTAGGTATTTTATTCTCTTTATAGCAGTTGTGAATGGGAGTTCACTCAGGATTTGGCTCTCTGTTTGTCTGTTATTGGTGTATAGGAATGCTTGTGATTTTTGCACATTGATTTTGTATCCTGAGACTTTGCTGAAGTTGCTTATCAGCTTAAGGAGATTTTGGGCTGAGATGGTGGGGTTTTCTAAATATACAATCATGTCATCTGCAAACAGGGACAATTTGACTTCCTCTTTTCCTAATTGAATACCCTTTATTTCTTTCTCTTGCCTGATTGCCCTTGCCAGAACTTCCAACACTCTGTTGAATAGGAGTGGTGAGAGAGGGCATCCCTGTCTTGTGCCAGTTTTTAAAGGGAATGCTTTCAGTATTTGCTCGTTCAGTATGATATTGGCTGTGGGTTTGTCATAAGTAGCTCTTATTATTTTGAGATACATTCCATCAATACCTAGTTTATTGAGAGTTTTTAGCATGAAGCACCATTGAATTTTATCAAAGGCCTTTTCTGCATCTATTGAGATAATCATGTGCTTTTTGTTGCTGTTTCTGTTTATGTGATGGATTATGTTTATTGATTTGCATATGTTGAACCAGCCTTGCAACCCAGGGCTGAAGCCACCTTGATTGTGGTGGATAAGCTTTTTGTTATGCTACTAGATTCAGTTTGCGAGTATTTTATTGAGGATTTTCGCATCAATGTTCATCAGTGATATTGGTCTAAAATTCTCTTTTTTTGTTCTGTCTCTGCCAGGCTTTGCTCTCAGAATGATGCTGGCCTCATAAACTGAGTTAGTGAGGATTCCCTCTTTTTCTATTGATTGGAATAGTTTCAGAAGGAATGGTACCAGCTCCTCTTTGTACCTTTCGTAGAATTCAGCTGTGAATCCATCTGGTCCTGGACTTTTTTTATTGGTAGGCTATTAATTATTGCCTCAATTTCAGAGCCTGTTATTGGTCTATTCAGAGATTCCACTTCTTCCTGGTTTAGTCTTGGGAGGGTGTATGTGTCAAGGAATTTATCCACTTCTCTTAGATTTTCTAGTTTATTTGCATAGAGGTTTTTATAGTATTCTCTGATAATAGTTTGTATTTCTGTAGGATCGGTGGTGATATCCCCTTTATCATTTTTTATTGCATGTATTTGATTCTTCTCTCTTTTCTTCTTTATTAGTCTTGCTAGCAGTCTATCAATTTTGTTGATCTTTTCAAAAAACCAGCTCCTGGATTCATTGGTTTTTTTGAAGGGTTATTTGTGTTTCTATCTCCTTCAGTTCTGCTCTGATCTTAGTTATTTCTTGCCTTCTGCTAGCTTTTGAATGTGTTTGCTCTTGCTTCTCTAGTTCTTTTAATTGTGATGTTAGGGTGTCAATTTTAGATCTTTCCTGCTTTCTCTTGTGGGCATTTAGTGCTATAAATTTCCCTCTACACACTGCTTTAAATGTGTCCCAGAGATTCTGGTATGTTGTGTCTTTGTTCTCATTGGTTTCAAAGAACATTTTTATTTCTGCCTTCATTTTGTTATTTACCTAGTAGTCATTCAAAAGCAGGTTGCTCAGTTTCCATGTAGTTGTGTGGTTTTGAGTGAGTTTCTTAATCCTGAGTTCTAATGTGATTGCACTGTGGTCTGAGAGACAGTTTGTTGTGATTTCTGTTCTTTTATATTTGCTGAGCAGTGCTTTACTTCCAACTATGTGGTCAATTTTGGAATAAGTGGGATGTGGTGCTGAGAAGAATGTATATTCTGTTGATTTGGGGTGGAGAGTTCTGTAGGTGTCTAGTAGGTCTGCTTGGTGCAGAGCTGAGTTCAAGTCCTGGACATCCTTGTTAACCTTCTGTCTCCTTGATCTGTCTAATATTGACAGTGGGGTGTTAAAGTCTCCCATTATTATTGTGTGGGAGTCTAAGTCTCTTTGTAGGTCTCTAATGACTTGCTTTATGAATCTGGGTGCTCCTGTATTGGGTGCATATATATTTAGGATAGTTAGTTCTTCTTATTTAATTGATCTCTTTACCATTATGTAATGACGTTCTTTGTCTCTTTTGATCTTTGTTGGTTTAAAGTCTGTTTTATCAAAGACCAGGATTGCAAACTCTTTTTTTTTTTTTTTTTTTTTTTTTTGCTTTCCATTTGCTTGGTAGATCTTCCTCCATCCCTTTATTTTGAACCTATGTGTGTCTCTGCATGTGAGATGGGTCTCCTGAATACAGCACACTCATGTGTCTTGACTCTTTATCCAATTTGCCAGTGTGTGTCTTTTAATTGGGGCATTTAGCCCATTTACATTGAAGGTTAATATTGTTATGTGTGAATTTGATCCTGTCATTATGATGTTAGCTGGTTATTTTGCCTGTTAGTTAATGCAGTTTCTTCCTAGCATTGATGGTCTTTACAATTTGGCACGTTTTTGCAGTGGCTGGTACCAGTTGTTCCTTTCCATGTTTAGTGCTTCCTTCAGGAGCTCTTGTAAGGCAGGTGACAAAATCTCTCAGCATTTGCTTGTCTGTAAAGGATTTTATTTCTCCTTCACTTATGAAGCTTAGTTTGGCTGGATATGAAATTCTGAGTTGAAAATTTTTTTCTTTAAGAATGTTGAATATTGGCCCCCACTCTCATGGCTTGTAGAGTTTCTGCTGAGAGATCCGCTGTTAGTCTCATGGGCTTCCCTTTGGGGATAACCTGACCTTTCTCTCTGTCTGCCCTTAACATTTTTCCCTTTATTTCAACCTTGGTGAATCTGGAAATTATGTGTCTTGGGGTTGCTCTTCTTGAGGAGTATCTTTGTGGTGTTCTCTGTATTTCCTGAATTTGAATGTTTACCTGCCTTGCTAGGTTGGGGAAGTTCTCCTGGATAATATCCTGAAGTGTGTTTTCCAACTTGGTTCCCATTCTCCCCGTCACTTTCAGGTACACCAATCAAACGTAGATTTGTTCTTTTCACATAGTCCCATATTTCTTGGAGGCTTTGTTCATTTCTTTTTACTCTTTTTTTTCTCTAAACTTCTCTTCTTGCTTTATTTCATTAATTTGATCTTCAATCACTGATACCTTTTCTTCCACTTAATCAAATCGGCTACTGAAGCTTGTGCATGTGTCACGTAGTTCTCATGCCATGGTTTTCAGCTCCATCTGGTCATTTAGTGTCTTCCCTACACTGTTTATTCTAGTTAGCCACTCATCTAAATTTTTTTCATGGTTTTTTGCTTCCTCGTGCTGGGTTCAAGCATCCTCCTTTAGCTCAGAGAAGTTTGTTATTACTGACCTTCTGAAGCCTACTTCTGTCAGCTCTTCAAAGTCATTCTCCATCCAGGTTTGTTCTGTTGCTGGCAAGGAGCTGTGATCTTTTGGAGGAGAAAAGGTGCTCTGGTTTTTAGAATTTTCACATTTTCTCCTCAGGCTTCTCCCCACCTTTGTGGTTTTATCTACCTTTGGTCTTTGATGTTGGTGACCTACAGATGCGATTTTGTTGTGGATGTCCTTTTTGTTGATGTTGATGCTATTTCTTTCTGTTTGTTAGTTTTCCCTCTAACAGCCAGGTCCCTCCGCTGCAGGTCTGTTGAAGTTTGCTGGAGGTCCACTCCAGACCCCATTTGCCTGGGTATCACTAGTGGAGGCTGCAGAACAGCAAATATTGCTGCCTGATCCTTCCTCTGGAAGCTTTGTCCCAGAGGGGCACCTGCCTGTATGAGGTGTCAGTCAGCCTGTACTGGGAGGTGTCTCCCAGTTAGGCTACCCAGGGGTCAGGGACCTACTTGAGGAGGCAATCTGTCTGTTCTCCAAGTTCAAACACTGTGCTGGGAGAACCACTGCTCTCCTCAGAGCTGTCAGACAGGGGCATTTAAGTCTGCAGAAGTTTCTGCTGCCTTTTGTTCAGCTATGCCCTGCCCCCAGAGGTGGAGACTACAGAGGCAGCTGGCCTTGCTGAGCTGCGGTGGACCCTGCCAGTTTGAGCTTCCCTGACTGCTTTGTTTACCTACTCAAGCCTCAGCAATGGCAGACGCCCCTCCCCCTGCCAGGCTGCTGCGCAGGTCGATCTCAGACTGCTGTGCTAGCAGTGAGCAAGGCTCTGTGGGTGTGGCATCTGCCCAGCCAGGCATGGCATATAATCTCCTGGTGTGCCATTTGCTAAGACCGTTGGAAAAGCACAGTATTTGGGCGGGAGTGTCTTGTTTTTCCAGGTACCGTCTGTCACGGCTTTCCTTGGCTAGGGAAGGGAAATCCCCTGGCCTCTTGCGCTTCCTGGGTGAGGTGATGCCCTGCCCTGCTTCAGCTCACCCTTCATGGGCTGCACCTACTGTCCAACCAGTCCCAGTGAGATGAACCAGGTTCCTCAGTTGGAAATGCAGAAATCACCCATCTTCTGCGCCGATCACACTGGGAGCTGCAGACTGGAGATGTTCCTATTTGGCCATCTTGGAATGGAATCTCAGCTTCATGTCTTTTTAAGGTGGAAGGGTAGGTTATTGACTTGAGGTTTTTTTTTTTTCTTTTTTAACATAGGCATGTTGTAAATTTTCCTCTGTGTACTGCTTTAGCTGTAGCTGTATCCCATAAGTTGTGGCACATTGTGTTGTATTTTTATTCATCAGAAGAAACTTTCTAATTTCCCTTATGATTTATTTATTGACCAATTGTTTAGTAATATGTTGTTTAATTTTTACATTTTTGTGATTTTTAAAATTTAATTTTATTATTGCCTTCTAATTTAATACAATGCATTTGGAAAACATAGTTTGTATAATTTTATTCTTTCTATATTTACTGAGGCTTGTTTTATAGCCTAGCATATGGTCTATCGTGTAGTGTGTTCAATATGCACTTGAAAAAAATGTGTGTTTTGCTATTGTTGGGTAGAATCTTCTATAAATATCTGTTATATCTGGTTGGTTCATAGTTTTGTTCAAATATTTTATGTTCTTATTGATCTCCTGTCTACCTGTTATTGCAACTGAATTATGGAAGTCTCCAACTATCATTTTAAAATTATTTATTTCTTCCTTCAATTTTATCAGTTTTGCCTCATGCATTTGGGGGGCTCTGTTTTTAGAGGCATATGTGTTTATAATTTTTACATCTTCCTCATGGATTTAATTTTTAATTTTGAAATAACCCTTTTGTTTCTAGTAACATTTTTGTTGTAAAGTTATTTTGTCTGATATTAGTATAGCCACTCCAGTTCTCTTATGGTTGCTGTTTTCATGATGTATCTTTTTCCACTCTTTTACTTTCAGCTTATTTGTATCTTTGAATCTAAAGTATGTAACCTGTAGATAGCACAAATTTGGATTTTTTTTTCACCCAACCTCTAATCTCTGTCTTTTGAATGGGTTGTTTAATCCATTTACAGCTATTATTATTATTGACATGTTTTGATTTACACCTGCCATTTTGCTTTTTGTTTTCTATAAGTCTCATGTCTTTCTTGTTCTGTTCTTTTTTACTGCCTTTTTTACATTAAATGGATATTTTCTCCATAATATTTGTATTTCTCTGAGAATTTTTAATAACATATTAATAAATTATTTTCTTTTTGTTGTATCTAGGGCTTTCAACATACATGATAACTTATAACCTACTTCAGATGTATATAAGTTAATTATAGTGAAATAAAGAAAGTTTACTCTTACATAGCTCCATTTATGACCCCTTTAACTGTGTTATTATTGTTATACCTGTTATATCTATATATGTTATAAACGCAACAATACATTGTTAAAATATTTCTTTAAGTAATCTTGTGTCTTAAAGAAGCTGAGAGAATAAAGGAGAACAAGTATATAATTATTAACATAAAATGTTTGTTAAATTAACTTGTTTAATTACTAATTTTGATTCTCTTCATTTCTTTCTGTGAATTTGAATTACCATTTGGTGCCATTTCTCTACTCCAACAGAACTTTGCTTCCACTTGCATCCTGTGAGCTCTTATTGTCAAAGGTTATTTCACAATAGAAAATTACATTTCTATGAGTCCAAATGTATAATTATATATTGTTTCATCAAATTTTGTAGTTTCTCTTTAAGATAAGAGAAGAAATATGCAATTATATGCTGTTTTATAATTACCTACATAATTGCCTTCACTGGCACTCTTTTGTGTGTGTGGATTAAAATTAATGTCTGTTGTAACTTGCTTTCCGGCAGAAGAGCTCCCTTTAGTAAGTCAGGTCTGTTAGCAACAAATTCTCACAGCTTTTTGTTTTCTGGGAATGTCTTTGTTTCACTTTTATTTTTGAAAACTAGTTTTCATATATATATATATATATATGGTTCTTTATTGGCAGTATTTCACTTACAGCATTTCCAAATGTTATCCATTGCCTTTTTGTTCTGCATTATTTCTGAAGAGAAATCAACTGTTACCTATTGTGGTTTTCTTGTACTTAATGAGGTTTTTTGTTTATTTGTTTGTTTGTATTGTTTCCCTTTGTATTTTTCTCTTTGTCCTTGGTTTTCAACATATTATGTACGACTTTGTATGGATATGCATATCTTTGCATTTATTCTGTGTGAAGTTCTTGAATGTGTAGATTAATGTTTTTCATCAAATTTAAGTCTGCAGCCATTATTTCTTTAAAATTTTTCTGTCCCTTTCTCTCTCTTTTCTTCATCTGGTACTCCTATTTTGCCTTCGTCAGTGTGCTTAATGGTATCAAATATTTCTTTGACGATCTGTTCATTTTCCTACATTCCTTTTACTCTTTGTTTTTCAAATTGCATAATCTCTAATACTAGAAGTAGACATTAATTCGTTCTTGTAATTCTTTCTTCTGCCAGCTCAAATGTATTGTTGAGCACCCCTTGTACATATTTTTTTTTTTTTTTTTGAGACAGAGTCTCGCTCTGTCACCGAGGCTGGAGTGCAGTGGCGCGATCTTGGGTCACTGCAAGCTCCACCTCCCTGGTTCAAGGAATTCCCCTGCCTCAGTCTCTCGAGTAGCTGGGGTTACAGGTGCACACCACCATGCCTGGCTCATTTTTTTGTATTTTTAGTAGAGACAGGGTTTCACCATGTTGGCCAGACTGGTATCAAATTACTGATGACAGGCAATCTGCCTGCCTTGGCCTCCCAAGTGCTGGGATTACAGGCATGAGTCACCGTGAATGTTTTATTTGGTTGCTTCACTTTTTAACTCCAGAATTTCCATTTGGCTTTTTAAAATATACAATTTTTATCTTTTTACTTATATTCTATTTTGTAACATTGTCATCACATCTTTCTTTGATAACTTATGCATGGTCTTCTCTTGTTTTTTGCATATGTTTATAATGGCTATTTTCAGGTCTTTGCCTGTTAAGTCCCACCTCTGGACCCCTTCAAAAGCAGTATTAGCTGCCTGCTTTTTTTCTGGTGTATGGGTTACCGATATATATATAATATATATATATATATATATAATATATATATATATATATATATATATATATGTATGTATGTATTTTGCATGTGTCATGATTTTTGGCTGAAAATTTTAAGTGATATATGGTAACAGCTTCTGAATCCTGATTCCCACCACACACACACTCACACACTACTGCCACTATGGGTTGATTTTTCTGCTGTTTGCTTAGTGCTTTATTTACTTGTTCAATGAGTTGGCTGAACTGGTCCTGTGAACATCTATATTCCCTCCAAGCCTCTGATGTCCCTATCAGATATTCTTTCTATCTTCTAGCCTGGCTGCCTAGAGGTTGCCTCTGGGACAGTATAAGCCACTTATTATTAAAAGTCGTACTTAGGTTCCTTTCGCCAGTTAGATTTTTACACTTTACCATTGCATGTGTGTGTGGCTTGGAGGCCACTATCATAGTTCAAGTTTAAGCCTCTGCCCCATGTTCAACCAGGGATTAATAGCTTTGATTTTACCCCTCTGATAATTCCTGAGAAGACACAGTTTGGGGCATGCAAATAGTCCACACTGCAAAGAATGAGTGCTATTTTATTGTTAAAACTGTCTTCCTAGGAGTTGCTCCCAGGTAAGTGTAGCTTATAATTCAATCAGTGGTTGATCAGGTTGGTCCTTAAGCCTCTACTGCCAATGAAGCTCTGCTCTTTGTTGATTGATCTGTATGCTGCTTGAGAAACATGTCCAAGTCTGTTTCACCCCCTGCTCTGTTGCTTATAAATGGGTGATGTCTAGAGTATTCACATAGCACTTCTTACCCACAGGATTCACTGTAATCCCAGGAGAGCTCTTCCTGAATGTCTCTTTTTCTGGTTTTCTCTGTCAAACTTCTGATCTCTCTGTTATTTTGCATTTTCTACTTGCATTATGGAGCTAAGAGAGCCCTTTT
This sequence comes from Homo sapiens, assembly GCF_000001405.40. NCBI lineage: Eukaryota > Metazoa > Chordata > Mammalia > Primates > Hominidae > Homo > Homo sapiens. Next base: position 121,699,066 of record NC_000006.12, on the reverse strand, counting down.
AATTACTTTACAGCAAAATCTCCATTAATTTAGACAACACCTTTTAAAACATGAAATGTTCCATACTTTTTTCCACTTAAAGTCATTCTCCTCAGGTAGAGCTACAGAGCTCTTTGTCCTTAAGACATATCTCTCCTTCTGAATAGAATCTCTGTGCCACTGCATAAAAGCTGGAGGCAGACAGTGGCCTGCCTCTACAGAGTGATATTTCTGGTGCATGAGTGAGTGTGATGCACTCACTGGGGACATGATATAATGGTCCCTTGTCTTCTTGACTTGCCTCTCCCAGAGTGAATTCTTCACCTTATAAGTGAGCTGGGGCAGGAGCTATTGGAGCATTCTTGTGTGACTGGCATGGCATGATTGAGTACAGCTTCTATACTATGAATGAAGCTTGTGTAGGGGAATAGAGACCTGGTCCTGTCAGCCACACTTGCCTACAATAAAGCTTCTGCATTACAAGGCTGAGGAAGATGAAAAAAGCAAACAGCCTACTCTTCACAAGCCAAAAGATGATGGGGCTCCCTCTCCCCACAGGTCCCAGAATTAGGGTTCCCTGGGGGCAGTTTTCATAAGATGGAGAGGGTGAAAAAAAAGAGGAATGGAGTATGCTGTCGTTCAAATGTCACAAACTCTACAATCCTTATCAAGATTTAGTAGATTTTTTGAATGAATATTTCTCCATTTTCTATATGCCCATAGGACAATATCCAAATACTTTATGTGATTGTTTCTGTAATTTTCCCAAGTTCGATTATTGTTTGTTGGGGAGAGAGTATGCTTTGCCACTCACTCCTCCATTTCGGACTGGGCTTATAAAATACTTTTGATGTTGAAAGTTGAGAACATAAATATTCTAGTAAAAATGTTTTAAAAGAACATTGGTAAGTCTGTTTGGAAAAAAAATGATTTATTACGAGTCATAAACCAGAGTTTTCTCTGGCTGATGAGTAGAGTTATGCTTTGTTTTAGAACAACACGTACAATGCCTTTACAGTGTGCTTTTGGTCACTGAAAGTCAGACACAAGGGGGACTGGGCAGACTTCACTCTTTCTAACATTCTCCTATGTTCAGCACAGTGATATTAAAGGCAAGGGAGCAATGTAATGTCCATTTTGTCCTTAAGGAACGGTCTCACGTAGACTTGATAAGGCTAAACACAGACTATCAAATGACAGGTACCAACATGTGTGAAACTGCTTAAGTATCCTGAATGAGTTCTGCCCATGCTCTGAAATTTCATTCCAATAACTGGTAACCTTACAGCATCTGATGATCTTGAAAATTTCCTGCTATTTCAATAATACCAGGAATCAAGCTTTTTTTGTTTGTTTTTTGAAAGAGAGAGACGGTGCGGGGGCCTCATTTTATCACCCAAGTTGAGTGCAGTGGCGTGATCACAGCTCACTACAGCCTCAATCTCCTAGGCTCAAGCGATCTGCACTTCAGTGTCGTTGAGTAGCTGGGACTGCAGGAGCATACCAAAACACCTAGCTAGTTTTTTATTTTTTGTAGAGACAGGATCTTAACATGTTGACTAGGTTAGTCTGGAACTGCTGGATGCAAGCAATCCTCCTGCCTTGGCCTCCTAAATGCTGGGATCACAGGCATGAGCCATCATACCTGGTCAGGAACCAAACTATTGAAGTGATGATCTCTAGCTACAGCCTGGTTGCAAAGAACAATCAGTGTCATATACATTCAGTGGTTCAGAGGCAGGTAGAATTTTTATGGGATGCTAAGAGGATGCCATAAATTATGGCAAACTTCAGACCCACTTACCTCCCTGAAACCTGTCTCATTCCTTCATAACAAGTCAGGCTTAACAAGACATTATCTCATAGATTCACAGGACAGAAAAACTAAAAATTAGTTGAAATGATGTGGTAGACAGACAAATGGCCCCTCAAAAATGTCCGCGTCCCACTCCCCAGAAACTATAAATATGTTATGTTATATAGCGAGGAGAAATTAAATCTGCACGTGGATTTAATGTGCTAATCACCTGGCCTTAAAACAATGAGATTATCTGGATTATCCAGATGTCCCCAATGTAATCAAAATGGTCCTTAAAAGGAGAAAAAGGAGGCAGAAGAGTTTCAAAGTGATATGACATAAAATAGACTTGACAAAGGATACAAAATTTCAGTTAAACAGGAGGAGTTCAAGATATCTACTGTACATCATGATGATTATACTTAATAACAAAATTGTATACTTGAAAATTGCTAAGAGAGTAGATTTTAAGTGTTCCCACCACAAAAGAAATGATATGTGAGGTAATACATGTGATTAGACATTCCACAATATATACATATTTCAGAACATCATGTTGTATACTATAAATATATACAATTTTTACTTGTCAATTTAAAAACAAAATACACTTTTTTAAAAAAAGGAAAAGACTTGACTATTACTCACTTTGAAGATAGAGGGAAGCCATAATCCAAGGAATGAAGTAGGTTTTAGAAGCTGGAAAAGACAAGAAAAGCAATTCCTGGTCAGAGCCTCCAGAAAGAATGTGGCCCTGCTGACACCTCAATTTTAGCCCATGAGACTCATGTTGGACTTCTGACCTTCACAACTGTAAGATAATAAATTTATGTTGTTTTAGCCACTAAGCTTGTGGTAATGTGTTATAACAGCAATAGAAAACAAAAATAAGGTCACAGAATTCTAAACTCTCATTTTACAAATAAGGATACAGAGGAGGGATGAGGCTGGCTAAAAATCCCACAGGTAGTGGGATTTGTCCAAGCACAAATAAGTTTATATACTCCATACACTATAATTATCTATATTTTTTTCATTTCTTCCCAGAGCAGTGAAAACTTCAAGGGCTGGCACATGTCCTTGGAACTATTTAGTAGCCACTGTTGTAATTTGTCTAATTATATCCAATATTCTAGATATATATTTATTCATCCATTCAAATGTGGATTAAGCAGTTTGCTAAGACGTTTTATGTTTTCTCCATTCTCTGGGTTATGATATATCTAGGTAAGAGAACTTGAAACACTTCAAGGCCAATCATTTCTATAAATAAATTTCTCACTCATATTGTGTTTTAATTTCCCTTTTTCAATGTCTACCTTTAATCCAAGAGCCTTTTTCATTGACAGTGAAGATATAAGCAAAATAGTACCATATGGCCACATCTGTATACATCACATACATGTCTGTAAAATACATAGGCCCTAGTTCACTTTAATTTACTAAATTATTATAGAAGAGGGGGACCTATTGATCTACTAAACAAAGGTACTACTTTGGATTAAAAGTTGAAACCTACAGTTTCTACACTTGAGTACTTACAGGCTGCACTGGCAAAATATAACACTTAAAAATTAAGAGATTTCAGATTATGTAGCTCATTTTGAGAATGTGGAGGATCCTTCATCACCAGGACTCAGATTCTGTATGTTAATACTCAGATATTGCTGAGTAACTGCCCCACCTTCTGATGGACAGGCTCTCTCCCGTTTTTCTCAGTCCCTGACATTCCTGAGGATGCTCTGAGCAGTGAGGCTGTGTCAGTTGCCTCCCACATGCAATGTATCTACGGCACTACCAGAAATCGAGAATGGTAATATTGACTGACTCTTCTTAAAGCTGGCCTCCTTTCACTCACTTATGTTACTGGTCTAGAGGGTAAACAGACAAGCCAAGAGAAGATTGTAATATTAGGACAATGTGTGCAGTAATATAGATCAGCAGCATACTATATAAAAGAGGTTTACCAATCTCAAACCTGCCACATCTTTTACTTTAGTTCAATGTAACTGTGTTTAAGAGTCCAAGAGATGCTGTGAATTCTATTAAATAAGTTGCCGGGTAAGCTGGCTTCTGGCCATGGCTGCAATGCCAGCTAAACTGTGGTCTTTTCCTGGCACAATCTCAATGAAACAAGGGTGTGCTTTGTCCCACCCAGGGACTGAATATTTTAACGGTCATGGATTTGCTTCTTATAGGTGCTAGTTTCAGCCTTGCTGGTGTAGGTCATATTCTGGCGGGAGGCTCTGCATGAGTTTTCAAGGCTGAAAATACAGCCTAGAAAAACATGAAAACAATGTGCTCTTGTAGATTTGGATTTCTTCTTCTGGAAAGAATTCTAACATTTCTACCACATTCCCAGCAGGAAAGACTTCTTTTCTTCCTCTTTTTTTCTGCTTACTAACATGGAATGTCAAACATTCTGGGAAACTGCCAATTTCAGAATCATGATAATTTGTAGTTTTCTTGGTTGGTAAGGTAGGATTGACTAGGATGGCAAAACAGAGAATAATTCCCTTTGGAATTTGCATTTTTCTCATGTGCTTTAAGGAAACACAGGTGCAAAGCCTTTGCAGCCAGAAAAAAAAAAAAAAAAAAACTTTTATATATGCCTGAAGCCAAGACCACCTTCTTTGAAGTAAGGTATATTATCTGTGGTATGAACTAACTTACATATGGGTAGAACAAAACTGAGAGCCTTGTATTTTTTTGTGAGTCATAGCTAACGGTCAAAAGTTCTCTCTCAGTCACAACCCTTCCCCAAGGTCTCCGCAGATGACTGAAACGTTAGCTACTTAGAGTATATCTATTAAACACATGCTGATCAACTAAGCAGAGGAGGGGGTCTCTCTCCTTTCTGCAGCCCCTTGTTTGCTAAGTTTAGATCTTTTATCCAACTGCAATTAACAATCGAATAAGACAAAACAGGCATGTGCAAAGATTGTGTGAACAGTCCTAGACTTTCTCCCTAAATGTCAGTTTCAGCACAGTGTCTTCTCTGTTTCTCTTCAGGTTCTAGCCCTTAAAACAGTCACACACCAATTCTGATTAACTCATCTAGAAGTAAGAATGACCAAGAGTATCCTAGCCTAGAGTCAGAGGTTATGTTATACTCTTCCATGGGCATTCTCACCTGACATATATTGTAGATTTTCAAGGAAATTATCTTGTTTCCATCACAATGTTTGTTGCACTGTTTTCTTTCTTTCTTTCTTTTCTTTCTTTTCTTTTTTTTTTTTTTTTTTTTTTTTTTTTTGAGGGAGAGTTTTGTTCTTGTCGCCCAGGCTGGAGTGCAATGGCACCATCTCGGCTCATGGCAATCTCCACCTCCTAGGTTCAAGCAATTCTCCTGCCTCAGCCTCCCCAGTAGCTGGGATTACAGGCATTCTCCACCACACCCAGCTAATTCTGTATTTTTAGTAGAGCGGGGGTTTCTCCACGTTGGCCAGGCTGATCTCGAACTCCCAACCTCAGGTGATCCGCCTGCCTTGGCCTCCCAAAGTGCTGGGATTACAGGCGTGAGCCACTGTGCCCGGCACAATGTTTGTTGCACTTACTGTTTTCTTAGGACACCTAGACCTTCCTACCAGCATGATCTCCAACCTCTGTGCTTCACACCTAACCTCTAATCATTGTCCTCAACTCAGAAAAAACTTATACTTCATGGTCTTCAATTTCTGGTGTTTGCTTTCTTGGTTTTCTCTTTGGTGAAAAACTCAAAATAGATTGTAAATTTGTAAAGTCTTCTTCCAAGTTTTAATATTTAGCAATTCTTCATCCCTTTCCCATTAACCAACACATTTTAATTAGTAAGTTTAGTAAAATTATGAATTCATCTGCAGAAATTTTTTCAGCCTCACACTAGATAGAGCCTTGCATAAGGAGAATTACATAAAATGACACAAAAGAATTAATTTCTTCTTACTAATCTTCCTTTCTTTTCTTTCTAGAGACAGAGTCTCACCCTATAGCCTAGGCTGACCTACAGTGGTATGTTCTCAGCTCACTGCAATCTCCACCTCTGGGACTTAAGCGATCCTCCCCAGTGATCCTCCCACCTCAGCCTCCCCAGTAGTTGGGACTACAGGCATATGACTATGCACAGCTAATTTCTGTATTTTTTTTTTTAGAAATGCAATTTTGCCATGTTGCGCAGGCTGAACTTGAACTTCTAGGCTCAAGTAATCTGCCTGCCTCAGCCTCCCAAAGTGCTAGGATTACAGATGTGAGCCACAGCTCCTGGCCTCTTCTTACTAATTTTCTGAATGATGGTATTATGATACTTTGTCACGTACCTTCAAACCCAGTTGACCGTTAATAATTTCAGACTATACAAGATCTTTAGGTGTGACTGCTGAACCAAGTACCTAGAGAGACAAAAGAAATAATTGTGGTAATGGGGCTGAATTTTTAACTAAAACATTGGTTATCATAAGCTTATGAGATAACAAAATGATATATATTATTTTTATGGAAACTACATTTATAGTTTTGGAATATTCTACCTGAGAGAAGATACTTGCAGGCATAGCAAACAAAAGTGTAATTATCATTCTTGCACAATGGGTATTATAATAATTTATAGATATACATTGGTAGGATATAAGGATATAAAGATAAGGAAGAAAAATTCCTGCCACGAAAAAGCAATTGGAAGGGGATGCAGGATGTCAAGATGTACAGAAATAAAATATGTCTTGCACTTTCTTTATGCAAAGGATTGTCCCAGTTACATGACCCCTACCATAAAGCTCAATAGAAAGTCTATGTCAAACAAAATTAGAAAGAATAGAATTTAGTATTATTTGTGATTTTGAAAAACTGGTGCAAACAGTTATAGACATGAAACATAACAATTGTTCTTTAATTGAGGAAACGTGTAACTAAAGGAAGCAATTTGTTCTAACCCTCTTACCTACCCATCTCCTCCACCAACACGCACACACACACACACACACACACACACACACACACAATCATTGCCAACTGGGATCATTTCCAACTATGTGTGGAATGGATATTTGGAGTTCTTTGCCTCAAAACATTATGCAATCTCAGAGTTTAGGTCTTAAAAATACCAAAAGTTGTTTTCTCTCTTTTTTTTCCTCCTATGCTTGCATTTGACTCTTTGCAGCTTATCTTAAGAATTCTAAGACCTTGGTAAGATTTCGAATAAAGAATGATGGTTGCCTAGGAAATGTCCATGAGCTACATAGGTATCTCATTTCAGCTAATTTGATAACAGAATAAACAGCAAGGAATGCAGATGTATGATTTGTTGTATTTTCATTCTCTTGCCTTTGTGATAATGGCAATGAGTTTATGTGTGTACATGGAGCGGCTTTCCTCTTTTTCCCTTTTTTCCTTTTCACAAAGGCAGTGAAATACTAAAGTAATTCCGAAAATGTACAGTCCAAGTGATTTTTGAAGTTCTCTAGATACATAATCAAGTTTTGAACATTATCTGGCATAAAGGATAACACTATATTACATGTGTGGGCATTGTAAGGCAAGTGTAGTGACAGAACTATTTACTTTGCCTTTGATAGATCATTGCAACAATCAGAATGAAATACTTGGAAAATGTATTCACTTTTCTCTGTGGGGTCATCCATGCTCGAGTTATTAACCTTCAATGGCAGAGGCAAATGTAACTCTCTCTTATGCTACATAAGATAATATCTGCTTGTTTGCTTCTTGTATATTCTAATCTAAATTTGAAATCATCTTCCTGGACTATATTTGAACAGCTCCTAGTATACAGAAAGGCATAAACTCCAAGTCCAAAGGCCCTTTGTGATGATGATAATGTCTCTGAAGCTGTGTGTACCCTTTCTTTACTTCCTAGTCACAGCTCAGATGCCCACAATCATTTACTCTAGCTATCTACACTTAAATGAGGATAGCCTATGGAATGTGAAATATTATTCTTCCCAAATCTGGACATTTCCACCTCAATTTCTAAGAGATGAGTCATTACTTTGACCCTGAGACAGTGATTATTTTTCATCTTCAGAGGATATGCCAGAATCACAAATGTCATTTAGCTGATTCACTCTTGTTTATCTTGTCAAGTTAAGGTTCCTTATCAGCCTTGGATGAACACACCACTCTGGTATCATAACTCTACTCAGATAACCACGAATCCCTTCTAAAAACACCTGATGTAAAAGTCTTCATTCTTTCTGGTACCTGTTTTCCTGTCGGTCAGTCACTGAGAGGTCCAGCGCTATTTTCTATCTATAGTTTGTGGTTTCCATCAATCATTAGAAAATAATTTTAAATTTTGAGTCAAGATTGTTTATGTTTCTGTTCAAGACATTTAAACAACTCTAAGTTACCATATAGGTAAACAAGTAGAATATCTTTTCTTAATTTGTTCCTGTCCACAGAGGGTTTAGTTATCAACCATTATATACTGACCCTTTTCACTGTTGGGGAACAGAGAACACCAACAAATATAAAACATGGTTACCACCTTGATGAAACTCAAGATCTAGTTTGAGCATATACAGATTTTTATAAGGTAAGTAAAGCATATATAGATTTTAGTATCTATATTACACAAATTAGTCATATATTGACAATAAGATTGTATACCAACTCAAATTTAGATTAGAATATGCAAGCAGCAGACAAGCAGATACTATGTTATGTGGCATAAGAGAGTTACATTTGCCACTCTGCCATTGAAGGTTAATAACTTGAGCCAAAAGATTGACATTAAAGTATAGGTCTCAAGAATCAGGAAATAAAAGGAAGGAGAGAAGGAAGAGGCAGCAAGAGCTGGAATGGACCAGTGACATTTCATGGAAGATGCAGAACTCATGGCTGACAGTAAAAAGTGGGTTGGGCTTAGAAGTGTCAAGTGGGAGATGGGGTGTTACAGGCATATACCTTAAATATAACAATGTAAGTTAAATGAGCCTGTGGAAAAGTAGACTAATATTTTCAGTATATTTTTCAGTCAAGCACGGGTAACAATGATAATGGCTGGAAATGTATATGTGTAAGTTAAATGGTATATTAATGACAGACTGCAGCAAAATATTTTACTAAGTACCAAGAGAAAAAAGTACACAATGTATTTATGCAGGACATTTATAATTTGTGTGAGCTTATAGCCAACAGCATAAAAAAATTGGGCAAACCAATAGCATTATCCTGGACAAAAACAAAACAAACAAAACTTTAAAACTATTTTGGTTTATATGAGGCATCTCTAGCCATTTTGTGGTCAGAAAATAGAAAATGCAGAGAGAAAGCAAACAGAAATGCACCATCCTTTCGCTGGACTCCACTTCAGCCAGTGTGTGTGTTTAGAAGTGGAAAAAGGGAGATGGGGAAGGGAAAGTAATGGGAGAGGTAAGGAGAGAACAGAACTAAAGGACCCTGGGGCCATGGTAACAGGATTGGCAGCAGCACCAGAAAATTTCACACCAAGATCAAGATAGGTTGTTTCTCCTACAGCCTGAAGTTTTTTTTTTTTTTTTACATTTTACACTCAGTTTTGGTTGATTTTCAATGAGCCCCTGTATAATTTTATTCCAGTTTTTTAAATTAAATCTTCTTAGGTACATTTAATCAAAGGAAAATATAGCTATAAATATCCAAGTTTAAAAGTTATTAAGCAATTTGTTCAAAAAAATAACAAATCAAGGGCATAACAAGAAATATATTTCTTAGGGATAAATGAAATTTCCTAAAACTTGCAATAAGCATTTATTTTCACCATATTTTAGGTGAAAGTAAGAAGTGTTTTCAGAAGAAAAATGAGTCCAGCAGAAATGCATTAAATATTTTAATCAATAATCTAAATCTATGGATAAGTAATACAATCTTCTTAGATAAATTAAAATTTGAATTTGCACATAGATTTTTTTAAAACATAAATAATTTCATTTTTCCCTATATATTGCAAATCTTATAAATGTTCATTGGGCAAATTAAAACCAAACAAAACCAAGAAACAAAGTGTAAATGTGCTTTGAAATAGTAGCATCAAAGAGTGAAGGAAAAAAAACCTTTCTCTTCCTGTTCGTGCTCCTCCCCCACGCATTTTCATCTGTCATATTGAAATAAATAAGAGAGCAATAGTTTCTCCCACAGTGCTGTTTGTGGTTAAGGAAACAATAAAGGATATTGTTACAAATAGGTGGGCAATATAATGAGAAAAAGAAGTGGCCTGTGGTCATAGTTGCAGCTGTGCAGGCAAGACATAAAGTTTTTAAGGGTGTAAGAAAGCAGCTAGAAATACCCATTAAAGAATAAAGAGGTTTTTGACTGCTATGTACAAGAAGATTATTTGGAACATGTTAGCTACCTCTAAGCTTAAAGTTCTGGTTTTAGTCTTTAAAGTTTATGATGGATTTTTTGATTTACCTTTTTCTGGAGAGTTTTTGCTTAGTGTTTTTCTTCTCTGCATCTTTCTTCAATTTTTCTTCAGAAACTATGTATTTTTTATAAACAGCTTGACAGGGAAAGCATGAAAGCATGACATTTGCACAGATATGACCCACACAGAGGGTAGTGTGGGTACCAGTACAGGGAGATAGGAGAGTGGCTTTCACAATAACCCCCAAATGACTACAGAATTCAACATTTCAGTCTTGGGTTAAGGAATTTAAGATATGATCATGATAATCAATTAAAATGCACTCAACTTAGAATTTGTGGTCATGGTAGTGGTTGATTGTGTGACATTCTGAAATCAAGAATCAACAGCATCTAGCCGAAGTTTCATAGGGAACAGCATTACAACAATAATGGTCAATCATTGGCCATATGACTAGAGTCTCAGAAGATAGAAGTATTTACTGAGCGGTGATTGTATCTGCTTCATGAATGACTTCTTGATTACTTGAGTCAGGAGATAAAGGAATGCATATTGTTTAAAAAGTATACAACCTAGCAGGGACCCCCAACTCCCAGGCCACAGATCAACACCTGTCTGTGGCCTGTTAGGAACTGGGCCACTCAGCAGTAGGTGAGTGTCAGGTGAGTGAGCATTACCACCTAAGCTCCGCCTCCTGTCAGATCAGTGGCATTAGATTCTCTTAAGAGCACAAAACCTATTGTGAACTGCACATGGGAGGGATCTAGGTTACACATTCCTTATCAGAATCTAACTAATGTCTGATGATCTGAGATGGAACAGTTTCATCCTAAAACCATCCTTGCACCCCTTTACCCCCATCCATGGAAAAATTATCTTCCATGAAACCAGTCCCTGGTGACAAAAATGTTGGGGACCACTGCAACCTAGAATAAAATGCCGGTATCTTGACACTGATAGCAGCTGCGACCCGAGGAGTAATTTAACCTCTCTATACTTTGAATTCTTACTTGTAAAAGGAGCCAACAATGATACTTGCATCACAGGCTTGTTTTAAGGATTAAACAAATGAATACATAATTTTAAATAAGCTTTGTATTTTGTAATAATTTTAGGTATACAGAAAAGTTGCAAAGATAATACAGAAAGTTCTCGTATACCTGTCATCCTGTTTCCCTGAACGTTACCCTCTTACATTACCATGGCACATTTGACAAAACTAAGAAACCAACAGTGATACATTGCAATTAACCAAACTCCAGATTTTATACAGATTTTTCCTGTTTTTCCACTAATACTCTTTTTCCATTTCAGGATTCAATCCAGGATTCCACACTGCACTTATGAAATGCACATTTTATTTTTTGAAACATTTAGAACTGTGTCTGGCACACAGTAAGCACCTGCAAAATGTCACTTAATCCTTATTAGATGATTTTCATGCAAGCGAGATGGAATGTTTCTAACAATGTCATATATTAACAAGAATTTATTCCCAATTACTTACACTGATTCTGTTGCAAAGAAATCAATTAATATAAAATAAGGGGTCATTTATCTTCAGAATAAAATCAACTATATGCTAATTGCTCTCAAAAAAGGGAGTTCATCTCTAGGATATCTTCTAAAGGTAAGAAAAACAAATCATGTCTTAGTGGTTTAACTCCATTAACTGACTTCTTCATTCAACAAAAATTTTTTGAGTGCCTGCAATACACCAGGCAGTGTGCCATGGGCTGAGGTACAGGGATGAACAAATCAGACTTAGTCCTTTTTTCAAGTGAAATGTATATATTTTTTCATAATCTTAAGCAACTGATGTAGAATCTGATTGACCCCACCATGAAGCATAAAGCCTTGAATCCCTCACTAAACACAACCTGCAATGTTCACTCAGAAGCAGTGATTGAAGTTAGCTGAAAGAAGGAGATAATCGCAGTTCACTTTGGCTACTATCGCTCACATATGCAGGATCCAAGTGAGAGGTGACAGCGTGCTGGCAGTCCTCACACCCCTCACTCGCTCTCGGCACCTCCTCTGCCTGGGCTCCCACTTTGGCGGCACTTGACGAGCCCTTCAGCTTGCCGCTGCACTGTGGGAGCCCCTTTCTGGGCAGGCCAAGGCCGGGGCCGGCTCCCTCAGCTTGCGGGGGTTGTGGAGGGAGAGGCCCAGGCGGGAACCGGGGCTGCGTGCGGTGCTTGCGCGCCAGCGCAAGTTCCGGGTGGGCGTGGTCTCGGCGGGCCTGCACTCAGAGCGGCCGGCGGCCGGCCCCGCCCACCCTGGTCAGTGAGGGGCTTAGCACCCCGGCCAGCAGCTGCTGTGCTCAATTTCTCGCCAGGCCTTAGCTGCCTTCCCTCGGAGCAGGGCTCAGGACTTGCAGCCCGCCATGCCTGAGCCTCCCCCAACTCCGTGGGCTCCTGTGCAGCCTGATCCTCCCCGACGAGCACCGCCCCCTGCTCCACAGCGCCCAGTCCCATCGACCACCCAAGGGCTGAGGAGTGCGGGCGCAGGGCACGGGACTGGCAGGCAGCTCCACCTGCAGCCCCAGTGCGGGATCCACTGGATGAAGCCAGCTGGGCTCCTGAGTCTGGTGAGGACTTGGAGAACCTTTATGTCTAGCTAAGGGATTATAAATACACCAATGGGCACTCTGTATCTAGCTCAAGGTTTGTAAACACACCAATCAGCACCCTGTGTCTAGCTCAGGGTTTGTGAATGCACCAATCCACACTGTGTATCTAGCTACTCTGGTGGAGACTTGGAGAACCTTTGTGTGGACACTCTGTATCTAGCTAATCTGGTGGGGAGGTGGAGAACCTTTGTGTCTAGCTCAGGGATTATAAACGCACCAATCAGTGCCCTATCAAAACAGACCACTCAGCTCTACCAATCAGCAGGATGTGGGTAGGGCCAAATAAGACAATAAAAGCAGGCTGCGGGAGCCAGCAGTGGCAACCCGCTTGGGTCCCCTACCACGCTGTGGAAGCTTTGTTCTTTCACTCTTTGCAATAAATCTGGCTGCTTCTCACTCTTTGGGTCCACACTGCCTTTATGAGCTGTAACACTCATCGCGAAGGTCTGCAGCTTCACTCCTGAAGCCAGCAAGCCCACAGACCCACCGGGAGGAACGAACAACTCTAGACGCACCGCCTTAAGAGTTGTAACACTCGGCTCACGCCTGTAATCCCAGCACTTTGGGAGGCCGAGGCGGGCGGATCACGAGGTCAGGAGATCGAGACCATCCTGGCTAACACGGTGAAACCCCGTCTCTACTAAAAATACAAAAAATTAGCCGGGCGTGGTAGCGGGCGCCTGTAGTCCCAGCTACTCGGGAGGCTGAGGCAGGAGAATGGCGTGAACCCGGGAGGCGGAGCTTGCAGTGAGCCGAGATCGCGCCACTGCACTCCAGCCTGGGCGACAGAGCGAGACTCCGTCTCAAAAAAAAAAAAAAAAAGAGTTGTAACACTCACCGTGAAGGTCCGCAGCTTCACTCCTGAGCCAGCGAGAGGACGAACCCACCAGAAGGAAGAAACTCCGAACACATCCGAACATCAGAAGGAACAAACTCCGGACACGCCGCCTTTAAGAGCTGTAACACTCACCGCGAGGGTCCATGGCTTCATTCTTGAAGTCAGTGAGACCAAGAACCCACCAATTCTAGACACACAAGAACTTAGATGAAGATAAGCGTTCAAGGAAAACCTGCGCGTGGCTGCAGACACGTTCATTCCAATCGCTCTGGGGTTTCTTCCTTGCTGATGATGTTAATGATCTTATGCTAGGCATTGTGCTCATGGCTTCACATATATTAATTCAAGGAAATCTCACAACTACCATATGAAGTAGATATTATTCCCCAATTTATAGATGAAAAGATGAGGCAAAGTGATCTGATGCAAGAAAAATAGGAAGGAAGACACAAAAAATCCTTTTGTATTTTCACAACTTTATGAGTACCAAGACAGATATTGCCCTGAACATAAATAATAAAAACAGCTTTTTTTTCTGACTTTAAAATGATTATTCTTTAAAAATTTGGTTGCTTTTTATGTGGCTATACAAAGTTCTTAATGTTTCTTTGGCAATGGAATATAGTGGAATTTTACAACTATATAAAAAAGTTACCTTTGCCTAAGAAACAGTATTTACTGTGTGTACCTAGTTAACTGAAAATTCTCTACTGAAAATTCTCTACCATCCAGCACCCTAAATAATTGATGAAATAAGCTACCTCATATTATAGGATTCCCCAAAAAAGGAGAAAGATACAGACATGCACACACACACCCTTCTGTGGCCCAAAACACAGTATCACAGCCCTATCTGCAGGCCACTTGCAATTGACAAATATGATTTAGTAATTTAAAAAATACACTTTCAGTGATGAAAAAATATAAGTCCCACTGAAGTACTGCTTAACTGTACATAAGAAATTACTTAACCTTCTGCTATTCCAAATATATTTTATGTTCATTTTTTAAGATTAGGCTTTCTCCCCTGCAACCCCAAAAAGTAACTGCATTTTATCTTTGAAATTAAGCAGAAAAACAAACAAAAAACAAAAACCCAGTGCTGTTGACAAATGTACAGTGAATTCACTTGATTCTTCACAAAGACTGAAATCAATTTTCAGGACCATGAAGAGCTAAAAATTCACCTATTTTTAGAGACTTGTTTGTAGACTATACAGCAACTTTGTTGTCTTTCCTACATTAGAAATCCGAAAACTCCCTGCCCCCAGGACCTCCTCTGAATCCACTGCGAAATCCTCCAGGGATGGTTAAAGTACCACATCTGCTACCACCATGCCCTCTGCCACCACAGAAACCGAAGATCCCTCTGCCTCTGCGTCTCCCACAGCCACGATTTGGACAAAGTGGGATTCCAAATGTTTCAGCATTTAATCTTCTTTCTTCAGCCCAGGTTGATATCCGTTCCCTATTGTCATCACAAGAAATATTATCAAAGAAGGATTTAGTTTTTTCCTACTAGCAGTTAGGTCCAAGTGGATCTTCTTCATCAGCACTTCCTTTACTTTTGGGGTATCAACTCCTGGGTCACCTTTATCTTCACCATTTACAGGCTCCTCCTGTTTCTCAGTTTATCTTCTTTTAAGTTTATTATGAAACTCTCTGTCGATCTCTCCCTTGTTGAATTGTGCATTTGCACTTTCAAAGTCAAAGTCTTTCTCAAATTTCATTGGCCCATCTCGCAGAATACGAAATCTTCCCCTGCTACCCGGCTGAACCCCACGCCCTCTCCTTGGAGCTGAAGGAGTACCTGGAGCTACTTGTCTCTTGCTATCATTTCTGAGTTGCTCATTTTCTGGTCTTGAAACATTGTGTACTTCAGCTCACCAGTGCTCTTGATCTCTATTGCCTAGTTGATACAGGGCTCCTTCTCCCAACAGGTGCTGGAGCAGGTAAATGGGCCGAGACAGTCTTCACTGCTTGTTCAGTGGTTGGGCTTTTTCTCAAAGGGTCTAACTGAGGGCTTGAGTGACCTTGAGATAACTGTGTTTTTAGAGATCTTGTATCCTGTGTTAAGGCAGAGTCAACCATACTACTTTGGGGTAAGACACCACTGTTTGATGTTTCTGTTCCAAACGATATCAAAGAGCTTCCAGCAACAGCAACGGCACCAAACTCCTGCCCAACTAAGGAGCTTGGACTGAACCGACTGTATATGAGCATCCTGCCCAAAGGCCCATGAGAACCCCACGCACCAGAATGAAGAAGTTGATGAGCCTAGTGAGGACTGAAGGATAGCTGGGTCTTCAGGCAAAGAACACTGTGGTTTTGGTGGCTCACAGTGAGGTCTTTAATGTCACTCCTATGGAATACAATGTATTACAATAGTTCATCTTGAGGTGGTATTGGACGATCTATCTTCTGTACCAGAAAATTGAATTTTAGCGAGGGCTACGGTGGGGTTCTACGTGTCGATGGTGCAGAGGATGCCCTCGTAGCAGATCTGTGCCTTGGAGATGTGGCTGATCTTGCTGTGGAGGAAAGGGGTGACCCCGCTCATGGTGCCACCGCAGCTCCCGGCGCTCGCAGAGCGGCGGACCCCAGGCGGCTGTCAGGCGATCCACAGTATCCGTCGCGCCTGTGGCAGCCGCCTCAGACCTAACATGGCGGCGCCGGCGCCAGCTCCGCTAAATCAGCTTTATTTTCACTTCATTAAAAGAAAAATTGAAAACTCCAAAGAACGATCTTGACTTCTAAAATCTGAAAAACGATATCCTTTAGGACTTAAATCTTGGATTGTTTTCTAAGATGCCTCAAATAACTGCTGAGCAAACTTATGTCTAAATTATTGCTGTCTTCACAATTCAGTAAAACCAATAGTAATTAAAGCATCTATTACTGCGTAGGCCCCTGCGGTGTGCTACATCAAAGACAAATATGAATAAGCCAGTCCCTCCCTCAGAGACCTTACACTGTAATAGATGCATTTCATTTTATTTTACATATGAGTGACTAAAAAAATGTGTTGAATTGAAATAAACACATCCTCAAATAGCTAAAGTGCAAAGTGGAACAAGGTTGGTACCACTAGAAACATACAAGCACAATGCTATGGGAAGATAAAGATAAAAGAAACAGAGGAATTCTGCCTGGCTAGAAGTTGAAGGAAGGCTTTATGTGTAAGGTAGCATTCGAAAATTAAGCTCTGTGTTAACAAGTTGAGGCAGATGATAGGGAAGGAAAGTCCTCATAAAAGGAAAAGCATTGATGAAGGCAAAAAGTTAGGAAATCACAAAGTTAGTCCTAGGAATACCAACCACACCAGTGTGGCTGAGATTCACATTACTGCGAGAGGGTCAGAGCATGGTAGGCCCGTATTTGGATGGACTTGTGTGCCAGGATGAGAATATTGTACTTTATACAGCAGAAAATGGCAAACTCGTAAGGATTTTTGGTAGAGAATTGACATAGCTAATACTGTACTTCGGGAAGATTGATTCATAGGTGTTACCATGGAATTCATCGTGGGAGAGACAAGAGGTAGGAACATCAATTACATTTCATTATATTATGCAAGGACTGCCTGAAACAAGGGTAAGGAAGAAGAAATAGAAGAGAAAAGATGGATGCATTGATGGGGTAATTGACCTAGGAACTAGAAGAAAATAAGAGACCCTTGAGATGCTTAAAGAGACAGTATGACTGAGGAAATGGTTCTGTTACTAACAGAGTCTGGAAACTCATGGAAAAAAAGGAGGATGTTTTTGAAGATGTGATGAGTTTGATTTTCAACACATTAGGAAGAAATACAAAGGGCCATGTTTTCTTAGAAGAGAGACTGAGCCTGGGCACGTTGCAGTAAAGTGGGAAAGACTGAAAACAAAGACCCAACCCTGAAAGGGAGACTTACATTTAGAAATTAGGAAGAGGATGAGGACAAAAGAGATCAAACAAACAAAAAAAGATGAAGACCAGAGAGGAAGCAGGAGAACCAAGAAAAATGTTGTATTGTGAAAACCAAGATAGCTAGAATTTCAAGAAAGCAAAATTAAACCATAGCATAAGAAGTTTCAGGAGTATG
Organism: Homo sapiens; assembly: GCF_000001405.40. Taxonomy (NCBI): domain Eukaryota; kingdom Metazoa; phylum Chordata; class Mammalia; order Primates; family Hominidae; genus Homo; species Homo sapiens. Next base: position 121,681,403 of record NC_000006.12, on the reverse strand, counting down.
AAAGCCAGTTGCCTTATTTAAAATGTCAACTTGTTTTGTTCCACTACGGTTTGTGGGATACTGCTTCATTTAAACAATTTCCCAGGCAAAATTAAAGAAAAAAAATACTTTGAAAATCAAAAAATAAATTGATTAAAAAACTTTCAGCTGATCTGTAAAACTCTATTAAGCAATGATTTGATAAAGGTACACATCACATATGTATTAGAAAGCTTATTGATAAAATATTTTGTTGGAAAAAAATCATTTATTGTCTTAGAGATTTGGAGAAAATATGTTTGCAGTTATTCCATTACAAGGCCTAATTGCAATTTGCCTTCATCCTGGGGGCTGGAAAGAATAATTTTTGAATTAGAACTTATTTCTATTTCAGTATGGTTATTTGGTGGCCTTCTAGTTCTCTCATTTTAAACTTTTAAAATGCAAGGGTTTGCCAAATTAAGCCTTCCTGCTACCAGAAACTTAATAGTCAAAAGAAGATTGAAATTACTCGGAGGGATGAAGTTTCTTCAGACATTAAGCAATTAGCATGTCTTTGAAAGACTCACGATCTAAGCACAAACAATATAGGTTTTAAAAAATGAATTAACTAGACAGAAAGATGAATAAGACTGAGAGCTACCAATTTAAAACTTTCTATACTGTGATACAGTTCCAAATGCCAGACCATTCCAAATTAGAGTACCTAAGTAGTCACTTATCTAGCAATTTACTTTTTGTTATACAAATAGAGATGGCAAACAGACACAGGTGGGAATTTCTTCATCTTCAATGTTGGTCCCACTCCCACCCCACCCAACCCCTTGAACTGTTGATAAGACCAGGAGTAAGAGAATAAAAAAAGACACGTTCCTATATCTTGAGTTGAAACTAGGAATGCATTTTTTTAAAAGCAGTCGTAGATTTAAAAAAAAAAAAAAAAAGCATTGGACCCTTATCACAAGATGGCGCTGAAAGCGAAGAAGGAATTTCCTTCGGCTTTAGTTCTTCCTAAAGCCGAAGCCAAAGTGAAGGCTTTAAAGGCCAAGAAGGCAGTGTTGAAAGGTGTCCATAGCCACAAAAAAGAAAAAAAAAAAAGAAAAAAAAAGAAGATCCTCATGTCACCCACCTTCCGGCAGCCCAAGATACTGTGACTCCGGAGGCAGCCCAAATATCCTTGGAAGAGCGCCCCCAGGTGAAACAAGCTTGACCACTATGCTATCATCAAGTTTCTGCTGACCGCTGAGTCTGCCATGAAGAAGACAGAAGACAACAACACACTTGTGTTCATTGTGGATGTTAAAGCCAACAAGCACCGGATCAAACAGGCTATGAAGAAGCTCTATGACATTGATGTGGCCAAGGTCAACACCCTGATTTGAAGAAGGCATATGTTCAACTGGCTCCTGATATCAATGCTTTGGAAGTTGCCAACAAAATTGGGATAATTTAAAATGAGTCTAGCTTGCTAGTTCTAAGTGTATATATATATATATATACACACACATATATATGTATATATGTATACACACATATATATACACATATATATGTGTATATATATATGTGTATACATATATACATATATATACACATATATATGTGTATATATATATGTGTATATATATATACATATATATATACTTTTCACCATAAAAAAAGCATTACAAATATTCCTTTTCATGGGCACTTGGATTAAAAAGATTTTCTGTACTAAATAATATTGAGAGTCAAATGGGCTATAAAATTTTATCTATTAAAAATAAATATTGAATTCAAAATGAAAGAACTGCAAGGAACTTTCTAAAATATAGTATAGTCATCCTTTCATATCTTCGGGGAATTGGTTCCAGGACATCCCTGCCAATATCAAAATCCATGGATGCTCAAGTCCCTGATATAAAATGTTGTACTTTATGCATATAACCTATACAATCCTTCTATATACTTTAAATCATCTCTAGATTACTTATGATACCTAACACAATATAAATGCTATATAAATAGTTGTCATACTGTATTGTTTAGAAAATAATGACATGAAAGTCTATGTGACCATCCATTTTTTTCCCAAACATTTTCAGCCTACAGTTGTTTGAATGCATGGGTGCAGAACCCACAGATATGGACAGCAGACTGTATGTTCTTGAACTAAAGACTATGAACTGAATATTTATATACATCTATAGGTTTATATATGCATATACAGAAAATTGATCAATGTTTTTATATTAAAAAATAGCATATTTTCTTTTTTCTTTTTTTTTTTTTTTTTGCGGACAGAGTCTCTCTCTGTTGCCCAGGCTACAGTGCAGTGGCACAATCTTGGCTCACTAGCAAACTCCACCTCCTGAGTTCAAGTGATTCTCCTGCCTCAGCCTCCTGAGTAGCTGGGACTACAGGTGCATTAGCCACCACGCCTGGCTAATTTTTGTATTTTTAGTAGAAACAGGGTTTCACCATGTTGGCCAGGCTGGTCTTGAACTCCTGACCTCAGGTGATCCACCTGCCTCGACCTTCCAAAGTGCTGGAATTACAAGCATGAGCCACAGGGCCTGCCCAGAAAATAGCATATTTTCTTATATCTTTCCCTACATCACTGTGGAAATTAGTGCTTATGAAAGAGGTGTATTTTATGAAATTGATACAATATGATAAATTTCCTGGAGAATAATACATAATATGAAAATCTTTGGAAAAATTAGGAATATTGTATTTCAGAAGATTCTAAATCTTTGGAAACAGTGAATTGGTTGTAGCAACCAAGGCAAATCTGGTATATGCTCTTTTGCTTTATGGTCATTGAAACCAAGGAAGAGAGGACTTAGTTTTAATTTGTATATACAGTAGCTTTAAAAAGATAAAGAGAAACTTTTTCTACTACTTGAAGCCCTCTGTATTCTGAAACTTATTCATCAGTGGCCTCTAACTCTATTTGACTCATGCTTTTGTCTCATTATTACACTGATTTCTTGGGAGTGCTGTCAACCCTTTTTACTAAGACATTCCTCTGAATACCCATAGCACTGATAAGTATCATAAGAGAAAATTTAAGAAATGAGAACCAGGTTCTTCTAGCATCCCTTCTTGACACTCTAGACTGTTCTTTGAGGTAAGATATTTCCTCACAGAACATAAGATATGTCATTTAGTTAAGCGGGTCTTATTAATGCTATTGAAAGTGTGTTAGGGAAACAATACTTTCCATTCAACAGAACCAAAAACCCTCTTGTGTGACCGATCGAGACTTAACTATACTTATTTTAATGGCTTCTTGTTATTATTTACTATGCCGGTATATAAGACAAGCAGCAAAGTGATACTGATCATAGACTAGTAATAGAATACAGCTTAATCAGGTAGCTGCCACAATCACAGTATTTCCTTGAAAGGGTGGGATGGAATTCATTTGTAAGGATTTTCCCAGATCACGTAAATCATACTTCTTCAAACCACATTCTCCTTAGAAACACACACACACACACACACAAATTTTACTAACCGTGGTCTGTTTAAAATGAACTACAATTTAAAGCTGCATTATGTAATCTCTACATTTATTTCACATGTTCAAACCATGCCTCCCTGGTCTGTGATCCAAAGCAGGAAGGTGGTTGATGACTATGGAATCCATTAGCCTTTCTGATTCCATGTGCTTACATTGCAGATTAGCTATGGTTCTGAAACTTCCAGTTTCAATGGAAACCACTGGATTGTGTGTCTGTGTACAGGGGAACAGAATAGGGTATTTCAGAGAAAATTTCATCAGTTCTTGTTGGAACTGGCTAAAAACAGTGGGACTTTTCCACTTGTTCTTTGTCTTTTATGTTTTCCCATATCACAGTTCCTCTCTGCACTACCATACGCCTTCTCTTTTCCCCATGATCCTTTGCAATAATACCTCCAAATGTATCTACCCTTGGAAATTTAAGAAAGTTCCTGCTTTTTTACTGAGTTCCTTCTATAACTTGATGAAAAAATAAAAGGAGATCAATTTAAGGCAACTAATTTATACTATCAAGTAGCTTCTCTTTCTATTACAAGCTAATTTTAATAAAAAGGAAGTTTGTAACTAAAAAACATTAAACAGAGTTTCTAAGATTCACCTTTATTTCTCTAAATTATGTGTGTTCCCTAATTAAAAGGAAAATACATTGGTCCATGTTACCTCTTGGCACAGGCACTAAATCAAAAACAGTTCTAAAGTTGATTCAAGGAACTTTGAAGGAAAGAGTGTAGTAAATTTAGAAGCAATATACTACAATTTGTCTTATATTCCTTCAAGTTCTCATCTTCACAGTGTTGTGAGAGGGCTTAATAGCACACATTCAGAGCATACTTTTCCTGAGATGATGTTCTGATCACCAAAGATTTAAGCCTGATTTTACAGTTGGTAGTTTGTCACCTTTTGCAGTGAATCTATAGTAAATCTAACAAATCTCTTGTTTTGAAACCTATCCATGTTCTCTTCCACAAGTTAAACATACCCATCTTCATTTAAAAGAAAAAAAGTATCAAGGAATACCTCCTTTTTTTACACTCATTGGTCCTCCCAGAAACGGAAGTTCCACTCTGTCATTTGTGCATTTCACTATGGGTCTCATTCACATGGAGAAGAGTAGTCCTTTCCCCTCCATCACAGCAATGGGCTTGGTCAGACATAAAGTGGGATTTAGTCAGAAGAGCAGGAAGACAGATGAGACATGAAAGTAACTGGTAAAATATCAATGTTCACTCTAACTTTAAGGGGAAGCATTAACTACAGAGAAAAGCTAACAAAAAATCAGAAAATTGTTCCAAAAAATGAAAAGCAACACTACACTGCAATTTCAAGCATTTGCCACACAATCTATAAAATAGAGGCAGGGCTTTGTTGTTTATTTGTTGAAGAGGAAACTATCAAAGGTAAGGCTTGTGAAGGGAGAGAGCTGAATGGGGCAGTTAAACTTTCAAAAATGAGCTAAAACGTGGCTGTATTCTGCCTCTTTCTTAACTGAGCCCTTCCTCTGGGCAACATGACCTGTAGGACATGTATACGGAGCTTTAGATGAGGGAAAAGAGAATAATTTTTTTATCCTCTCTATGTGATCTATGCCAGTTAGGATTTTTTTGTTACATGAGACAGAAATTCCAGCACAAACCAGCTTAAGTAAAAAAGAGTGAGGCCAGGTGCAGTGGCTCACACCTGTAATCCCAGCAATTTGGGAGGCCGAGGCAGGAGGATGGCTTGAGCCCAGGCGTTTGAGACCTGCCTGGGCAACATGGTGAAACTCTGTCTCTACAAAAATAAAAAAATTAGCCAGATGTGGTGACTTATTGTAAAGTCAAATGTTTTGTCATAGAACCCTGTTATCAAGAAGGACTTAAAATATTCATTGACTTTAGAGTTTCACTTTATCAGCATTAGATACTAATTTTTTAGTCACCAGTAGTTTTGATGGTGATAGGTGACTGTTGCTAAATAGGGCTACCAAATATCAGAACATTTTCTTTATAATATTCTATATGCTAAATAATAGCTAAAAATTAATGAACAGGTAAAGGGATAGCAACAAAGTATGGACACTTATTAATCTTATGTTTGCATTCTCAGCAATTCCTAGTCTCTCCCTCTGATATAACATTAACCACTTCACTACTCTTTTCATGATTTTCTTGATTTATAGAAGTCAAAAGTAATCTAATCTTTTTCTACATTCTGGGCAATATAAGAGCCTTAAATTTTAACTCATTTATTCTTTGGCTTTCTTTAGCATCAGCTTTTAAGTTAACAGGAAACATTCTTCTGTTATCTTAAGCTTGGCTCACTCCTGGCTTTACTAGTCTGGCTTTACTAGTTAATATAAACATGGAATCCTCCTATCTCGGGGGAAATGGAAGTTTGATGTTAATTACTAAAGAAGTTTTCTTTTTCTTTTTTTTTAAGTTTGAGACAGGGTCTTGCTCTGTTGCCCAGGTGGGAGAGCAGTGGCATGATCAAGGCTTACTACAGCCTCAACCTCCCAGGCTCAAGCAGTCCCCCTACTTCAGTCTCCTGAGTAGCTGGGACTATGGGCATGCACCACCACGCTCTGCTAAAATTTTAGATTTTGTACGAGTTCTCACTATGCTGCCCAGGCTGGTTTTGAACTCTGGGCTCAAGCGATCCTCCCTCCTTGGCCTCTCAAAATGTTGCAAGTACAGGCATGAGCCACTGTGCCTGGCATCTTGTTTTATTTTTTCTATATGAGTCTGAATCATTCTAAAACCAGGGTAAAGGGCCATGAAACTTGCTTACAAAAAATGTTCTCTGGTTAGTACGAAAGACAACAGCCAAAAACAGAATAAAAGTACTATAAGAAATGATCTTGTTCTCACCAGAGTTGGGTTTTGCTCTTCATTTGGTGACCATTTAAAGACATTGATTACGTCTCTATTTCATAAATGGGCAGTCACTTCTTTGTCTTGAAGTGTCCATGTGTTATATATGTTTCATTTTAAACTTGTGGAGGAAAGGTGAAATGATGGCTCCGTGTGGTTGCTACTGTTTTTGTCTCCCAGCACCCACACTTTCCTCTTATTAGAGTCTGATACTATTTATGCTTTTGTTCATACTCAGCAAAATGCTGAATAGTTTCATATTTAGGTTTTGCAGAACTCTGACTTGTGAGTAGTTGTCCTTCAGTAATTAATAACTAGGACATACTGATTTCATAACATTATATGCTTCTATTTTATTTTGTATATCAAAGGCTTTTCTATGTTTCTTCATAATCAACTCATAAAAGCTGAGTGAAAAAAAACCATGGTGACTTCCAGGAATAATTTTTAAAAACATTAAAAAACATGAATATCATGAAAATAAAGAATAAGTAAATATCAAAGTTGTATTTAACTCATGAATTAGGGGAACAGGGTGGTAAGCTGGCTTAAAGAACATTTGAGGAACTAAGTAATGATATGCATTGAACAAAAAGACTGATAGGTTAGAGACAAACATCGTTAATAAACTAAAGGGCAATAAAACCATATCCTTTGGGGTTATAATTTCAACCAGGTAGAAATTATCTGCCTCTCTACCAGATAATATTTACAAGGTACCATATAATATCATAGAGTTTGGGCTCTAATTAGTAATAAAGGGTATATCAAGGAAAGGGTCATTGTACTAGATTTTAATAATTGTTGGGTGACCCTATTAAACAATGCTCCAGTGTGACATTGAAAGGTCATGTAATCATCCTTTTACATTATTTCGAAGTTTTTCATATTTTTTTTCTGAACAGCAATAATGCTGTTCACGGTGCTGGGGAACATAGTCACTGTTGATAGAGGCCCTGATAAAAGGTATACGGAAGTGCACTATTGCTTTTCTCCTAAGCATTGCATTAGCATAGGGTAAATATGTGGAATTTATGTAATCAAGTTTCTATAACCATAGAAAGGCATTATAGTATAATGGCTAATAGCACACACTTATGAACCCCATTGTCAGGGTTTAAATCTTGGCTCTGTCAATAATTGGATAAATTTGGGCAAATTACTCCATCTTTCTGATTGTGCAGTGTTCCCACCTGTAAAATGGGGCTAATAACAGTGTCTGCCTTATTAGGTTGTGGTGAGAATTAAATTAGTAAATTGGTTAAAGTACACAGAACAGTGCTCAGTGCATTACAGACGCTGTATTAGTGTTTATTGCTGTGTTAACATGGAATTGCTTCTATCACTTAAAGAAACAATTTGATTTCTAGGGAAAATTATAGATAGTTTAACAGGCTGGAAGAAAACTATATAGGAAAATTACAAGAAATTTTTTAATTAATTACTCTAGAATATGCACATATTTAGGCTATGTGAAGGGAGCAAGGGGAAGGAAGGCGGGAAAATTGGTTGAGGATATAGGGAACTAAATAATGGACTATGAGTCAAAGGTGTGTACTTTGGGGTTCGGAATCTGCTGTGTAAAGTCCATCTGTGAGATTTTAAACAAATCATTTGCCCAATCTGGACCATTTAACTTGATGTTTAAAGGCATTAGTTCTTTACATAACACAAAGTGAAAATGTAGGTAAGGACATTCAGAGACAAGAAACCAAATCAAAGAGAGGATAATAGTAATCCCTGCTTTATCTACATCACGAGGCTGTTATGAACATGAAATAAAATAATATGTGTAAAAATGCTTTATAAACCATACAGCCTCATATAAATGTAAGATGATGTCTTTGTAGTTTATTCCTGTAACTACACAATATTACAAGGACATGCTTGACATAAATGAGTCAAAGGTAAACAGTATTATTTTTCCTAAGATCCCAAAATAGAGACATTTGGTGTCCCCAGTGGCAGGACGGAAATGAATTTATGTCAACTGGAGCATTATATGCACAAAAGATTAGAAGAACCACAAATCCTTTTACTACCCAGGAGAAATATGTTGCAAAATAAAATCATATTCATTTTCTTGTCTCAGCCTGAAGATGATGCTAAGAAAAAAAATGAATTTTCTACTTCATTACCTCAACTAATAATGTGTTGAGTACTAGGTGCTCTGCGTGTCCCATTGTGATGAGATAAAGAGGAATAAGAGATTGACTCTCTCCATAAGGACCCAGATTTTGCAGCAATGACAACACACAAGTAACTATAGTGGAATATTCAACTGGAGCAAAGTGAGGAGGAAAAATTATTTTGTTTTGAATAAAGGCAACATAAACATAGGATTAATTTAACTTTTGCTTAATTTTTTGTGTTAGTAGCAGTATTTTCTGTCCTTTACTAGATATTATTCACACTGAACTGCACATGAAACCCTTAATTTCCCTATCTTTACATTTTATAGTTTTTTGTTTGTTTGTTTGTTTTTGTGACAGGGCCTTCCTCTGTCACCTAGGCTGGAGTGCAGTGACATGATTAGGGCTCACTGCAGCCTTGACTTCCTGGGCTCAAGTCATACTCTCACCTCAGGCCCTCAGATAGCTAGGACTACAGGTGTGTGCCTTTTTTTAAATTTTAGTAGAGATGAGGTCTCATCACGTTGCCCAGGCTGCCCCTGCCTCTCAAAGTGCTGGGATTACAGGCATGAGCCACTGTGCCCAGCTCCATTTTATAGTTTTGTTTCTTCTTTTTTCCCTTTGTTGTTATATCTTTAAATATTAAGTAATTGAAAAATAGGAATTGAAAAAGTTTTCTGTAAAATTTTTGAATTTTTTTAATAGGATGAGATTTGTTAAGTGTAAAAAACTATGGCTTATTTAATGCTCAGTACTAAAAAGAAGAATAAAGACCTATATTTGAAGAACCAAACTGAAATATCATTGTATCTTCAGATTTTTCCAGTGATTCTATAAAACTTCCTGACCATAATAGTAAAAATTCTGGAAAAACAAACCAGTAGGTCATTATTAATTAACTAAATTATTAAACTAAACCAGAGACATACACAACAGAAAAGCCAGATCATTTCAATAAAAATAATGGGAATAAAGGGGAAGACCGTTTCTGAATTTTAGTGATTATTAAAATCAAATGGTTGTCATAACTATGTGTTTTTGTGTGTGTTTGTAAGACTCCCATAAGTATATTCTTTAATTTTCCTTGGTAGAAAATTCTCTAAACAAATAATTACTTGAAATTCCAGCACATTTCCTTCTAGTTTTTGAACTACAATATTTAGAAAGGTCAACAGTTGCCTGAGGATGGAATGTAATATTAATAAATTCCATAAACTCCAAGGAAAGGAATACTCTGGTACTGTATACAGTTTGCTAGTATTTGTTCCAGACACAGTATTATTACTGTTTATTCAGAAAAAAATTTTCCAGCAAACAAGTGGTTATCTTTAGAATAAGGATCAAGCTAATATAGTCCCACATAGCTCTGGTAAAATACCTAGATGCTATCTTTGTTGGCGTGGTAAACCTGAGAATTTTCATTCATCAGTAATATAAGTTAGTTCCATATGCCTACCTGAGATGTTGCTAAGAAATATTACTCAGTCAAAAAGTAAATTACAGGGTCATAGATATTGTCTGATTCTGTTTATATTCGAACTAAAAGAGATTAAATTTATATAATAACATGAAATGGAAACCAACATGTTTCCACTGCACCTATCTGCTGTGGAAGCTTACTTTTCTATCTTTCCAGTCCCCGAATTCACAGCAGTGAAAATATATACATACATGCATGCACATATACATATATTCATGTGTGTGTGTGTGTAAATGAATAAAATGATAAAGAGACAGATGAAAGGGGATTTTGACTTTGCTCTACACACACTTTTGTGTTGTTTGATTTTTTAATAATAAGCATATAATTATGAATACTTTCAAAATTGTAAAGACACAAGAAAAAACTAATTTAAAACAAGATGAGCTATAAATACACAGAAATATGTATGTATAAGAGATATATTAATAATACATATTTTATATGGAAAAAGCAAAATAATACCATGGTGTTGTCCTATTTATGTTAAAGAAAAGGAAAAGCAAACTGTGTGTTGAGAATGATGTTGAGAAGAAAGTTTTATTTTTCTTCTACATACTTCTGTGTTGAAGTTTATACAGTGAGCATGTATTTATGTACTATTTCTGTTACTTACAAAAAATATCTTTTGTATAGAATTAACTTTTTTTTAACTAAAAAATGAGTCATAGAAAAAGGTTTGAGGAACATTTCTTAAATATGTTATCTAAACCCTATTAAATGACTGAATAGGAAAAATCTGTTTGTATAGGACTCTCAATACTAACCAAATGAGTCACTTGCAAACTTTGGCTGAAATCATTTCTGATACTTTCTTTTCTCAACCTCCCTAAGATATTAAGTCCTTTATTTATTTGTTTATTTTATTTTTATTTTTTCCTTTTTGAAACAGGGTCTCACCGTCACCCAGGTTGGAGTGCAGTGCTGCAATCACGGCTCAGTGCAGCCTTGACCTTTCGGGCTCAAGCGATCCTCCCTCCTCAGCCTCCCAAGTAGCTGGGACTACAGGAACGTACCACTCCCAGCTTTTTTTTTTTTTTTTAAGTAGGGATGGAGTCTCACTATGTTGTCCAGCCTGGCCTCAAGTAATTCATCCACCTCAGCCTCCCAAAATGCTGGGATTAGAGGCATGAGCCACCACGCCCAGCTAAATCCTTTATTTCAACATTAGATTTTTCATGCTTAATATCTCTACTTAGATCTTCTTAATTGCTTGATGTTTTCAATCTTCTCTCTATCCTTGATAAAGATATTATTATGAGTATTTTAATCTTAAGCATCTTAAGAAGCATTGAGTCTTATTTAGTCTTATTCAATTTGATTTATTAGTTTTGCTTCCTCATGGATAGTTGGATCTTTTTTTCATAGAGCTTGCATTTGCACTCCTCAGATGTCTGTATTTTCCTGCGTGTTCATATTTTGGAATCGCCATCTTCCTTGGCTGGTGGTATGTACCTGAAGAGAGGGATGATGGCTTGGATCCTAGCTGACCCTCCTCTTGATGAAAGTGTACATGTGTGTTCGAGGGTGGCTACCATAGGGAAAAGAGCCTCTGATTTTGCATTCTGTAACCCGCCTTTCTTTCCCCTCAACCTGTGCGGAGCACTGCTCTTTTCTGTGCGCTGCTTCTTCCTCTTGTAACTACTCAGTAGGGACTCAGTGATGTTGCTAGGAAGCCATTTAGTCCTGCATTGGGTGATTATTCTATACTTCCTACTCACTTAGAGTCCCATGGTGCCTACATGAACTGACTTCCCTGGCTGGTGCCGGTCTGGAGCTTATGTTTCCTGCCTACCCCCCGAATCAAGTATGGCAGAGTAAGCAGTGAGTTGGCTAGTAAATGTGAAGCAAGAGAAGCCCAAAACTACAAAGATTTCCTCTGGGTTCTGTGGGGTTTGACTTACCTTCTGGTTCTCCATCGGCTTTTCACAGTCTTTGATTTGAGTTCCAGGATCCATCAAAGACGTTTTTAACTTTGTGGCATCTCCAGGTTTGGGCTCAAGGGAAGGACAGAGCCTCCCATGCTTATTCACAATTCTGCCCACTGTATTAACTTTAGCTAGGAATGTATCCACCCCCAAATATCCTCCTTAAGTGCGTATGTATCCTTATACTTCAGGTCCAGCTATGCTGTTCTCTCAGGGAAGCCTGACTCATAAATTAATATACATGTCTCCTTATACTTTTCTATCATGACAGTGACAATTGGGATTATATAGAGATTTCTTCAATACTCAGCTATATCTCCCAAGAGTTCGAGTCTGCAGTGAGCCATGATTGTGTGACTGAACTCCAGCCTAGGCAACAAAGCAAGACCTGTCTCAGGAAAAAACAAACAAACAATAATCAGCTATCTCTCTGGATGCTAAGGTTCACGGGGTCAAGGGATATGTTTGTCTTTCTTGTTTAGTGCTTTATTTATGACATCTCACACTGTGCATAGACAATCATGGAGACTTCATGAATATTTTTAAAGAAAAAAGTAAAAGGAAGGAAGAACAAAGGAAAGAGAAATAGATGTATTTTGTTAAACTGTAATGTAATGTAATGCATATCTATTGGACAGCAATCTACTTTTGCTTTATAGTCACATCTGTAATATATAAAGACAGAACCACATATGCACTTAATCCTGGATGCTAAGAAATATATGGCCTTCTTCTTTTATTAACATCTTAATGTAGACCAAAAGTAAATGAATTTTCTGGAGGAGAAGCATAATACATTATAAGATCAAATAAAAATTAATTCTGGATTATCCACTGGGAATGAATAATAAAGTATCAACTGTGTGTAAAACTATTATGAATGGGCTGTGTTTGGTGGCTCATGCTGTAATGTCAGCACTTTGGAAGGCTGAGGTGGAAGAATCACTTGAGGCCAGGAGTTTGAGACTAGACGGGGTAACATAGCGAGATCTTGCCTCTACCAAAACAAAACAAATTCGCTGGGTGTAGTGATGCATGCTTTCTCAGGAAGCTGGAGCAGAAGGATCCCTTGAGCCTAGGAGTTTGAGGCTGCAGCAAGCTATGATTGCACCACTGTCACTCCAGCCCAGGAGACAGAGCCAGATCCTGTCTCTAAAGAAAAAAAAAAAAAACTATTGTGAATGAGTAAGAGATTGTAGAATTCCCAGAATTTTTTACTTACAAACCTTAAAAATGTGTGAAACATTTAGCAAAAATCAAATTTTCTTTTCTGAAAAAATGTCCACTGTCAAGGTGTGGTGGCTCACACCTGTAATCCCAGCTATTTGAGAAGCCGAGGTGGGAGGATTGCTTGAGGCTAAGAGTTTGAGACAACCCCAGACACGTAGTGAGACCCCATCTCTACAAAAAATTTAAAAAAATTAACTGGGGGTGGTGGCACATGCCTGTGGTCCTAGCTACTCAGGAGGCTGAGGTGGGAGTATTGCTTTAGCCTGTGAGGTCAAGACTGCAGTGAGCCATGATCGTGCCACTGTACTCAGGCCTGGATGTCTCAAAAAAACAAACCAAAAAAACCAAAACGAACAAACAAACAAACAAAAAAACCATGCCCATGCCCACAGAAAACCAGTGAAAGTTAAATAACGCCTAGAGCAGTGAAGAGAAAAAAGAAAATGCTGGACACTGTGGTTCATACTGTAATCCTAGCACTTTGGGAGGCCAAGACGGGAGGATCACTTGAAGCCAGGTGTTCGAGACCCATCTGGGCAACAAGTGAGACCTTGTCTCTACAAACAAAGAAAAAAGGAAATAATAGGCACACTTTCAAGATCCTTCTTCTAAACTCTTTAACAATTAAATGAGTTGCTATCTGTTATAACAGAAATGAATTCCTTGGATCATTGTCTACATGTTTTCTAAACCAGATAATACACTCATTGGCATGTTTCTCTGGTTCTCAGATGCTATTAGTTCCTAAAGGCTTTTAAATACCATACTGTGTCCATACATATAATGATGTTATAATATCAGATTATATTCTCTCTGGGCCCCCAAGATATGGTAGGAACACTTGGTGTGTGCATGTTATCTACTTATTTAATCTAATTCTTCCTCTCTGGTGTGATAATTTAATCTCATTGACATATATAGCTATGAATGAACAAAGCTTCTCTTGTTACTTTGACATAAGAGAATAAATTCCCCCATCTCCCCCCTCATATCTATTAAGTTCTCTAGAGTTGTCATCTTAATTTGTGATCTGCTATTAGAAGGTGATGTTAATTACTTTATAACAATATAAACAAGAAACTTTTTATCTACAAAATCTTGGCTTTTCTGGGTATTAATGTCTTACACAATATAATTTCTTTTCAGTCCCAATTTGTTTTGTTCTTTTTGTTTGTCATCGGGCCAACTTTTATTGCCTTATGTAAAATGCTCACTGTGGAAGTTATCAACTACCAATTAAGAGAACTCCAAGTGCTAGGAAGGAAGGTGAAACAAAGCTCTCAGCAGGCAGGGCTTATACTGATAACCGGAGAGTACTAAATTAAGACTAATTCACATAACTTCAGAGCATGACTCAGAAGTTCATGAGTCATGAGCTTTTACGGAGCAAAGGCAGGCAATATACAGGGAAGAGGTCAGTGTATACAGAAACAGGCTGAAAATGCACAAATAGTAATAGATTTCTGAGTTGCAAAGATGCGTATTATGACTGGGACCATCATGTCCATAAAGGATAATAATTCCTGTGGAGAAATCAGCATTTCAAGTGATGCCAAACAGAGCACATTGTAAAATAGAAGTTCAATTTATTTTGTGCTTGTCACTGTGACTATGAATTTCCAGTTTGAAAGGAAGATTTTGGGAGTGCTCTATGAAACAACTGGGCCATAGCTACTTGAAACCATGCCATGAGGAGAGAAATAAAAGCAGGGCACTTTGTGTCAAATCATCTGTGCTTGTGGGCTCATTCTCACTATCTTCCTTGCCATGTAATTGGCGTAAGTCTATGATTATCCGACTCACTCTCCATCCTTGCATTGTAAACCTGCAAGCCTTTTGATGTGAAACTCTATTTTCCAATGTGTCTCTTTGTCATACTATGGACCATATTGTCGATTCCCAGCCTTGGACCCATTTTCTGCCAACCTTGCTAGGGAGGTCACAGTAAACCTAACTTTCTCTGACATTTTTATTTCCCTCTTGGTTTTCAGCTTGCCTGCCACTACCTTTACCGTCAACCCACGTACATGCACACAAAGATTCTTCACTTTATTTTCCAACTACATGAGGTGTGTTACTTCCCAGCCAGAATCAGTGGTGTACTTGTTACAGGTTTTAGCAGACAAAGTCTATTGGGTGGAGGAAATACACAGAAGGACATTGATTCCTAGGTCAGTGGGAAATAAAATAAGGATTCAATGAAGTGGAAACTGTGAATATGGTAACTAGGAATAGAAGTAATCAAGGGATTTTGTTTTTTAATTTTTTAAATTTTTTTGTAGAGATAGTGTCTCACTATGTTGCCCAGTCTGGTATCGAACTCCTGGGCTCAAGCAATCCTCTCGTCTTGGCTTCCCAAAATGCTGGGAATACAGGAATGAGCCACCACATCCAGCCAGGAATTTTTTTTTTTTTTTCCTAAAGAGGAGAGTGTCAGATGAGGAAGGATAAATGGTTACATAATCGAAGTGACAAGAAGGCCCAGAAATGATGAAAATAGAAAGTGAGAGAAGAACTGATTTTTGTGGAAGGTTGTAGGAACACTGGTCCGAATTTTTGGTGGGAAAACACAGAAAACAAGAAATAAATGGTGACTTCTAGTCCACGATTCTTCTTTCATTGAATTATTATGTCTGTGAGGAGGGCAGATTGCAGGTGGTATGAGATAGTGGCATGAAGAGCAGATTCTGGATTCAAACAAACTCAGCTCCCCTGGCTACTATTATATGAACTTGGGTGGGTACAAAATCTCTCTGGGACTTGTAAAGCAGATGTAGTAGTTGTAGCTACTTCTGTGAAATAGTTGTCCATGCTCAGTGTCTTCCTCTACCTCCTAAACCCCCTGCCATCAGGATTTTGGCCCCTTCATGCCTCCACTGTTACTGTGGTCACCAATAACATGCCATCGAATGCCACGCTCCATTCTCAGGACTCATCTTACTTGACATATCAGCTGCATTGACACAGTTAAAGTCTTCTTCCTTCTAGATCCAGGAGTGTCCACTTTTTTGGCTTCCCTAGGCCACATTGGAAAAAGAAGAATTGTCTTGGGCTACATATAAAATACACTAACGCTAATGATCGCTGGTGAGCTAAATGGCAAAAAAAATCTCATGGTGTTTTAATAAAATCTTACCGCCAACCATAAATTTGTGTTGGCCACATTCAAAGCTATCCTGGTGAGTTGGACAAGTTTGTTCTAGATTTACTTTTTCTCTTGGCTTCAAGGACACTATACTCTCCTGGTTTTCCTCCCATGCCACTGGTTGCTGCTTTTTGGGTCTCCTTTTACTTGCTTCTCCTCTTCTCTCCAAATGCTCAATGTTGAAGTTCCTCAGAGTTTAGTTCTTTTTCTTCTCATCTACATTCCCTTCCTTGCCATCTCAACCAGTCATATGAAATTAAATTCTATGTCTATGTCATAGACTCTCAATTTTTTATCTCTAACCCAGACCTTTTTCTTAAACTTCAGACTTATATGCTAAATTGCTAACTGAAACACCTCCATTTGGAGGGCTAATAGATACCTCAAACTTAACACATCCCAAATGGGACTTCTAGTTTTCTCCCCCTAAAGTTTTCTACTTTCGGTCTTCATCCTGTCATTTAATAATGATTCTGGGCCAAATGTCTGGAGTCAACCTTTTATCTTCTCTTTCTCTTATATCCCACACCTAACACGTCTGCCCTACACCTAATCCCCTTGTCTCTACCTTCAAAATATACCTAGTAACTTACTACTTCCTGTAGTCCCATTCCAGTTCAAAAGCTATCCTTTTCATCTAGATTATTGCAATGATTTGTTAACTGATCTACCCTTGCCTTACCACAGTTTATTCTTTATGGAGAGTCAGAGCAAGCATAAGTCAGATTACATCAGTCTTCTGCTTAAAGCTTTCCAATGACTTCATATCCCACTCAGGGTAAACGCCAATGCCTACAAGTCCATCTTCTCTGCTCCTCACCCTAAGTATTCCTCTGATGTCATCTCCTTTTTCTATTCTCTACCTCCCTTACTCATTTCTGACCACACTGGCCTCCCTGTGCTTCTTGAACCTGCCAAGTATGTCCCCATCTTATGCCTTTGCACTGGTGGATTGTTCCACTAAAAATACTATATTCTTTGGATAGTCACATGGTCACCTTCCTTAACACTTAAACATTTTTGCTCAAATGTACCTACTCAGTGAGGCTTACTATGACAATCTCATTTAAAATTGCAACCTGCCCCACCTCTGGCACCCTTGATCCTCCCCTTAAATTGTGTGATCCTCCCCTTAAATGGCTCTATTTTTCCATAGCACTCACCACCCTCCAAAAAAAAATATGTATATAGTTTATACATATAATATATTTTTAATATGTATATAAAAATATATACATATTTATCTATATATAATATAGATATTTATATATTATATATATAAATATATAGATATATAAAATATATATTTTTTTTTCTTAGAGAGACAGGATCTCACTCTGTTGCCCAAGATAGAGTGCAGTGTGCAATCATAGCTCACTGCAGCCTTGAACTCCTGGCCTTGGCCTCCCAAAGTGTTGGGATTACAGGCATGAGCCACCAAGCTCAGTCTCTCTCTCTCTCTCTCTCTGTTTCTCCCTTTCTCTGTCTTATTTATTTATTTATGAGATAGGATCTTGCTCTGCCACCTAGGCTGCAGCCTCACACTCTTGGGATTGTAGGCCACCACACCCAGCCTATAATTTGTTTATCATTACTATTTATTATTTGACTTTTCCCAGTAAAATATGAGCTCCAACAGGACATGAATAAAAATATGTTTGGTTCATAGATGTATCTCAAGCACTTAAAACAGTGCCTGACACACAGTAGCCATTTAATAAATATTTGTCAATTTGAGTAAATAGATGACATACTGGTTTTTGAGTATTAAGCAACATGTCCTGGATGTCCTGGACTTTACATTAATGCAATGCTTGCTCTATAGGGCTAAAAATGATAGTGATGAGCAAATATGTAGGGTAAGAAAACTTTCATGCCCTCAGCTTTTCCTTTTCCAATCTCTTTTGCTCAATAAGCTGTTTAATTTTCCTTTCTTAAGACCCAGCTAACCAGAGACTCTATGGAAAGAGTTGAATAAATTTAATAATTAAAGAATTTGTATAAAGTAGATTATCTATTTATTTTTTAATTATTTGATAGTGTGTGTTATTTTCCAAAAGCTTTCCATTTTGAGAGACAAAAGTAATTTTTAGTCAAAGGAATTTATCTCAAACTACATTTGGGGCCTTCAATGAGCTGAATTTAAAAAGGTAGACTAGGGACAGAGAAGTTTTTATGAAATATATTAAATCAGATCAGTGGTGGAGTCTGATTCACTTGCAGCAAATAATGGCCTTAAATATAAAAATATATTTAAAGAAAATTGGTCCAAAGAGAGTTCATAATTACAAATACTTTATTTGTTGATAAATAGCCTGACAAAATTCAGTCACTTTGAATAAGCAGATCCACAGTTTGGCATCTTTCCTGTTATATAAATAGAATAAATTCAGTTCAATTTCTTCAAAAGTAGGAAAATGTATTAAGGAGTCACGGATCCATAACATGAAGAACTTCTCTGAGAACAATGATCTTCACTGTCCATTGGCTCTAATTCATTTCATTGAATTTTCAGTTACATAAGTAAAGATTCTAGCTGTAGATCAAAATAACGAATAAGAAAGGTAAGCATTATACATACCCATTGAGATTATTATATTTTTGATTCATTATTGAACATTTCTTGAGACCTACTATATTACAAGCAGTATGTTAGAGAAGTTAAGATACAGCTCTTGGCCTCAAGTAGTTATAGAGAAAATTAAGATAAAATATAAAAGATGCTGCAGATTAAATGTGCACAGATGCTATGTAAACAAAGAAGAGGCATGACTGCCTCTGATGAAGGGGTCAGAGAAGCTATTTTCTGAACTGAGCTACAGAAATGTGAGTAGAATATTATCAGGGACAAGGAAAGGAGGACATTATGGGCCTAGGAAAGCAGCAAATAAACCAATAGAAAGCATAGGAAAGACATTAATGTAAAAAAGTGGAGGGTGAGCGGTGGATTGGTAATTAGGAATCAGAAGATTTGGTACAACTGATTGGTTTGTTAGTTCTTTGGGGAAAAAAATTAAGTAGATACACTTGTATATAATTCAATCAAGAGGGAAAAAAAGCACACATATTCTAAATAAGAAAGTTCTAGAAAATAATCACAGACAAAAAGGACATGCAAGCAATCTTAGGAGATTACTTTGTTCAATTCTCAATTCCATGTAAATAAATTTGAAAATCTAGATTAAAGTGATAATTTTGGGGGAAGATATAATTTACTAAAACTAATTCTAAAAGAGGAAGCATTTTTAGTATCCTCAAAGATAATACAAAATATTGTATAACACTCAAATTTCATTTTTGATAAAAAAATTTAAGATAGAAATAGATGGATACTTTTATGACATAATAAAATATATCTGCTTCAGCACCAATACCAGGATTATGCTTAATGGTGAAGCACTAGACCAAGTTGCATTAAAGTCAGGAATATCCACTATAACTGTCATTATTTAATATCAAACTGGATGTCCTAGCCTATTAGACAAAAGGAAGAAATTAGAGTTATAAATATTAGAAAGGAGAAAATAAAGCTACCAATATTTGTAGATAATTTGATTGTCTTTCTGGAATGTTCAGGAGAATTGCTAAAACACAAAAACAAACAGCTTTAAAAGCAATAAAGAAAATCAGTAAGTTTTCTGGAACAAAATCAGGTTGTCATTCAGAAAACAATTAGAAACATTTTAGAAAAGACTATTTAGCACCATTAGAAAAGATTAAATCTCTAAAAATAAAGTTTATGTGCTATGTATAAGATGGATATGAAGAAAACTTTAAATCTCTATTGAAGAACCTCCACAAATATTAACAAAACATATTATGTACTTAGATAATAAAATGAAACATCAATCATATCACTTTTCACTAAGGTATAATTCATAAATTCAGTATGATTCACATAAGAAATAGGAATTGAAACTGGACAAGATGTTTCTCAAGTTTTCTGAAAAATACAAAAAAATAAAATGTAACAGGGGAAAAATAGAATTGGTAGTGGGGGTTGTTAATAATCCACAAGATATTAGAATGCTTACAAAGTTACAAGGACTAAAACAATGTGACAGTCATGTGACTAGACATGTCAATGGAAAAA
Source organism: Homo sapiens (assembly GCF_000001405.40). Classification (NCBI taxonomy): domain Eukaryota; kingdom Metazoa; phylum Chordata; class Mammalia; order Primates; family Hominidae; genus Homo; species Homo sapiens. Next base: position 121,661,056 of record NC_000006.12, on the reverse strand, counting down.
GTAGGAAGTCCAGAAAAAAATTGTGTATATTTATTACATACTTTGTATAGCAGATGATAGTAGTGGCATTTTGTATCAATGGGGAACATTATTCCTAGGTATAAATAATATTAGGAACATTTGGTATCCATCTGAAAAAGGTCAAGTTCCTGCAGACTTCATACTTTATATACCAATGTATTCCTGACGTTTTATAGTTTGAAAAGTTGAAAAAAAAAACACAACATACCACAATATCCCCACCATAAAATAAATGGGATATCAAAATTCGATTGTTTAAATTCAATTGTTTAAGTTGTTTAAAATGTGCATTACTGTGTGGTTAATGAAATGACCCAAACAGCAGCGAGCTTGGGTAACTAGTTGGCTACATTTTAGTTCTGGGATTTCAGCTTTACTATCCATACCCAGAGCTGGTTACAGTTTGTCGCTCCCTCATGGCAGTTGTTCATGTCCACCTAAATATCGATGGGGAGGATTCCTGGTTTATGTTTGGCAGCAGCAATTCCAAGATGCTGGAACATATTTGAACCATTTTGTCAGCTCCCTCTGGGGAGACTGGAAGCAGAGAATATTTCCACAGACAGAGCTGCCTGCTATTCTCTTCCCTAGCTTTATTATCTTCTTCGTGCTTCAACTGACATTAACTTGGAATAAGAAATTCAGTGAATCTCTGTTTGAAAATGAGGCTGTGTGAAGGTGGTAACCCATTGTCAATCATATTATGTTGAAGATAATATTTTCACATGAAGTACTGTGGAAATTTACTACAGAAGAAATCATGAAGGAGTTTTTAAAATATTCTTGAAATGGGGAAGATCTTTCTAATATAATACCAAAAAGATATTAAAGAGTAAAATAATAAAAGTTAGAGTAATTTAATGAAGTTAGACAGACCCCATTATATAAAAAGTCTAAAGAAAATAACCAACTGAAGAAAAATATTGGGCACTAAAAAAAATGGTTAATATTTTCAACATATAAAGAGTATTTAAAATAATTTAAAATCAACAACATTCTGACAGAAAAATCTTTAAAGGATAGGAACACATGGTTTACAGAAAACTGAAAAATAGTACTCTGCGTGTGTGTATGTGTTGTTTAGACAACAATTAGAAATATATTTTAGAGGAGACCCTATTTCAATGCCATCAAAACAGAGTAAATACCTAGGAATATACTGTACATGATATGTGTAAGATTAATATGAAGAAAACTTTAAATCACTATTGGGAGACTCAAAAAATACATTAATTAATAGAAAAATATATGGCACACTTAGATAATAAAACTCAACATCGAATATGTTACTTGTCACTGAGGCATAGTCTATAAATCTAGTATGGTTGAAATAAAAAAGAAGAATTTTAAATAGAAATGTATATATATATATATGTATACAGGGACTCAGCTCATTATTAGTGAAATGAAAATTAAAATAGAACTGATATTTTATGTTTTACTTAACAAAATATACAAATAAAAATGTTTTATCGAAACATGCAAAAAATAAATTAATAAAAAATATATTGCATACTTAGATAATAAAACGCAACATCAAATATGTTACTTGTCACTGAAGCATAGTCTATAAATTTAGTATGATTCAAATAAAAAAGAAAAATTACATAGAAATATATATTTATATATGCATATGTATATAGGGACTCATTAGTGAAATGAAAATTAAAATAGAACTGATATTTTATGTTTTACTTAAAATGTACATGTAAAAATGTTTCATTGCATACTTTATAGGCACAAGTATGGGGAAACATGAGGTTTTGTATTTTTTTTTACATTTCTACTGAGAATATAAATTGAAAAAACCTCTATTTGTCAAGAATAAAAATTATAAATGCACATATTATTTAATCCAGCAGTTCCAATTCTGGGGCTCTATTCTACAAATATAGTTCTGTAAATGATTTATATACACATTATTCATTGAAGTATCATTTATAATTACAAAAGATTGAAACAATGTGTCTACTCATAGGGAACTGGCAAAATAAATAGTTGTGGATGGAATATTATGCAACTTCAAAAGAAGATGGGTAATCTACATACTGACAGAATTTCCAAGATATGTCGTGAAATGTAAAAAGCAGAGCATAGAATGGTATGAATAACCTACCCCTCATTTTCATTAAAAAACAAAATATGCATATATATTTTATAAATACATTTTCTATTTATACTTACAATGTCCCTCAGAAACTACACAAAAAAATTGGGAGCTTTAGTGTATTCAACATGTGGGACTAGATTGTTGAGGTTCAGGAGTAGGAGCAATACTTTTCACTTGTCTTTTTTTTCATTTTGAATTTTGACAACATGACCCATAAAAAATTGCAGCATAAAAAGGGTTTTATTAGTAATACAGTTTATAAACTATTGATTCCAATTCAGCTTCTTTATTTTAAAAAAGAAGAAACCAAGACCCAGAGCAGTGATGACAGAAAGCTACCCATCTTTCCGTAGGCAGGACCAGAGTTACATCCTAGATTTTTTTCTGCCTCCTAGTTCAGCGTAGGATCCACAAAACATAAAAAAAACAAACAAAAAACTCATGTAATTGGATATTATAAAGAAATCGATTAAAGAAAGACAATCAAAATCAATAGCATATTTTAATTTTAGGTTATGCTATATGGTTTGATACAATATATTCTGAAAATGTTGCCATCTTTTGTCCATGACAATGTTACTTATTTCATGGTCTTGAGTAGCTGTCTTCAACAGTAGTGACAGAAACTGAGCCTTCTTTCTGTCTCACAGGTTCTCCTTTGTGACAAAGATCTTCTCTTATTTGTAAGAAGTCAGAAAAGATTATCTGTATCTGTGGAAAAGAGATTTCCTCTGTGCCATGCTGGATGACACCATTTCCTTTAAGACTTGGATGTAAATTCTTCTCAGAAACATCAGCTTCCTTTTCTTTTCCTGAATTATTTCCTCTCTGATTATGCCTTAATTCTATGTCACCTCAACTCTTATAACTATAATTAATACAATGTGTCCTTCCTGTCAGTTAAATTATACAAACATTTAATGAAGCTCCTACCATATACCAGGCACTATGCTAGGGACTTGGGACAAAAAGGTCATAGTTTCTGCCTTCAGGAAACTCAGTTTAATCAGAGATACAGATCTACCAATTTAAAAATTATTTATTTAAGACTTACTATGAGCCAATGACTGTTCAGGCTGTTGGGAATATAGCAGAGAAAAAACATACAGAAATCTTAATGATTGAAAATTAGGAAAATTTGATAATGGAGGAAGGGGTTATTTTGATTTTCTAGGTGTCAAAATTGTTGTGGTTATATAGAAAATGTTATTCCTAAGAAATACATGATGAAGTATTTAGGAAAGAACTCTCAAGAAGTATACAATTTACTATCAAATGATTCAGGAAAGAAATGTTTGTTTCCTAGAGTTTATAGTCTTCTTCAACAGAAGAAACACATTCAAATTAACCCTTTTGTCCCGGTCTGGTGGCTTGTCTGTAATACCAGCACTTTGGGGAGGCCAAGGCAGGGGAATTGCTTGAGGTCAAGAGTTCGAGACCAGCCTGGACTGTCTCTATTTAAAAAGCAAAGAAACAAAAACCCAAACTCTTAAATCTTTTTTGAGTTCTCCTTTGTGAATAAGTGGTTGTATTTGTGAAAAAATTGCACATAATTAGAAGGTATTATCTGTACTTATTTTATAAAATGGGAGAGTTTGCAGCTATATCTATTTCTGGATAGATAGATGAAGCAAATAGTGACAACATGTTAGCAATTATTGACTCTGCATGATGAGGGTTCATAAGATGGTTCATTGTACAAAACTTTAAACTTTTTTGTATGTTTGACATTTGTCATTGAATAAGGAGTTGAAAATCTCTATCTACTGAAGTGTACATTCTCGTGGCAGGAGACAAACATAAGAAAATAAATAAGTAAAATATATAACACGTCAGATGACACTAAATATTATGGGGAAACATAAAAGAGGAGGGGGAATGAGAAGTGTGGTTTTAACAAAAATAATTTATAAATCTATATATTTGAATAACATTTAGAGTTCCATAAGCAGAATGACTTAGAGTGATTTCTACTGTGTGAGTTATGTAGAAAAAAAACAAGCAAGACCTTAAAGCATAAGTGGAAATTTGCTGGAACAACAAGTAGGGTGGGGGATGAGCTCTGTGAGGGAATTCTAGGGCAGGTTAATAGTAAAAATGAGTGGTTCACATGCTCTGCTAAAGAGATTCTGGTTCTAGAGTCTTGGAATCTGCATTTTTATAAAACTGCACATAATTCTAAGGTGCTCCAAAAATTGAGACTCTGTAGTGTGGAAGCAGGGAAAGCCTTTGGGAAAAGAGAGACTAGGAAAAGTGGTTGGAAGTACAGATCGTTGCTAGGCAGAAAAGATACTTTATAATATGATAAAGATTTTGGGATATTTTCTGTAGGCATATGGGAACCATTAAAGGTTTCTTTTTTTTTTCCTTTTTACCATGAGAGTTACAGGAGTAATCACATATGAATTTTAGAAAAATAATACAGATTGGTGAATGGAAGAGGGAAGCTACTAGAAGAGAGACCAGTTAAGTAAGGCTACCCTAGCAGTTAACATAAACTTAACTGCTCTGGAACTTTAATAAAGAGATATTTGGAGGGAGACTGGGCAGATCTTAATGATGATGTGAGTGAGAAGGAGAATTCCAAATTCCCTGATTTTGTGAGCCACTAACAGACTTTTAAAAAGCAGAAGATGGCTGGGCGCAGTGACTCAACGCCTGTAATCCCAGCACTTTGGAAGGCCGAGGCGAGCAGATAACTTGAGGTCAGGAGTTTGAGACCAGCCTGACCAATATGGTGAAACCCTGTCTCTACTAAAAATACAAAAATTAGCTGGGCGTGGTGGCACTCACCTGTAGTTGCAGCTACTCAGGAGGCTGAGACAGGAGAATTGCTTGAACCTGGGAGGTGGAGGTTGCAGTGAGCCAAGATCGTGCCACTGCACTCCAGCCTGGATGACAGAGCAAGACTCCCTCTAAAAAAAAAAAAAAAAAAGCAGAAGATACCAAGTGGAGGAGATAATAGAGAATATAAATTAACTTGCAATTTCTGAAGAAGTTTTGGTAGATGTGTACGGATTTATCCAGAAAACAAAAGAAAGTGTAACTCTGATGTTTGAGCAAGGTTTTGGGACCAGAAACAGAAATTTTGGACACGCTAGCTTACATGTGGTAATTGGAGCCCACGGCACTGGTCTTGGTGGGAAATGATACAAATGCTCACAGAAGATGCTGGCAAAAATGAAGTAAATATAAGCAGTATTTAAGAGCTGGTTGGAGGAAGAAGAGGCAATAAAAGCCACTCATTATTTCATGCCAAAGAGTTTAGCAATTCCTCAAAGATAGGACAGTGTCTTTTACTTCCTTTACACACAATTTTCAAGGCGTTAATGCAGTATGCACAACAGGTATTTAGTAATTGCTTAGCAGTTGACTGGATGGCATGTGTAAGAATCAACCTTTTGCCTGTTAGCATTATGACGGAGTCTAGATGAAGGGCTTAAAGCCTAATATCAAAGGCCAGTATTATGGTTAAAGTATCAAATAAAACAAGAAATATTAAAAACCGATCTGAGTTGTTTTATTCAGTACTAGAACTCAACCTAAATTCTAGTTAAGTTAAAAAAATAAAAAAGGAAAAAAGACTATTTAGTCATAAACTACGTTTCAAAGTGAGAGGCGTTTTCCAAGTAGCCTGAGAACTGTATGTTAACAATTCTGCAGACATTTTTCTCTTTTTTGCCTAACAGTTCGGGCTCTTTTTCTCATACTACAACATTAGTCCCACTTAAAAAATATTTAAAAACATTTGCCTTCTGTGTATGATACCATTTATATAAATCTTATCAACTATTAATGCTTCAAAAATCATACTGTAAACCATTTCATACCCTTGTAAGAAAAAGATATTTTCCTGACTACAATGACTTATAGCTACTCCTAGCTTATTTTAGCAGCCAGGATAATTGAATGAATGAAAACACACCCACACACACTCTCTCTCTCTCTCTTTTTCTTTTTTTGAAACTTTTTTTTTAATTTTAGGTATTTTTCCTTTTCTGAATTTGTTATTTATCAGGAGTGACTGAAATAAAAAATATAATTGAGTCCCATCTTCATCGTCATGGAAATGGCTTTAAGAGAAAACTGGTCAGATGAATATTATTGCTTCCCATTTTCAACCAGTAAATAGTTGCCACTGATAAATTGACAGCCAGGAATCTGTCAAGAATGCTCAAGATATGTTACATAATACAACATGCCTGTTCACAGGGGGTAAAATCCTAGGAAATAACTTATGTGTACATCTTGATTTCATCATGCAAGACAAGCACAAAAGCACCACCCACGCCTCTGAGAACATTGGACCATGCACCCTTGGAAAACGCTTTGCCTCCTTCAACACAAGCAATCTTTCTCTAGCACTCTTCCATCAGTAGTCAAGCATGCCTGTGTACATGATGTCAGTTCCTTTGCACCCTGACTGCATCATCATGTGGCAGCCAATGGTGTCAAATGGATAGGAAGTCAACCCAGCAATGGCAGTGATAGTCTTTGCGATCATCCGGTTGATGATGATGTAAGTGTTCTTGGGATCTGGAAGCATTCCCTTTGCAGTGTCATAGATACTGAAGTAGGCAGCTCGGTAGATGATAATACCCTGCACAGACACGTGAAAGCCTTGGTACAGGCCCTTAATCCCATCACATTTGTAGATCTTAACCAGGCAGTCACTGAGGCCTCGGAATTCCCTTTCAGCTCCAGCTTTACCCACATCGGCTGCTAGATGGGCAAAATCAAGAGGGTACACATAACACAAGGATGTGGCCCCAGAAACACTGCCTGATGCCAGATTCCCTTCAAAGTAGCGCCAAAACTGGGTCCTCTTGTCCACACCACCCAGGAAGATCTGCTTTTATTTATCTTTGAAAGCAAAGTTAAGAGCCTGGGTGGGGAAGTATCTGATGACATTGGCCAGGTTACTGCGCCAGAAGGACAGGACTCCCTGCTCCTTGAGAATACGGACCTATATGGTCTATAATGCCCTTGTATTGCTTATCTGCGGTGATCTGCTTGCTGGCACACTGTACCTGCAGCAGCAGCTCGATCCGCTTGATGGGAGCAACCTCCGTCTTGGAGATGGCCGTGGCCACTCTACCTGCCAGGAAGTCCTTGAAAGGAAAGAGGAGGCAGGTTGCTGCCAGAAGGGACTGGGCCGGGAACCAGCTTTGACTCCGGGGCTGCGGGTCCATTTGAAACTCTTAAATTGTAAGTTGTGTGACCATTGCCTCATCAGACGATACAGTAAACCAGAGTGAACAAAAAACCAAAATTCTGCATGGATTATTAACTAAAAAGAGGAAAACTAAAATTATTCATAGGAAAGATTAGCAAAGGTTACTCATAGTACAGCTGGATGACCTTCAAACCAAGATTATGCAGATGCGTTGAAAGAGATGGGAGAAGAAAAGCATAATATTTATTGGACCTGATGGCATCTCACAGGATTCAGGCTCATAATTTCCTAAGTGACTCAGCTGCCATTGCACAATCAGTGCTTTGAAAGACACATTTCCTCAAGACAACTCCAAAATACTAATGGTGTTTTCCTGACCTATGAACTAATCTCCATCTCCAATTTACCTAAATACATTCCAGATTGCCGTGTTTACCTAATGGATCGGCTAATTTCTATTTCATTAAAAATATCTTAAAAGCCCTTACTACACACACTGATTGATTTAATTTTCTTCTGCAAATCTAAATAGCTGTAGGAGTCTGAGCTATTAGCCATCAGTATTTCCTGTGTTATTTTGAGCTTCTTCAAAAGATTTCTGTTTTGGTCGTGTGCTGAAAATAAATTTCAGTCAGATAATTATTCTTTATTCAGGAAGAGGCTGAAAGTATGGGGAACTTAAAAATTAAAAGGAAAAAAATAGAGCAAAGCTGTTGTAATCCCCAAAGGCAAAAACTTCAATCCAGAAAAGTGGATTCCTTTTCAATTTACAACAACAAAAAAAAAACTTGAGAAAATAAACATCGTGGCTTAGACAAGTTTCCATCGCTAAAAGTTGTTCTTCGCTAAGAAAATCAAACCACAAGTATGTGTAAGAAGTGATAGGGTACAGGGTACTGAGAGAATGAGTGAACATTAGTGAACATTCTGAAATTCATTTGATCAAGTTCATAAGATTTTGGCCACTGATACATAATCTTATCAGGAACTAGGAAAAAAAAAGGTAATTTTATGCTTCCTATCAGGAAGGTAGTGTTTCTCACTTCCAAGAACTTAGCACTAGGTAGATCTTGGTTATGACTGATAATTAATAAGTTACAGTAAAGAGTATAAGTTATATTCTTTCCTGACTTTAGCTTTCTTGGGAAAAACGCATACTGACTAGCACTGTGTCTGTTTACTCATTTATCTTTCCTATGTTAATAAAATTTAGTACGTTGTCACTAGAGGCAAGCAATTGGTTTGCTAATATCCTTTAGGAAATATACTTTGTTTAGACAAAGTTTTAAAACAATCAGCATCCGGACCAAACATCTGATAAACTGTAAAGCAGGAATAGGTACTTTAATTTTAGAGTAACGATGACTTATTTCCTCTCATTGCAGGTCTGTGGCTTCATGTTTCTTTCTAGGACCCGATACTTAGAGGGAAGAAGTTGCAAACAATGCTTTAGTAAAGGCATATTATCAGAGTCACAATCTCATTTAGTTTCTTGGTTTAAGGAGCCCAAAATAAGTTATAATTTACTGAAGGTGTTAACTACTTCTTTTGTATGTCAAAAGTATGGGTTAGAAACAACTTGTCCTTGTATTGGAGTCAGTGCAGGAAATCTGTGAGAGTTTGTGGATATAGTGTAGTAGTTTTTGATGATATTTCTGTAATTTGTGTTGAAAAACATTTCCAGGATATTTACGTTCATCTTTTTTGTTTCCTCCCCCTAAATGAACATAGGGGTTTCTACACTTCGCTTGAAGGAAATGAAAAACAATAAAATTAGATCATTGCCCTTCCATTTTGTTGTTGTTGTTGTTTTTGCATTCTTTTCAACTCTCCAATAAAGACAATTAACTGGTGTAAATGTTAAGTTATGGCAAAACAATTATTGTGTTAGTCTACCTCTAACAAACTCTAGTCAAATGATTGTGTGAAAATTCTAGCCTCTATTGTTTCTTTATTGGGAAAGTCTTTGAAAATCAAAAAGGTTTTTATGAACTTCAAAAAGGTGTGATGGCTATTTGTTTGAACTCCTTTGAGAGAATTCTCCCACAGATTTGCAGAACATAGTGTTGTGATGTTAGAAACTCAAATGCTTTTCATACAGGATGTTAGGGCATGCACACGTGTCTGCTGCTGTGATGTGGGAAGCACAATACCTCCAGGTTCATAAGGATGTCAGCTATAAACAGGATGCTGAGTAGCAGCTAAGGACACAGTGCCTCTCCAAGAGAGGAAAGATCTGAAGGTATTATGGCAGTATTCTGCTGGAGTAAACATAAGAAACATATATTCAGATCTTTTTCCAAAGATGATACATAGATTCTAAATGTGTCCCAAACATAAAATTCTGTTGTAGGCAACAGACTTTAATACAACTCTAGAATATCCTTCAAATATTTCAAGCACAGTACACGTATTAGTATTTTCCAAGAAGTGCTTTATTTTATGATGACAAAAAATAAATAAAATGACATTTGGCCTGCTTATTTCTGAGTTCCCTTCTGATCAAAGATAGTGAGAATTTATAATTCTATGCTGTAGATAGAAATAACTTTTTCACTAATTTAAATACAACATTTCTTTCTGTATGCTAGTTTTACAGGAATAGGCTGGGTGCAATGACTCACACCTACAATCCCAGCATTTTGGGAGGCCAAGGTGGCAGGATTTCTTGAGGCCAGGAGTTCAAGACCAGCCTGGGCAACACAGGGAGACCCTAACTCTACCAAAAAAAAAAAACTAGCCAGGCATGGTGTTGTGTGCCTGTAGTCCCAGCTATTCAGGAGGCTGAGGCAGGAGGATCACTTGCGGCCAGGAGTTTGAGACCAATCTGGGCAACTTAGCAAAACCCCATCTCTAAAAAAAAAGAAATTTATAGGAATAAATTTATATGTATTATATATATTAGATAAATAGATATATATATATTTATTTATTAAATAAATGATATATTATTATGATAAGGTATAAATGTTTATGATTTAGTAGTGTTTATACTGCTATAACCATTGATCTTATAAAGATTTAGATTTTTATCACTTTTGGAAAGATACAAACTAAACAGCACATTAATAATTGCCTTTGGTTGGGAGCTGGATGCTCAGGAAATCCAAAGCAAGACAGTTTAGGCAGTAAATGTGTTCTCTATCAGTTGTCTCTATGAAATCCTTATTAATGATAAATAATAAAAAATTAGCCAGGTATGGTGGCATATGCCTGTAGTCCCAGCTACTTGGGAGGCTAAGGGGGGAGGACTGGTTAAGTCTGGGAATTTGAGGCCGCAGTGAACTAAGATTGCACTGCTACACTCCAGCCTGGGAAACAGAATGAAACTCTGTCTTTCAAAATTAATAATAATAAATAAATAAATTGTGGTCTCTGCATTCTTTTAAAGGGCAGAATCAGTGTGATGAATCAATGAGGGCATCAAGGAATCCAGCTTTTCAAAGAAATGCTTTCTCATCTCCATTATCCCAAATCCTTATTACTATTTTGTGCTGCTTCTTTCCTGTCTCTACATTTTAGCACAGTAAGCCTCCCTCTGCTCTGCCTCCTTGCAGTGAAACTGAAAACTGTCAGGATGAACTCAAAACTCTACTCCAGCTCAATCTTACTTAAATCTCTATTCATATTCTCGGTTGATTCCCCCACCTGTCTTCTTGGCCCATCTACTTTCTGCTTTCAATTCTTGCTCCACGTATTAGATTTTCTTTCAAATGCATCTTCAACTTATATTCAAGATTCTCTGATCTTAAAAGAAAATGCAAGTAGCAGCCACTTCTGTATTTATGCCCTATTTTGCCTTACTTCTTTCTCTTCCATTACGTACTCAAGTCCCACTCATTGTTTTCATCTCCTTACTGCCTGTTCACTATGTAATGTCCTGAAACCTGGCTTCAGTGCTTACATCTGCCCTTTACCTTGGTTCAGCTCTCACTGAGGTCATCAGCCAAGTACTAATAGTTAAAAATCTGGATTTAAAAAAATTTCAGTCTGGGTGTTACTAGACTTTTCTGAAGAATTTGAAACTGCTCATTACCCATACCTTGAAGTTTTTAAGCCCTTTAGTTTGGCAACAACTTACTTTCGGCTCTCCCCCTCCTCCTCTTCTTTTGATTACTTTTCAGTCTTTTTTATGGACTCTCCTTTCTCCCAGATTTCTAAATACTGACTGTTTTCCGGTATCTGTCCTGTGGTCTTCTCATTCTTCATACTCTTCCTGAGTTATTTCATTTATCAACCGTATGTGGACAACTCTTGTTGCAAGTGGACCTAAATACAACTCCTAGGTTCTTTTTAGTAGATTACTGTAGGTGCAGAAGTTTTGAGGAAAGTGGGAGTTAGCTACACTCCACTATCATTACCTGGTGATTATGAAAGCAAGTCCCAGACCAAATTCTGCTACATGCATCAAACATTTATTATCTAAATATTTATTAGAATATAATCACAAAAGAAACAATTTGTGCAACCTGTTCTGCAGGCCTGAGGAAATACCAAGATTCCAGAGGTAGTGGTTCTGTCACCTCTATCATCAGCATCTGACAATCAGAGTCTCCCAGTTTCATAGTGTACACTCACCTGTGGCATCATCCCTGAGAGTATAGGCTTTTGGCCTTGCTTCTTTCTTATCCTCTGTTCATGCATTCATAGGGATAGAAAGGGAGTGTTTCTAACACATTGTTTGTAGCTTAACTTTCACTGGAAGCACATTTCATAGCAATAATTAAAAGTCACTCATTACACCAATAAATACCTGTTTCTAACAATTACTATAAGAATAATCAAAGAGCCGGGCGTGGTGGCTCACACCTGTAATCCCAGCACTTTGGGAGGCCAAGGCGGGTGGATCATGAGGTCAGGAGACTGAGACCATCCTGCCTAACACACGGTGAAACCCCGTCTCTACCAAAAAATATACAAAAAATTAGCCAGGCGTGGTGGCGGACCCCTGTAGTCCCAGCTACTAGGGAGGCTGAGCCAGGAGAATGGCGTGAACCCAGGAGGCAGAGCTTGCAGTGAGCCGAGATTGCGCCACTGCACTCCAGCCTGGGTGACAGAGCGAGATTCCATCTCAAAAAAACAAACAAACAAAAATGAATAATCAAAGAATTGGTTTCAATGGAGATCCAGAAAACAAAATTGCTTATACTAATAGAAGGGCCTCTGGAGTTACTATAAGAATAATCAAAGAATTGGTTTTGATGGAGATCCAGAAAACAAAATTGCTTATACTAATAGGAGTGTCTCTGGAGTACAGGGTATTTGAGTGAGAGTCAACTATTCCTCTTGAACTGTGCATGCTTAATTAGAGATGGGCAGCATCTAGCTTATAGCTTAATCTAATTCTACATAAAATATCACACTATATGTGTGGAAGTGTTTGAAAGTCAATTATACACATCATAGCAACTCCATTCCTGGGTCTTTATCTTCATCTCAGAACCTTCACTCCAATTCCAGATTTCCATGCAAATGGTTCCATCAAAAACTCAATCTGCCAAAACTGAACCCATATTTTTTCCTTTTCTAATCCAAGAATGTTCCTCCTTCATGTTTCCTACTTTTGTGTGTGGGTGTGTGTGTGTATGATTCATTACCCCTCTTCCCAGAGTCTTATACACATGTGATCACTCAGCAAATGCTGTCAGTGTTGGAGCCAAAATGCTTCAGATTCCAACTCTGTCATTTACTATGTGACCTCATGAAAGTTCCTTAACCTCTCTGAACCTCAATTCCCTTATCTGTAAAACAGGGATAATAACATCTGTTTCACAGGTTTAGGTTAAGAATGAAACAAGATAAAGGAAAGTACCTAACATAAGGCTTGGCATGTGATAAAGTCTTACATATGTTAGTTTCCACCCTTTACCCCTTCTTCCACACCATTGTCATCCTTTGTTGACTGAGTTTGTGGTTTTAAACTGATTCCTAATTAATTCATTCAGTATTCAATTAGTCCTTCATGTGCTTGAAAGGCACCTATGCAAGGTGTTAGAAACACAATTGTGACAAAATAGACATTGCCCTTGTTCTAATGAAGGTACTTTAAAAAAAATTATTTGAGACAGAGTCTCACTCCATTGACCAGCCTAGAGTGCAGTGGTGCAATTATGGCTCACAGCAGCCTCAATCTCCGGGACCCAAGCAATCCTCCCACCTAGGCCTCCCAAAGTGCTGGGGTTACAGGTGTGAGCCACTGTGCCCAGCCTAATGAGAGTACATGTTAATGGGGAAAACTAATATGTAAAGATTAACAGATAAATGATTATTACAAGACAAAACAAGAAAGGATTATGAAGGAAATACACAGGCAGATGAATCAGAGACCAATAGAAGCTGGGAAGTGGGGTGGGATTGTGATCCGTGGAATGGTGCAGTCTAAATGTTGTTTATTCACTGTCTGCAAAAAGAAAAACGCACACACTGAGATTAGGTGTTAGAAACTTTTATAGCAGTTTGGCGTGGCTGTAATAATTGTTGTGTGTGTTAGATAACTAGGTAAAAAGAGTAGAGGCCATCACACTCCTGTTGCTGGTGGCGTGAGCTATGTAGAAGTACTATGCACAATAGAACCATGTTCCAACTTGGAATATTTTAGTTTGTCAACTGTAAGCCAAATGTGTACATAATCCAAAATTTATTTCTTTCATTAAAAGCTAATTTAAATTTAACCGTAACTCTACAGGAAAAATTACTGAAACTGGTTACTAATGCACAAGTAATTATGAATTTTAAAAATACAATGTCCCTTGTTTCATTTTGATCAGTTAAAAATGAAAATTTCTGCATGTACTGAATGACCTTTTTTTCATTCATATCAGCATCCTCTAAGATGCTGTCTCTACTATTAATGTAATACTGATAAAACATAGAAGCAGTTAAATATATATTATCTTCTGCAAGCAGAGTTGTCATCAATTCAACCTAGATTAGACGAATTAAGAGGCAAAAAACAAACTCATTTGTCATGCTAAAAACTTTAAGTATCAATACACACTATGTTTGTTTAAAGTGTGTTTAAAGGCTTTTATTGTTGGGAGTCACCATTTCACTAAGTTTTGTTTAGTCATGATAGCAAATCAAAAAAGTTATGAGTAGAGTAGCAATTTTCCATATGTACTGCCTATATACACACTTTTAATGAACAGTATTTACCATTTTTTTTTTTTTGAGACGGAGACTCGCTATGTCGCCTAGGCTGGAGCGCAGTGGCACGATCTCGGCTCACTGCAAGCTTCGCCTCCCGGGTTCACGCCATTCTCCTGCCTCAGCCTCCCGAGTAGCTGGGATTACAGGTGCCCGCCACCACGCCCAACTAATTTTTTGTATTTTTATTAAGAGACGGGGTTTCACCATGTTAGCCAGGATGGTCTCGATCTCCTGACCTCATGATCCGCCCACCTCAGCCTCCCAAAATGCTGGCATCACAGGTGTGAGCCACCGTGCCAGGCCGTATTTACCATTTTTTATTGTATTTTGTGTTTTTACCCACATTAGGCTTGTTCTTATTATATTTACTAAAAATGTAACCTTATGCTTGATGAATTTAATAATAAAATATTGGGGCTTTATTTTGAAAGTATTTATTTTTATTTCATTTTTCTACTAATTTACTTTTATTGTAGTTTATAAAACTATTAGTCCATGATGAATTGGAAAAAAAATAAATCTAGTCTTTGCCAATTGAAAAGCAGTTCTGTAGATGAGTGGTTGGGGAAAGTGCTCTAGGGAAGGAACAATAAAAGCATGAAAACTGTAGTTTTGTATTTTCAAAATGCCTCAAAAAGTCATGCCTTTCTGTGCTTATTCTCACAGTTATACCTTAGTTTAGACTCTAGTCATCTATAACAGAGACATCTAAAAAACATATGATCCTGGGGAGTTTCTTCTTTTTTTTCTCTCTTTCTCCTCATGTCTTTTGTTTCTCTTCTACATCTATCCTGAAAACAACAATAAAAACAGGCACAGACCCTTCTCTAAACTTATGGAATGGTTATTGCTTGTACAACTTTAGGGTATTTCTTATAAGCTGCTTTATTTTGTCAAGTTTTTATGTGTGTTTTTTTATATGTACACATGTATATTTGTGCTATATGTCTCTCTATATATGTAGAAAAGAGAGAGAGAGAATGACAAAGAAAGAGAGAAGAACAGAGAAAACATGTCATCATCTCCTAGACAAAAGTGAAAGTTCTGTACAGGTATGAACTACACTGTATACTCGATATCCAAAGGACCCTTCACATAATAGGTACTCAATAATTTCTTGTTGATGGCAGTGCAGTGGTAAGTCTAACAATGCATTCCCTTCAATTGATTCTCTTTTCCTGTCTCATTCTTTGCATAACAGTAAGTACAATTTTATTAAAGCTCATTATTTTTGTTGGGGAAGAAGTTTTGAGAACTTCAGTTATTGACTCAGCTAACCACAGGATGTCTCTGCAGAGAGCAGACCACAGTGGTCTGGTGGTGAGCTTGCACAGTCATGTGTACCCTGGGACCCTCCAGATCTCCTGGTTACCCTATGTGACCTTTCACCAATTCATTGCTGACTTGATCATGGATGAAATTATGTCTTCACTTGGACTAATTTCTAGGCCCTTAAAAGAAATGTAATAGACAACTTACCCCTCTCCCCACCAAAAACCCCTCATTTTTATCAATTATAGTTTCATAAATAGAGATGTATAATTTAAATATGTAAATAAAAATGAGAGAAAGAGTACATTAAATAATTGCAGTGTGAATCTTGTCTCCAAAGTCAAGACCTGATGAACTGTCTCTTTTCCAAAATCAGAGTTCACAATTCTCATAGTAATGTAACTATCTCAGAGAAGGACATTTGAATGTACATTTGCTGCCTTTACTGGGATTTAACAACAGTGCTTTTTTTTCTCTCCTAGAAAGTAAACTATGCTTGAAAGAAACTGTAGAGGTTCTTTCTCATGGAGTGAAATAACTACCCTCAAAATAAATAATGATCAAACGGTTTGTAAACCTAGGAATAATATTACATTTAGAAATAAAGGTCCAAACTTCAATAAAATCGTGTTGCAAAAAGCATTTTTTTTGCATTTTTTTATTTTTTATTTTATTTTTAATTACACTTTAAGTTCTGGGATACATGTACAGAACGTGCAAATTTGTTACATAGATATACACGTGCCATGGTGGTTGGGTGCACCCATCAACCTGTCATCTACATTAGGTGTTTTTCTTAATGCTATCCCTCCCTTAGCCCCCCACCTGTCGACAGGCCCCAGTGTGTGATGTTCCCCTCCCTGTATCCAGGTGTTCTCATTGTTCAGCTCCCACTTATGAGTGAGAACATGTGGTGTTTGGCTTTCTGTTCTTGTGTTAGTTTGCTGAGAATGATGGTTTCCAGCTTCATCCATGTCTCTGCAAAGAACATGAACTCATCCTTTTTTATGGCTGCATAGTATTCCATGGTGTGTATATATGCCACATTTTCTTTATCTAGTCTATCACTGATGGGCATTTGGGTTGGTTCCAAGTCTCTGCTATTGTGAATAGTGCTGCAATAAACATACGTGTGCATGTGTCTTTATAGTAGAATGATTTCTAATCCTTTGGGTATATACCCAGTAATGGGAATGCTGGGTCAAAGAGTATTTCTGGTTCCAGATCCTTGAGGAATTGCCACACTGTTTTCCACAATGGTTGAACTAATTTACACTCTGACCAACAGTGTAAAAGCATTCCTATTTCTTTGCATCCTCTCCAGCATCTGTTGTTTCCTGACTTTTTAATGATTGCCATTCTAACTGGCATAAGATGGTATCTCATTGTGGTTTTGATTTGCATTTCTCTAATGACCAGTGATGATGAGTTTTTTTTCATATATTTTTTGGCCACATAAGTATCTTCTTTTGAGAAGTGTCTGTTCATATTTTTTGCCCACTTTTTGATGGGGTTGTTTGTTTTTTTCTTGTAAATTTGTTTAAGTTCTTTGTAGATTCTGGATATTAGATTGTCAGATGGATAGGTTGCAAAAAGTTTCTCCCATTCTGTAGGTTGCCTGTTCACTCTGATGATGGTTTCTTTTGCTGTGTGGAAGCTTTTTAGTTTAATTAGATCCCATTTGTCAATTTTGGCTTTTGTTGCCATTGCTTTTGGTGTTTTAGTCATGAAGTCTTTGCCCATGCCTATGTCCTGAATGGTATTGCCTATTTTCTTCTAGGGGTTTTTATGGTTTTAGGTCTTACATTTAAGTCTTTGATCTATCTTGAGTTAATTTTTGTATAAGGTGTAAGGAAGGGGTTCAGTTTCAGTTTTCTGCATACGGCTAGCCAGTTTTCCCACCACCATTTATGAAATAGGGAATCATTTCCCCATTGCTTGTTTTTGTCAGGTTTGTCAAAGATCAAATGGTTGTAGATGTGTGACGTTATTTCTGAGGCCTCTGTTCTGTTCCATTGGTCTTTATATCTGTTTTGGTACCAGTACCATGCTGTTTTGGTTACTGTAGCCTTTTAAAGTAATTCAAAAACAGCCTAATAACTTTTGGTGGTATGAAGTTATCAGAAAGGAGACTTTTAGAAATTGTGCCTAGTGACTAGTTCGAGCTTCATTAAATTTCAGAACCAACTACTCCTAGGGCTGATTTCAATATCTTTCACATTCACAGCATGACTCTTCTATATGCTGTGTTCATGAGGGTAAAGCAGTTTGCAAGAATACTTTCAGGAAAAGATGTGGAGGAAGGAGATAGGCATTGGGTTGCAAATGTTTTTCAGTTAATCAAACCCAAACCAGGTTCCCTTACTTTTTCAAACCTTCTGTATTATAAGAAAATTTAATCCACATGTGTCTTACTGACTTATAATTAAATTACGGAATTTCAAAAAACAGCTGTTTAATGTCCAAAAAGTTATTTTGATGTTTTAGCTTATTCCATTCAAAACCAGAGTTGCATTTCTCCATCAGAAACTGATTTGAGGATCAAAGAGAGAAGTTCAATTTGAGACTCTAAACCTATTGTTCTGAGGTGAATGTTTAAAATCCATCAAGAATTGTCCCTCTTAAAGAACTCTCAGAGAGTTGGGGAGACATTTTGCTCATTTAAGTCTGTTCGACAATAGGATTTGGTGTGACTTACTTGGGGACATATTAAATGTCAAAAATCTTTTGTGTTTCAAAAGGCAGCAGGACAAAGACAAAGTTGATAAGTGTTATTAAAAGCTTCTCCATTTTGAAAGATCAACTCAGTTCACCAAATAGTAATTAAACATATAATATTGTATAAGTCAGGCTTCTTCAAAGATATATATCTCTCTATATATATATATATCCTCTCTATATATCTATATCTATATATGTACCTTCTATATATATTCATATATAGAACATCCTTTATATATATTCATATATATATAGAACATCCTTTATATATATTAAGGATGCTTCAACATCCTTAATATATATATATGACGTTCAACATATATATGTATAAATATACATATGTTGAACATCCCTAATCTGAAAAGCTGAAATTTGAAAGGTCCCAAAATCTGCAACTTTTTGATCTCTAATGATGCTACAAGTGGAAAATTTTACAGCAGACATCACGCGATGGGTCGTGGTCAAAATGCACGTTGTACAACACACAGTTGATTCAGCATCCTCAAGGAAAAAAAGACCCTCCCAGTCCCCTTCAGCTGCCATATGTTTTTTCTGCACATGCACAAATTCCCCTATGTAAGCACACACACAAAGGGTAATAAATTGATACATGTGCAGGCTGGATGCACCAACGGCAGGTCCTCCACAATGCTTTGCTTGGGGCTGAGATTTACATGCATTACTCACTGTGGGTTTTTGTTTGGTTTTTGCTTATTCTCTGCTCTGCAGTATAAAATTATTTTTATAAATGTCAAAAAGGCCTGCAGATACCCCTATGGGTAATAGTGGTAAGAAACAAGGAAGAAAGCATTTATGTTTATCTATAGGAACTGGACAGTGACATAAGTGTGAAATGTCTTACAGAAGAGTATGGAGTGGAAATGACCACCATATGTGACCTGAAGAAACAGAAGGAGAAACTGTTGAAGTTCTACGGTGAAAGTGATGAACAGAAGTTAATGAAAAAGTAGAAAAACACTGCATAAAGCTGAAATGATGATCTCAATTGTGGATTGAAAGTATGCATACATCAGCATTGCAATGAACACATGCCACTTAGTGGTATACAGATCATGAAACAAGCAAAGATTTATTGTGACGAACTGAAAATTAAAGGGAACTAGAAATATTCAACAGGCTGGTTGCAGAAATTTAATAAAAGACATGACATTGAATTTTTAAAGATTTGTGGTGATAAAGCATCTATTGATCATGAAGCAGTGGATAAATTCAATGACAAATTTGCCAACGTCATCACTGGTGAAAATCTGATGCCAGGGTAAGTTTATAATGCTTATGATAAATAACTGTTGTGGTCCATTTCTCTGTCAGCAAGGGAGGATGTTGGTGTTGAGGTTGACATATCTATGAAGGACAGTAACTAGTGTAGCTTTCAGTGCTTTGACAAAATTTCAGATGCGTGATATTCTGGCCAAGCATCTGTGATTTCATATTGTTGGAGCATTTGTTGTATCCCTTAGGCTTGCAGCTGTGGCTGAACCAAGAAAGAAGACAAGTGCAGATTTCCACAGAAATAATTATTCCATGAAAGATTTTGAGGAGATGAGGAAGGCTGGTATCTTTCAGACTACAAAGTGATATTGGAATATAAAGAACTTCTTGCTGGCTGTGGTAGCTCACACTTGTAATCCCAACACTTTGTGAGGCCGAAGTGGGAGGACTGCTTGAGCTCAGGAGTCTGAGATAAGCCTGGGCAACATAGTGACACCACGTCTCTACAAAAAACTAAAATATGTATAAATAGACCAGGCACAGTGGCTTACACCTATAATCCCAACACTTTGGGAGGCTGAAGCAGGAGGACCATTTCAGCCCAGAAGTTAAAGAGCAGCCTGGGTAACATAGGGAGACCCTGTCTCTACCAAAAATTTAAAAAATTAGCCATGCATAGTAGTGTGCACCTGTGGTCCCAAGAACTTGTTGAGGTTAAGTTGGGAGGATTGCTTGAGCCTGGGAAGTCAAGTCTACAGTGAGCCATGATTGCACTACTGCACGCCAGCCTGGGCAACAGAATGAGACCCTGTCTCAAAAAAAAAAAAAAAAAGTGGGGATGCTGAATTTCCTAGAAGGGTAATTCTTTGGGTTGAATTACCTAGAAGTTTTCCGCTGACCTGTGTTCCTGAACTATAAAGCATAAATCTGTTGGTTAAGAAATAGTTTCTCTTGATAACAATGAACAAATGAAGAACAAAATCATTGTTCTCGTGTTGTTGTCCCAGAAAGGCACTGACTACAACTGATTAGGGTTCTACAGAAACTAAGGATGCCAAGGACAGAATAACTGCTGGGATGTGCTAATGCAGTAGGCACACATAAGTATAAATTTTCTACAACAGGCAAAAGCTTATGGCCTCACTGTTTTCAAAGAGGGAATGTCTTATTAGTCCATTATTATGCTAAGAAAAAGGGATGAATCAACAGGGACATCTTTTATGATTAGTTTTACTAACATTTTGTTCCAGCAACTTGTGCTTACTGCAGGGAAGCTGAACTGGATGATGACCGCAAGATTTTGTTATTTTTTGACTCTGCTCATCCTACATCTGAAACTCTCATTAAAAAATAATGTTTATATCATATACTTCTCCCCAACTATGACTTCATTAATTTAGCCATATTAGGGTACCCTTAGATTTATAAAGAGTAAATATAAAATCACTTTCTTGAACAGCATGTGAGTGGCAGTGAACAGTGGCATGAACGTGAAAAATTAAAAAAAAAAAAATTAGCATGAGGGACGCCTTATATTCTATTGCCAATGCTTGCCTCACAGTGACCAAAGACACAGTTGTGCATGCCTGGCACAACCTCTGGCCTGAAACTCATGTTTAGGGATGATGATGGACAAGGTGATGACTTTGAAGGATTCCATATGTCAGGTGAGAAGGAAATAATGTCTGACCTCCTTACATACAGAAAAAATATATTTTCAGAGTCCATCAGTAAGCTGGAAGAAGTGAATATTGACGTTTTTAACATCAGTAATGAGGCTTCAGTTGTTCATTCATTGAGTGGTGGTGAAATAGTCAAACAGTTCTGAATCAAAGCAATTGTGATAATAGTGATGATGAAGATGGCGTTAACACTGTAGAAAAAGTGCCTGTAGGTGATGTGGTAAAAATGTGTGATGAGCTTATTGAAAGACTAGAGCAGTGTGCCTTCTTTTTTATTATTTTATTTTATTTACATTTGTAGAGATGGGATCTCACTTTATTATTTCCCAGGCTGGTCTGAAATTTTGGGCCTCAAATGATCCTCCTGTCTTGGCTTCCCAAAGTGCTGGTATTACAGGCATGCCACCACGCCAGGCCCAGCACGCATTCTTCTTTTTCTTCCTTTCTTTCTTGTCTCTTAAAAAATTTTTCCCACATACAGTCATTCCCAACCAGCATGCATTCTTAACAGAACAAGAAATCATGTCAATTTATATAGCCAAAGAGAGACTTCTAAAACAAGAATGTTGTTAATGAGGCAGATGACTGGAGGAAACATTTTAAAAATCCATCCATCAGAATGCCTCAGTATCCCTAGATAATTAAATTCCTGGTCCCTTAACAGCTTCTGGTGTTTATTCTCACCTAAAAAATAAAACCCAGTGTGCAGTATCCTTTTAATCAAAATACAGCATCATGGATGGAGACTGAAAGCCTGCCATTGTTGACTGTTGCTGCTTAACAGCTGATACAGGTATTCTGCTGATGCCTCTGTAGTTTCCCTGAACACATTATTTTTTCACTGTGTTAATAGTATGTTGTATTTTTCACTGTTAACTAATTATGAGTGAATAAGTGTAAGAAAATAATTGCTTATCAGTAGCATATAAATTCAACATCAGGAATGATGGTGATGCCAAAGAACCATAGATTGTCTATGAGTGGCTGAGATAGTGACACTGGTGCTAGACAGGTTCAGTGTGCACAAACTTTATGTGTGAAATTATTAAAATATTGTGTAAAATTACCTCCAAGCTTTGTGAATAAGGTACCTATGAAACATAAATAAATGTTATATTAGGACTTGGGTCCCATCCCCAAGATATCTCACTATAAATATGCAAATATTCTAAAACCTGAAAAAAGCCAAATTATCCAACATTTCTGCTTCCAAGCACTTCACATAAGGATTATTATATATATTTATCCTGTTGCAATGGTTAATACTGATTGTCAGTTTGATTGGATTGAAGGATGCAATATTGATTCTGCTGTGTCTGTGAGGGTGTTGCCAAAGGAGACTAACATTTGAGTATGTGGGCTGGGGAAGGCAGACCTACCCTTAGTCAGGTGGTCACCAACTGCTGCCAGCCAATATAAAGCAGGCGTAAAAACGTAAAGTGACAAAACAGGCCTAGCCTCTCAGCCTACATCTTTCTCCCACACTGGATGCTTCCTGCCTTTGAACATTGGACTCCAAGTTCTTCAGTTTTGGGATTTGGACTGACTCTCCTTGCTCCTCAGCTTGCAGACACCCTATTGTGGGACCTTATGATTGTGTAAGCTAATGAAGAGGAGTTTATTAAGTATTAACTTACACAATCATAAGGTCCCACTATAGATAGGCTCTATACCTATGTATCTGTGTGTATGTGTGTGTGTGTGTGTGTGTGTGTGTATATATATATATATATATGAGAAAGGGAGTTTATTAAGTATTAACTTAATAGGATATATATATCCTATTAGTTCTGTCCCTTTAAAAGAACCCTGGTTCATACAGATTTAAGGATGGAGTTCTTTCATTGGTTTTGGAGTTTCAGGAGTTTGCTACTTAATATGATTAGACTCAAAAGTGCTAAGGACTCTATTTCTAATAGTATGGAGAACACTGATAGTCCTTGGCATGAACTATTTAAAGAGTTATGCAAAATAAATGCATTTGACACTCCTGATTCATTGCTCAGGAGAGGCAAGGAGTTTAGTGACTCTATACGTAATACCTTTGACCATATGTGGAGAACCAAGGAACATAATAAAGCTGGTTGGTTGTTTCTAAGTTCAGTGGACAAACTGATTAAAGAAAATGATGAACTCAAGAATTCTGTCTCCCGGCTTCAGAAGAAGATACTGAGCCTCAAATCTGCTAAGATTGCCCTGAGTGAGAGTCTTATCACCTGTAGAGAAAGAGCTGAAACTGTGGAAAAACAGACACAAGCTCTTATCATGTGAGTGGCTGACCTGCAACAAAAGATTCATGCACAGCCTCATCAGTCTACTGTTAAAGTGAGGGCATTGACTGGGAAAGAATGGGGCCCCGCAACTTGGGATGCGAATATGTGGGAGGACCCTGATGAAGCTGAAGACTCTGAGTTTGTAAACTCTGATAAACCTTTTTTTGCCAGAATTAACAGCTTCCCCATTCCCAGTAGTGGTAACATCTCCTCCCAGACCCATGCTGCCTGCCATCAGCCTTTCCACATTTGTCTGAGGAGATAAACCCTGCACTGCCTGAGGCAAGAGTGATGGCCGCCCTTGAGGCAGTTGCCAAGCAAAATAATGTTGATTCTCCTCAGAAGCTACCCTCAACACCTCTGTTTGCTTCTTCTTCTTCTTCTTCTTCTTCTTCTTTTTTTTCCCTCTGTTTGCTTCTAAACCTATAACCATACTAAAGTCCTGGCAGGCCCCTAGAGGTGAGGTTGAGAATGTGACCCATGAGGAGGTGTGCTACACTCGAAAAGAACTGTTTGAGTTCCCTAATTTATATAAACAGTAATCTGGAGAACAGGCATGGGAATGGATATTAAGGGTATGGGATAGTGGTGGAAAGAACATAGAGTTAGATCAGGCTGAATTTATTGATCTGGGCCCACTAAGTAGGGACTCTGCATTTAATGTTGCAGCTCAGCTCAGGGAGTTAAAAAAGGTTCTAATAGTTTATTTGCGTGGTTAGCTAAAATATGGATTAAAAGATGGCCCACTGTGAGTGAGCTGGAAATGCCTGATCTCCCTTGGTTTAATGTAGAGGAAAGACTTAGGGAGATGGGGATGGTGGAGTGGATTGTGGTCACCTTAGACCTACTCATCCCAGCTGGAAGGGTCCAGAAGATATACCCTTGACCAATGCCTTCTGAAATAGATTTGTGAGGGCAGCACCTGCATTTTTGAAGAGCCCTGTAATTGCTCTTCTCTGTATGTCAGATCTAATGGTGGGAACCACAGTCACTCAACTACAAAATTTAAATATAAATGGAATAATTGGATCCCGAGGTGACAGGGGCCAAGTGACAGCACTCAGCAATCAAAGGCAAGGTGGGCATAGCTCCTGTAATGGACAGCAGTGGCAAAGCAGCAATCAGAATAGTCTGACTCGTGAAGACCTCTGGCTTTGGCTAATTAATCAGTGTTCCTAGAAGTGAAATTGAGAGTTCCAACTCAACTCTCCTGAGTCTCCAGCTTACTGCAAGGAGAGCCAGTCTGAGTCCCAAAACTGAAGAACCAGGAGTCTGATGTTTGAGGGCAGGAAGCATCCAGCAGGGGAGAAAAATGTAGACTGAGAGGCTAGGCCCGTCTCATCACTTCATATTTTTCTGCCTGCTTTATATTGGCTCATGGCTGATTAGATGGTGCCCAACTGATTAAGGGTGGGTCTGCCTTCCCCAGCCCACTGATTCAAATGTTAATCCCTTTGGCAACACCCTCACAGATACACGCAGGATCAATATGGCATCCTTCAATCCAATCAAGCTGACACTCAGTATTAACCATCACAAGTCCACCCCTTGTCAACCTGAACCCACACACATCTCCTGAGATCATACACAATCTTCAAATAAAGACAACAATAAGGTCATAATTACACCTAACATAATACAACTATCCTTCATACAACTGGAAATGCACCAATCCCCAACCCAAATAATATTACATAAAGTTAACAACACTTACATGCTGATACAAAGTCAATTAATCACATGTCACATGATAAAGGAGAAGAAAATAAAATGAAGATATTTTCTTAGTACAAGTGTGTACATAAACAAACATGTTTTTAACAAAAGAAGGAGGAAATACTCATGACAATTATAGTCCTCATTTCAGCAGCTGGTCACGTGATCGTAGCTGATATTGATTAGTACCTTTTTTCTATTACCCATTCTGTATTCCCTTTGCCTTCAGCAAGCACCACAGCAGGTCTTATTTTTTTCCTGTTGGAGTGACCCAAACTCATTAGTGAGGGGTCTGGGCCATTTGTAGTCCTGCCTGGATGGGGCTGTTGTAGTTTCCCATCAACCTTAATCACAGGACATGGTAATGCTAAGAGATGCCCTAACAGATCTCTCATATTCCATGCATACTCTTCCTTACCTCTGGATGGAGTAGTAGACTGATTTCATCTTGATAGTCTGGGTCAATCACCCCAGCCAACACTGTAACTACCTTCTTAGCCTGTTGACTTAAAGATAGGAGAAGCCCAAAGTGTCCAGGTGGCGATCTTAACTTCTAGTTTGATGGAATTGTTGTTGTGTCTCCTGGTGGCAGCATTCCTTCCTCTGGATTTAAGACCTTCAGGCCAGCAGAATTTAATGTCATGGGAACAAGAAGCAAAAATTTTGCTAGTGGATCACTAGGGGTGATGGTGAGTGGTTCCACTTCCACTTGCACCCCTTGATTTCTGAACCTGTGAATCCTGGCTTTGGGAGAAACAGTACCATATGTTGGACACTGACTCAGAGCATACATGGCCTTCGGGAAAACTTTGCCCCAGGCTTGCAAAGTGTTGTCACCTAGCTGATATTGTAATTGTGACTTTAAAAGTCCATTCCACCATTCTATCAATCCAGCCTCTTCAGGATGACGGGGAATGTGGTAAGACCAGTGAATTCCATGAGCATGAGCCCACTGCTGCACTTCTTTAGCTGTAAAGTGAGTGCCTTGGTCAGAGTACATGCTGTGTGGAATACCATGATGGTGGATAAGGCATTCCATGAGTCCACAGATGATAGTCTTGGAAGAAGCATTGCATGCAGGATAGGCAAACCCATATCCAAAGTAAGTGTCTATTCCAGTGAGGACAAACCTCTGCCTGTTCCATGTTGGAAGAGGTCAAATATAATGACCCTGCCACCAGGTAGCTGGCTGATCACCCCAAGGAATAGTGCCTTATCGAGGGCTTAGTGTTGGTCTCTGCTGCTGGCTAATCGGGCACTGGTTAATATTAAGAAGTATTAACCAACACCTTAATAAAGCTTACAAAGGTTATAAAAGGCTTATGGAAGTTATATCTTATGGTCAAGATTAAAATTTTATAGATTGTTTATATAAAATTTTGAAACACAAATTTAATTGGCTTCATGATGTTTTTATTAGGGCTTATTGTTTGGAAAATTAAGTCTCCTATCTCAAAGAATGAAGGCTTTTGCTTTTTTTGAAATCCTTGAGTGATCACTTTGGTTAAATCAATGACTTATTTGACAATGACCTGTGATCCTATTTTGTGATAGCAAGTGTTTAAACCTTTGATATTTGACAAACTTTCCAAAATCAAATTATAAATCATATACTTTTTTGACCTAATTAATCCTTTAAAATAGTAGGTTCCCTAAAGTCCAAAAATGACATATTTAGTTTATTTGTTATACAAATTATACAGGAAGCATTGTCAAATATGAAATGGTGTTTGGCTTTCTTTGGGCTGTATTTGTATATATATGTTATTGGTATGTGTTCCAAAATTATGAGAAACTCCTATAATTCTGATATGACTTACTGTATTTTATCAGTAATAATTATAATTGTTATATTAAATTATTGTGTGCCACAGAGGTAACAAATTTCCTTGTCAATAGCGTCTTTGACTGTGGCTGCCCTAAAACTTTTTGTCATCCATAGATAATTGTCTTGTTTTGGTCCTCTTTAGAAGGTGGTTTTATAATCAGCTATAAAACTTTAACAGGTGCTCTTGAATGTAGGTTTCTGATAAGATTGGAGATTGTGACATCAGAACAGAGGAAAAACTTTCAAGACTCACAGATAGCTGAAATGTTCATGAATATCAAGCAGAACAGGAATTAACTGTGTGGACTGAACTAATAGAAGATTAAAGTAATCTTTTTGACCTTTTGCTTAAAATGTTGCTGATTCTTTGTTTTATTTTTCAGAGTCAAGGAAACCTTTCTTTTGAGCTGTTTACAGCTTTTAACAATTAAATAAAGTATACTTCTGTGAACAAAATTTGGAACATATTTATTTCTCTCTACCTCATTTCTCTAGAATTTAGAAACTATTTGTGATTATTCTTAATTTATGGCAATATGGTTATGTTCATAAATGTAATAAGAGTCTATTTTCATTTGTAACAAGACACAATTGGAGAAAGTGCTTATTTTACCAAGGCTTTGACTGAAATAGTGTGTTTTCCTTTAAGAAATTAAATTTGACTTATACGGCCAATAAAAGCCCCGTGGGAAAACTGGCCTCATACCTTGTCTACACAGTCCCTGTACAGGGTTCCTGACCTGTGGTAAGTAAAGAATGCCACTTTCTGACAGGTTCAGGAGCCCCAAGTTATCTTAGGACCTCAAGAGGAGGGGAATTCACCCAACTCATAGGTATTTGATGGTACAAATCCATGGCTGGGCTTGGTTTTAAGAAAGTCTTATCTGAGATTCCTTCTATGGAACAAAGTTCCATAAAAGCCAGTCTAAAAAGCCTATGTGAAAAGTAATTAGTCTTGCTGCACTTTATACAAATCATCTGGCCAAGTATAATAAAGCAAATTGGTCCTAACATGATTTGTCTTTAGTAAAAATGGGAAACTGCAGGGAGAAAAATTATGTTTCAAAAACTGTAGTACACCTGTTGTTAGATTCTAGTCTTGCCTAATGTTTTTCCAATTTTATTGTTTTCTACAGTTTGGACTGAATTCTAATTTTTCCAGCTACATAACTCCAAAATAATATTTTCATTTTTTTCTTCTTTCTTTTCCTTTTTCCTCCATTTTTCCTAATTTGAAATCACTGAAAATTAAGCTGTGCTTTATTAAAGCCCTGCAAACTGAAGCTAGACAACTTAAACTTTAGAAGAAAATAACAGCAACCTAGTTACATACATAAGCCACTTTCATACCTGCCTGCTGATGTATGGACTTCAGAGTAATGTAGCCTATATCAATTTTCCAGGATTGTTCTTTTGTTGTTGTTTTTCTCCCTTCCTTTCCCTATTTTGTCTTCATAGGATATGAGACTTCACAAGCTGCTAAAATGAGCTTTTCTAATAACTCAGGACCTACCTGATTAGGAATAAATCATCCTAGCCATGAGAGATCAGACAAAAGCTGAGACCAGAAATTCATTTTCTTCTAAAATACTTTCTCCAAAGATTTTAAAAACAAAACGGGGAAAATGTGAAAGGAAAATAAATATTGGGGCCCCCAAATCACAAAGCTAAAGGGAAAAGTCAAGCTGGGAACTGCTTAGGGTCAAGGAAACTTTTCTTTTGAGCTATTAAGAGCTTTAACAATGAAGTAAAGTACACTCCTGTGAACCAAATTTTGTTCAAATGAAAAGAGACTCTTATGCAAATAACTGTATTGCCATAAGTTAAGAATACTCACAAATAGTTTCCAAATTCTGGAGAAATCAGGTAGAGAGAAACAAATATGTTCCAAATTTTGTTCACAAGAATATATTTTACTTAATTGTTAAAAGCTGTCAGTAGCTCAAAATAAAAGTTTCCTTGACTGAAACAGGGCCAACAGCTTTTGACTGTTGACTTATTCTATTCAAAGTCATCCCTCTGCTCACTGAGATAAATGCATATCTGATTGCCTCCTTTGAAAAAGCTAATAAGAAAATCAAAAGAATGCAACCATTTGCCTCTCACCTACCTGTGACATGGAAGCCCCCTCCTGCTTCTAGTTATCTGGACTTTCTGTATGAAACCAAGGTACATCTTACATATATTGATTGATGTCTCATGTCTCCCTATAACGTATGAAACCAAGCTGTGCCCCAACTACCTTGGGCACATGTCATCAGGACCTTCTGAGGCTGTGTCATGCATGCAAGTCCTCAACTCTAGCAAAATAAACTTTCAAAATTAACAGACCTGTCTCAGATATTAGGGCTTCAAAAAACCTGTATGATACAGAAGTTTATTTTTTGACAAGAGAAATAAGATAAAAGATAATCAATATTTAGAGGAAAATGCGTAGGTGATACATGAAAATATAGGCTAATGAGGGAATTAGTAATAGGAAGAGAGTGAAAGCATGGTGGGTGAGAAGGATTGGTGCATGAAATGTGGGTTGGTATAAACAGTACAGAATTATTTATATCCAGCTACCTTCTTCTTAGGGGACAATTTCTGACTAACAGCTATTACTTCTAATCAATCTATCCTTGATACAATTTACAAGGTTTTTCTTTCCTTTTGAATTCTCTGCATGTAAAATAATAGTATTAAAGTCTTCTATTTGGTCAGGTACAAAAGGTTGCTTGGATTTTCCATTCCAGACAGAAATCATGAACCTTAGAAGCCTGGGCTCAAATCCTAGGATTCTTCCTTACAGGGGATCCCTTTATATTTAATTTGCTTTATTAGTTGTTGCTGCAGTGAGAACTGGTGAGTAATAATACTGACCTTATGGGATTTTTGTCAAGACAGGAGCACCTTACATAATAGCAGGCACATAGAAAATAGTCAACAAAGGGCAGCTGGGAGAAGTTATTACTTGTAAGGTGGCCAATAACAGGATATAAGAGAACACTATGCAATGACTCAGCACACCTTGACTTTACTTCTTTACTACAGGAAAAAAAAAAAAAAAGGAAAAAATAACACAGGAAGAACAAGCACTTCCTTGCTAGGAAGTAATTTATAATGATCACAAACACTATGTCTACTATGCTCTGCTCTGTGAAGAATAATTTTTTTTCTTCTTTTCAAAAACATCTCTTAAATGCTGACAGTGTTCTTCTCTTCTTATGCACATATATCAATGGGAAATTCATACTTAGAAAAACTGACTCCTTTGTGATATGAAGAGTCAAACTTTTGACTCTAGTATATGAGTCCTTGGAGGATGACCTTAAATTTAATGAAGGCAGAAATAGGAAGAAATTAAGAAATTTATTAACTATAAAAATGACCTACTTTCTGGTTTTACATGCCTTGGCATAATATATTAACTTATTTTCTAGAATATATTGCATTAACAGTGTTACTACTATTATGACATTGATTCCTATATAATCTATACGCCTATTTGCAACATCACTGTAAAACCTTCGATAATCACTTACTATCTCTGACCACTAGTTTCTTTTCAGAAACTTAGAAATAATAATACTTATCTAACAGTGTTATTGGGGAAACTAAATTAAATAATAATTGCAAAAATATTGAGCATTGTTTTGCATGGCCATAAGTGTTTGAAAATGAGACTGATAGCCTACAGTTCTGTTAACTTTCCTGGATTCTAATTCAGCAGATTGTCAAGAATATAATTCATTGGAAGCATTTAATATTTTATCTCAATGATGGTAAAGTCAAACAATTATATGTCTTTAATAACCTTCTATAAGATATGTTTCTTTACTGCTTTGGGAGATATAATCCTGCTTTTAATTTTGAAGTCTTCAAAAAACTAAAATAAACAAAGGATTTTGAAAAGAAATCATGATTAAGGAGATACTAACATGAAAAAGAAAATAAGATATTTTCTTTATGAAGTAAATTTAAGAGTAAATGCAGCTCATTTTAAACCCTAACTTACAGAAGTATAACAAATATTTGTAGGGAAGAAATACTTTGACAGTGTGTAAAGCAGTAAGACGAGTTTCTTTTCTGTCACATAAATGCCAAAAGTCTTGCAAAAGTCTTCTGATGATGAGAATCACAGTTTAAAGCTGGGTGGAAACCAAGGCTATATCCTACCCTGGGAATAGTAGACTTTATCTTCTGATATCTCTCCTGTCCCTGACTGTTGCAATGAGGTGCTGAGTACTAGCTAGCTATGTAGAAGAGGTTAGGAGATTGGGGTGAAGAATTTATTTAAAAAGATGCTCTATTGAGAATCTTGGGTCATTACCCCAACAGGTAAAAAATGCATTAAAATCATCTATGCTGACATCAATATAGTTTGAAAAAATGTAGATTACCAGGCTGATTTGGATCACTCAAAAGCATTGGGTAAACATCTGTGTGTGGCACTACACAAAGGAAACTAAACAGAAGTGTCCTGCTTCAAGGGCACAATTATAGGCGATTTTTATAAAGGCATTGATACATCCAGGAAGTCTACGAAAGCCTGCTGGTTCCAGTTTGCCTAAAGTATGAGGGGATTCAGGAAATAAGTTACTATACCCTATAAAGTTAGAAGGACCCTTAGGCATCCAGTGAGACTGCCAGTTGAGGACTCTGGTTCAGATCAAAAGACATCTGGCAGAAACTGACTGCTAGAAAAGGGGCTGTTGAGGCTCTTTTTCTAATCCACATTTGAGAGGGCAAATGACAAGCATCCCCTTTGGCTCAAAGGGGAGAGGCAGAGTCCAGGATGTTTAACATTCATTAGGCGCTAGATACTGAACAGATCAGGTAAGAGATTCATATTTATTCATGTGAATGAAGTAGGTAATGTCTTAAACATGCTATATAATTTGAAACATGTTGAAGACAGTTTTTGAAAGAATGTTTGATTTAATAAATGCTAACAAAAAGGAGTATCTTCAAATGGGGGCGGAGTGGAGGAAGAAGACATATCTTCCTTTGTGTTCCTACATTTCTCTAGGATCACAGAAAAGTTATGTTTTAAAGATATGCAACATAAAATTTTTTCCATGACTTCTTAAACTGAAACAGGAAAATGACCTTCAAAGAATTTCAAAGCAGAGAATGAGGTATTAAGATACAATGAGTTTCTATTGCTGTTTGTTTCCAACTATGTAATGCAAAGTGCATTATGACTCTAGTAAAGTCAGCACCATGGTAGAGGTCCTTCTTAAGAAATCTGCTAGCAGATTTGTTTTTCAAATAGGTAAATTGCCTGACTGTTCTTAGATACATTTATTCAATAATACAAGCAGAAAATCTTGAGTCATTTCTTTTTATACAGGCATATTTCTCAGCAGTTTAAAAGGACTGTTTTATCCTTGCAAATATGACCTTAGCTTTCCAAATAACCATAAAACTATTTTTTCTTTGCTGTCTCTCATAATTACTTGCAGAGTCAAATAATTGTTCAGTTTGTTACTGCTTCTTAAAACTAGAAAATAAATGTATCCAGATCATTTTAGTTCAGAGATGTTACAACTCTGATAGCTTTGATAATTCTCTCCTAAAAGTCAGTCAATTGAAAATTATGGAGCTCAAGTCAGTAAAAGTATTTCTATAAGTAGTGAATTTTGCTGCTGGAGATGAAACGCTAGTACTTCAGTAAAAAAAAGTAATGTGAATCAATACCTCTGGTGCAGTTGTGCTTGGTAGGCAGTCATATATAACTCCACATGCTGTCCAAGTTCTAGAACCCCTTATGAGAAGACTGGCTGGTGATACAGAACAAACCTCATGCAGAGATTGCTACTTAGTAACATGCTGAGCCATTGTCTTGGCTCGGGATTTCTATGAACCAGAGTGACCCAGGAGTTGACCCAGTTCAGTGCGTGTGGAGCTAAGTCCCAGATGATAACTGTTTGACCTGGTCAGCTGTTCAGGCTCCACCCCAAGACCTGCTGAATCAGAACCTGAATCAGCACCTGAATCAGCAATTGATGTTTTAACAAGCCCTCTAGGTGATTCTGTTGCAATTAAAATTTGAGAACCACTGCCCTAGACAGAAGCACAGAGAAGGAGCACTTAATTCATCCTTGGGCAGTCAGGGAGGCTTCAAAAAAGAGTCATTAATTTTGATAGAAATTTGTGAGGGATGAGAGGAAGATCAGAATGAGTGCAATACAAAGAGCAAGCATTTAAGAAAAAATATAGGGAGAATTTGTTCTACAAAAGATGTAGTTATGAAAACGGAATATTAAGTGTGTAGGCAAAATAGTGGGAAAGATGAAAAAGTGTTGCAGACTTTGTGTGCCATGAAAAGTATCAGCATCTTTGAAGAGCCACTTAAAGTAAGTGGAGTAGATGGTTGAAAGAGATCACAGAGGAAGGAGGTTGTAAAAGCCAACCTAGAACTACAAAAGAGAGAATGGATTCAACAGTTTCTTATGAGGTATATAATTAGCAGTGTTTGGTGTTTGATTAAAAGAAGCAGAAAGGGAATAATAGGATGAGAACCAGTTTTCCTGGATGGAGAAGAGGATGGTATTGTCACCAAATGAGATATGAAATCAAGAGGAGAATGTGTGTGCAATGCATGCACAACACACATTTAGACATCCTGAGTTTGCAAATGCTATAGGACCTCTTAAGGTTGATGTTCATTAGGAGACTAAATTTTATGTCTGAAGTCCTAAAGACAGTGTAGGTTGTAGGTTATACAAGTCATGAGAAAGGGCAAGATTCCTTAGAACTGCAATATGAAGCTATAGAAATTTTGTTTTCCTTAACTACTTTTAGCTCATGGATACTCTTCATGATCTGAAGGAACTATTGAACCTCTTCCCAGAGAAAGGCACTCACAGGTAAAACTCTGCCTCTAATCTCTGTATTTATGGACCCCTGGAAGCTTATCTTCTCATATCTAAGGACCCAGATGAAGAATACTTGCTGTGTAGTTCCAGTTGCCATGTGGTTCCAGAAGTCTTAGAAATCGTGATTAAAATAATACTAGATCAAGGTTGTGTAAGATAATGCTCAATACATGTTAGATGACAATAGCAAAATAAGTGTTAAGTATTTCAATTTTCCAAAAATGAACCTAAACCTTCTCATTTCCCTCTTTCTTTAATCTCTCCACACTACATGCCGTATTCCAGCTAGGAAAAACAAAAAACAAACAAATAAGAAACAAAATAAAGCAAAACATATTCATAATCCCTCTGTCCATAAAATCCAAATCTCTTTACTCTACATCCTTAAGCTGGCTTTGTTTCTTACATATGAGACTTGGGGATAGTATTGTCTAGTATAGTTTTTCCTGCAGTATATAGGGGAAAGGTCATGGGCAAATCATGCTATTTGAAACCATGATTTTGAATCTAGGCTGTGTAATTTGTGAATTATATTACCTAAACTTTAGTATCTTGATTTCTGAAACTCATTTTTTCATCTATAAAAAGGGTTAATGACTCCTATTTTGGAGACTAGCAAATTGAGATTAATAAATTTAGATATTGCAGG
Organism: Homo sapiens; assembly: GCF_000001405.40. Lineage (NCBI taxonomy): Eukaryota > Metazoa > Chordata > Mammalia > Primates > Hominidae > Homo > Homo sapiens. The sequence goes on along the minus strand of NC_000006.12, from coordinate 121,626,360 downwards.
AAGATTAAGTAGAGTGCACTGCAGACAGCATGTCTTCCCCTAAATCTTAATCAAGGCCAGTGTCAGGCCTCTGAGCCCAAGCCAAGCCATCACATCCCCTGTGACTTGCACGTATACGCCCAGATGGCCTGAAGAAACTGAAGAATCACAAAAGAAGTGAGTATGCCCTGGCCCACCTTAATTGATGACATTCCACCACAAAAGAAGTGTAAATGGCCAGTCCTTGCCTTAAGTGATGACATTACCTTGTGAAAGTCCTTTTCCTGGCTCATCCTGGCTCAAAAAGCACCCCCACTGAGCACCTTGCGACCCCTACTCCTGCCCGCGAGAGAACAAACCCCCTTTGACTGTAATTTTCCTTTACCCACCCAAATCCTATAAAACAGCCCCACCCTTATCTCCCTTTCGCTGACTCTCTTATTTTCACCTGCCTGCACCCAGGTGAAATAAATAGCCATGTTGCTCACACAAAGCCTGTTTGGTGGTCTCTTCACACAGACGTGCATGAAATTTGGCGCCGTGACTCGGATTGGGGGAACTCCCCTGGGAGATCAATCCCCTGTCCTCTTGTTCTTTGCTCCATGAGAAAGATCCACCTACGACCTCAGGTCCTCAGACTGACCAGCCCAAGGAACATCTCACCAATTTTAAATCAGGTAGGTGGCCTCTTCTTACTCTCTTCTCCAACCTCTCTCACTGTCCCTCAACCACTTTCTTCTTTCCACTCTTCAATCTCTCCCTTCTCTTAATTTCAATTCCTTTCATTTTCTGGGAGAGACAAAGGAGACACGTTTTATCTGTGGACCCAAAACTCCGGCGCCAGTCACAGACTGGGAAGGCAGGCTTCCCTTGGTGTTTAATCATTGCAGGGATGCCTCTCTGATTATTCACCCACGTTTCAAAGGTGTCAGACCACGCAGGGACGCCTGCCTTGGTCCTTCACGCTTAGCAGCAAGTCCCGCTTTTCTGGGGAAGAGGCAAGTACCCCAACCCCTTCTCTCCTTGTCTCTACCCCTTCTCTCCTTTCCTGGGGCAGGGGCAAGTACCCCTCAACCCCTTCTCCTTCACCCTTAGTGGCAAGTCCTGCTTTTCTGGGTGAGGGGCAAGTACCCCTCAACCCCTTCTCCTTCACCCTTAGTGGCAAGTCCCGCTTTTCTGGGGGAGGGGCAAGTACCCCTCAACCCCTTCTCTTTCACCCTTAGCGGCAAGTCCCGCTTTTCTAGGGGGCAAGAACCCCCAATCCCTTATTTCCGCACCCCAACCTCGTATCTCTGTGCCCCAATCCCTTATTTCCATGCCCTGACCCCTTATTTCCATGCCCCAACCCCTTATTTCCATGCCCTGACCTCTTATCTCTGTGCCCTAACCCCTTTTCCCACTTTTCTGGAAGGGAAGAACCCCCAAACCCCTTCCCTCCATTTCTCTACTCTCTTCTCTAGGCTTGCTTCCTTCACTATAGGCAACCTTCCACCCTCCATTCCTCCTTCTACTCCCTTGGCCTGTGTTCTCAAAAACTTAAAATCTCTTCAACTCACAACTGACCTAAAACCTAAATGCCTTATTTTCTTCTGCAATGCCACTTGACCCCAATACAAACTCGACTGTAGTTCCAAATAGCCAGAAAATGGCACTTTGAATTTTTCCATCCTGCAAGATCTAAATAATTCTTGTCCTAAAATAGGCAAACAGTCTGAGGTGCCTGACGTCCAGGCATTCTTTTACACATCAGTCCCTTCCTTGTCTCTGTGCCCAGTGCAAATCATCCCAAATCTTCCTTCTTTCCCTCCCGCCTGTCCCCTAAGTCCCAAACCCAAGCATCGATGAGTCTTTCTAATCTTCCTTTTCTACAGACCCATCTGACCTCTCCCCTCCTTGCCAGGCCTAGCTAGGTCCCAATGCTTCCTCAGCCTCCGCTCCTCCACCCTATAATCTTTTTATCGCCTCCCCTCCTCACACCTGGTCTGGCTTACAGTTTCGTTCTTGACTAGCCCTCCCCCACCTGCCCAGCAATTTACTCTTAAAAAGGTGGCTGGAGCCAAAGGCATAGTCAAGGTTAATGCTCCTTTTTCTTTATCCCAAATCGGATAGCGTTTAGGCTCTTTTTCATCAAATATAAAAATCCAGCCCAGTTCATGACTTGTTTGGCAGCAACCCTGAGACACTTTACAGCCCTAGACCCTAAAAAGTCAAAAGGCCGTCTTATTCTCAAAATACATTTTATTACCCAATCTGCTCCCGACATTAAATAAAACTCCAAAAATTAAATTCTGGCCCTCAAACCCCACAACAGGATTTAATTAACCTCACCTTCAAGGTGTACAATGATAGAAAAAAGTTGCAATTCCTTGCCTCCACTGTGAGACAAACCCCAGCCACATCTCCAGCACACAAGAACTTCCAAACACCTGAACCGCAGCGGCCAGGCATTCCTCTAGAACCTCCTCCCACAGGAGCTTGCTACATGTGCCGGAAATCTGGCCTCTGGGCCAAGGAATGCCCGCAGCCCGGGATTCCTCCTAAGCCACGTCCCATCTCTGTGGGACCCCACTGAAAATCGGACTGTTCAACTCACCTGGCAGCCACTCCCAGAGCCCCTGGAACTCTGGCCCAAGGCTCTCTGACTGACTCCTTCCCAGATCTTCTCGGCTTAGCAGCTGAAGACTGACACTGCCCGATCGCCTTGGAAGCCCCCTAGACCATCACGGACGCCAAGCTTCAGGTAACTCTCACAGTGGAAGGTAAGCCCGTCCCCTTCTTAATCAATACGGAGGCTACCCACTCCACATTACCTTCTTTTCAAGGGCCTGTTTCCCTTGCCTCCATAACTGTTGTGGGTATTGACGGCCAGGCTTCTAAACCTCTTAAAACTCCCCAACTCTGGTGCCAACTTAGACAATACTCTTTTAAGCACTCCTTTTTAGTTATCCCCACCTGCCCAGTTCCCTTATTAGGCTGAGACACTTTAACTAAATTATCTGCTTCCCTGACTATTCCTGGACTACAGCTATATCTCATTGCCGCCCTTCTTCCCAATCCAAAGCCTCCTTTGCATCCTCCTCTTGTATCCACCCCCCTTAACCCACAAGTATAAGATACCTCTACTCCCTCCTTGGCGACCGATCATGCACCCCTTACCATCTCATTAAAACCTAATCACCCTTACCCCACTCAATGCCAATATCCCATCCCGCAGCATGCTTTAAAAAGATTAAAGCCTGTTATCACTCGCCTGCTACAGCATGGCCTTTTAAAGCCTATAAACTCTCCTTACAATTCCCCCATTTTACCTGTCCTAAAACCAGACAAGCCTTACAAGTTAGTTCAGGATCTGCACCTTATCAACCAAATTGTTTTGCCTATCCACCCCGTGGTGCCAAACCCATATACTCTCCTATCCTCAATACCTGCCTCTATAACCCATTATTCTCTTCTAGATCTCAAACATGCTTTCTTTACTATTCCTTTGCACCCTTAATACCAGCCTCTCTTCACTTTCACTTGGACTGACCCTGACACCCATCAAGCTCAGCAAATTACCTAGGCTGTACTGCTGCAAAGCTTCACAGACAGCCCCCATTACTTCAATCAAGCCCAAATTTCTTCCTCATCTGTTACCTATCTCGGCATAATTCTCATAAATCACACGTGCTCTCCCTGCCAATCGTGTCCGACTGATCTCTCAAACCCCAGCACCTTCTACAAAACAACAACTCCTTTCCTTCCTAGGCATGGTTAGCATGGTCTGAATTCTTACACAGGAGCCAGGACCACACCCTTTAGCCTTTCTGTCCAAACAACTTGACCTTACTGTTTTAGCCTAGCCCTCATGTCTGCGTGCAGTGGCTGCTGCTGCTTTAATACTTTTAGAGGCCCTAAAAATCACAAACTATGTTCAACTCACTCTCTATAGTTCTCATAACTTCCAAAATCTATTTGCTTCCTCATACCTGATGCATATACTTTCTGCTTCCTGGCTCCTTCAGCTATACTCACTCTTTGTTGAGTCTCCCACAATTACCGTTGTTCCTGGCCCAGACTTCAATCCGGTCTCCCACATTATTCCTGATACCACACCTGACCCCCATGACTGTATCTCTCTGATCCACCTGACATTCACCCCATTTCCCCAAATTTCCTTCTTTCCTGTTCCTCACCCTGATCACGCTTGATTTAGTGATGGCGATTCCACCAGGCCTAATCGACACACACCAGCAAAGGCAGGTTATGCTATAGAACAAGCCACTAGCCCGCCTCTCAGAACCTCTCATTTCCTTTCCATCGTGGAAATCTATCCTCAAGGAAATAACTTCTCAGTGTTCCATCTGCTATTCTACTACTCCTCAGGGATTATTCAGGCCCCCTCCCTTCCCTACACATCAAGCTCGAGGATTTGCCCCACCCAGGACTGGCAAATTAGCTTTACTCAACATGCCCTGAGTCGGATAACTAAAATACCTCTTAGTCTAGTTAGATACTTTCACTGGATAGGTAGAGGCCTTTCCTACAGGGTCTGAGAAGGCCACCACAGTCATTTCTTCCCTTCTGTCAGACATAATTCCTCAGTTTAGCCTTCCCACCTCAATACAGTCTGATAACAGACGAGCCTTTATTAGTCAAATCAGCCAAGCAGTTTTTCAGGCTCTTAGTATTCAGTGAAACCTTTATATCCCTTACGGTCCTCTGTCTTCAAGAAAAGTAGAATGGACTAAAGGTCTTTTAAAAACACACCTCACCAAGCTCAGCCACCAACTTAAAAAGGACTGGACAATACTTTTACCACTTTCCCTTCTCAGAATTCAGGCCCGTCCTTGGAATGCTGCAGGGTACAGCCCATTTGAGCTCCTGTATAGACGCTCCTTTTTATTAGGCCCCAGTCTCATTCTAGACACCAGACCAAGTTAGACTGTGCCCCAAAAAAACTTGTCATCCCTACTATCTTCTGTCTAGTCATACTCCTATTCACCGTTCTCAACTACTCATACATGCCCTGCTCTTGTTTACACTGCCAGTTTACACTGTTTTTCCAAGCCATCACAGCTGATATCTCCTGGTGCTATCCCCAAACTGCCACTCTTAACTCTTGAAGTAAATAAATAATCTTTGCTGGCAGGACTATGCTGAATCTCTTTAGGCACTGTCTAATCAGATGTCCTGAGTCGTCCCAATTCTTCGATCTTTTATACCTGTTTTTCTCCTTCTGTTATTCCATTTAGTTTCTCAATTCATCCAAAACCGTATCCAGGCCATCACCAATCATTCTATAAGACAAATGTTTCTTCTAACATCCCCACAATATCACCCCTTACCACAAGACCTCCCTTCAGCTTAATCTCTCCCACTCTAGGTTCCCACGCCGCCCCTAATCCCACTTGAAGCAGCCCTGAGAAACATCGCCCATTCTCTCTCCGTACCACCCCCCAAAAATTTTCACCGCCCCAACACTTCAACACCATTTTGTTTTATTTTTCTTATTAATATAAGAAGGCAGGAATGTCAGGCCTCTGAGCCCAAGCCAAGCCATCACATCCCCTGTGACTTGCACGTATACACCCAGATGGCCTGAAGTAACTGAAGAATCACAAAAGAAGTGAATATGCCCTGCCCCACCTTAACTGATGACATTCCACCACAAAAGAAGTGTAAATGGCCGGTCCTTGCCTTAAGTGATGACATTACCTTGTGAAAGTCCTTTTCCTGGCTCATCCTGGCTCAAAAGCACCCCCACAGAGCACTTTGTGACCCCCACTCCTGCCCGCCAGAGAATAAACCCTCTTTGACTGTAATTTTCCTTTACCTACCCGAATCCTATGAAATGGCTCCACCCTTATCTCCCTTCGCTGACTCTCTTCGGACTCAGCCCACCTGCACCCAGGTGAAATAAACAGCCATGTTGCTCACACAAAGCCTGTTTGGTGGTCTCTTCACACGGACATGCATGAAAGCCAGGATCTGAGAGAAGTGCTCACGAGGATTGATAAAACATTATTAGGTTGCTGAACCATTCCAGGACATGTAAAAAAATGAAGAAAGAAAATATCTACCAGCTCTCTTCTCAGGGAACATGTTTGTCTTTGGTTGGAAGGAAATACTTTGATAAGCCGCTTGGAGTGTGAGGTGAGATGCCTCCTTCCCCCAAGGAGTATTTTGAATAAAAACAGATGGTCATTAAACTGTCTCTGTCAGAGGGTGGGTCCAACTTAAAAGAGGAGCTTTAATTTGTAAAGTAGGTTTTGCAGAGCAGAGCTGAGGCCCCATCACTGGCTTTAACCTACCCTACCCTGCCCCCATGAGACTAACAGCTTCTTCTCTAAATAAATGTTAAATAAAAAATTTTAAACCTATTGAATTCATATTATGCAAATTGGCTGACCACCCTGCATTTCTGAGTGCTTGTTCCTTCCCATAGTCTTAGTGTGGCTAAAATATTGGGGTGAAGTTAGCTGTGGGAGTTCAATTGAAATAGCATAGATTTCATGTATAAGACCACATAGGTTTCTCCCCAGATGGTGCAATTGATACGTCATGCTTTGCTGAAGCAATATTACAGGGCTTGCTCTGATTTTATTATGAATCTTGAAGAAACGTTACGGACCTTAAGAGGTCTTAAGAAGTGAGGGTGACAAGACGGGTGGTTTTGGTTGTGCTAAAGTAGTCCTATCTGTGATTGGTTCTAATTTCCATAATTCTGAATAAAATGTTTTTGTGAGAAAAAAGGTATAGGGTTTAAAATGTTTGAAAATCCACTTGAAAAATTTGTGAGGTTTACACTCGTGTGGAACAAACAAAAACCATAACATAATTTTCACAATTTACATCATTGATTTCACATATTTATATTTGTAATAAATCAATGTAATAAATCAATTATATTCTTCTGCATGGAGCACTGTTCTTTTCTTGGTAACTGTGCCAGAATCAGAATTATCTGGAAGCTCTGTTAAAGTACAAGTACTAGACCTCACACTCTGGCTTTTCATTAAGCAAGTGTGATGCTTAATTTTATGTGCCAACTTGGGTGGGCTGTGGGAGTACTCAAATTAAACATTGTTTCTGGGTGTGTCTGGGAGGATGTTTCTGAATGAAATTAGCATTTGAGTCGGTGGACTCAGTAAAGTAGATTGCCCTCCCCAGTGTGGTTGGGCATCATCCAATCCATGGAGGGCCTGAATAGAACAAAAGGCTGAGAAAGGAGGAATTTCCCCTTTGTTCCTGCCTAACTTCTTGAGCTTGGCTATATCATTTCATCTTCTCATGACCTCAGGTTTGGTTATATGTCATTGGCTCCCCAGTGGCCTTCAGACTCAGACTGAATTACACCACTGGCTTTTCTGGATCTCCAACATACACGTAGCAGGCAGATTGTGGGACTTCTTGGCCTCCATAATTATGTGAGCCAATTCCTATTACAAATCTTCAGATATATAGATACAGATATAGATAGATATAGATGAATATGTTCTGTTTTTCTGCAGAACGCTGACTAATACAGCAAGTCTGAGATGGTGCTCACAGATTTGCATTTCTAACAAGTTCCTAGGTGATGCTGATGCTTCTGGTCACTAGGCCACATGTAAAGATAGACGCCTGTCTCCCCTCACATTCTGAGTAAACCGGAGTAGCCTGCTGAAGAGGAAAGGATGAGCTGAATTAGTACCTGATCAACATGTATCAAATTTGCTCTCTTAGTATTTGGTTAAATCATTTTTTCTAGTCCTTCCTATTCAATTTATTTCTCTCTAAAGCAAATATACAATTTTAAAAATCAGTACAGCAGTGTGTCTTCTCTTATAATCTATTGAGTCAGTAGAGGTCATGAAAGCTACTAAGGTAGAGTAGAAAAATGATTTGTCAAAACAAAATATATACTTGCATGCAAATGCCCAGTAACAAAGCCAGAATCTGTCTATATCTATATCTGTATCTATCTATATCTATATATCTAAAAAGTGGAAGAAAGCAGAGTGGAAGAAAAAGTAGAAGAATGCTACTATCTTGAATTAAGTTTTATTTTATGACTTTGGTGAGTGATATTTATTTCATTACTGATTACTGCATAGGTGTTATTTGCAAAAGTTAACCAAATTATTGGGACATTTAAAAAAAACTCAAAAAAATGAGTAGTAACTCACAAGTCATAGAAAAATATATATCAAGTGTTTCAAATACATGAATTTGAGATATCTTCTTACTTGAACATCCACATTTTTAAAAACATTTTCTTTAAAACGTGCAAATTGGAAATCTAATGACTCATTGAAAAATTTTCAAAATAGCCAAAAGTGTCAGTTTATGTAGATCACACTAAATTAATAAATATTGTCTAATGATCTTGCCCAAGAATATTTAAGTAGGAATTATTTCCTGTTTTACGTATTTATTTTGGAATACAAAGAAGTACTAAAACTAAACCAATGTCTTTTATCATCTTTTGTTTGTTCATTTTGGGGAATCTTAAGACTTAAGGATGTACTGCCACATTTTTTTACATTAGCTTTTTTAAAAAAATGACAGAAAGAAAAAAGAGGAAAAAAATTCTCGCCGTGGTAAAACTTCACAGACTTTTTTTTTATCCCCACAGAAAATGTTAATGGGTTAGTAAAACTACCCCAAATTTACAGGTTTATTTAAATATGAAATAAGACTAAAAATAACAGAAAATTTATTTTGATATTCTGCCCAATACATACTTATTCAGGTTGACAGAGGCATAAAAACAAAATAGGGTGAGAGGAGAGAGATTTGAATAAATAGACAAGTATAAAACAAAGTGTCAGCATTTTCTCATAATTCTCATTACCATGCATTGGTTTACCCTATCCCTACTTGGGTAGTGAGAATACAACACTTTATAAGAGCTTTTCCTTTTTTTTTTTTTTTTTTTTTTTTTTTTTTTACTGAAACTTAAATAAGAGTTCAAGCTCTATGAAAAAGAAATTCAGGGTTTGGGGGAGAATTGGTTTCTTTCAGTGTATTCATTTTACATGTGTATTACAAAAAATTACCTAAGTAATGTTCAGAAATAATCTGAAATAAATCCCAACAGCTTTCTCATATTCCTGTAAAAACCTTGTTAGAAACCTTAAGTGAAATAAAAACAGATCTATTTACCAGAGTTCCAAAACAATGTACCACACAACAGAAGATGAAGTTGCAGGGACTGGCAGGGTCCAGACCATGTGAGACTTACCTCCAGGCACTGGGAAGCCATGCAAGACCTTGTGCTTAAAACAGGGATGTTGACATGGTTTGTATTCTTGTAAACTCTACTTTGGCTGCTGTACTGAGAATGGTTTGTGGGGGTGAAAGAATGGATTGGAAGTTAAGAGTAGTCCCAGGTGAGTGGAGACACGGAATTGGATTGGTGTGTGTTTGCAAAGCACTTGTACAGGTTCTTGTGCAGAGTAAGCACTGTCTGAAATTATCAATCAAAATAACTCCAAATTTACATATTTTATAATTTTTCCTCTCCTATCATGTCAAATTCAGACTTAAGAAGATATTTAAGGCCTTCTCCTTTTTTTTTTGAGACGGAGTCTCGCTCTGTCACCCAGGCTGGAGTGCAGTGGCGTGATTTCAGCTCACTGCAACCTCCACCTCCCAGGTTCAAGCAATTCTCCTGTCTCAACCTCCTGAGTAGCTGGGACTACAGGCACACGCCACCAAGCCAGTTAATTTTTGTATTCTTAGTAGAGACAAGATTTCACCATGTTGGTCAGGCAAACTGGAAATCTAATGACTCATTGAAAACTCAGGTGATCCACCCGACAAGGCCTTCTGTTATTCAAGTTCATGTTATTTCTCCCAATTACCTCCCCCACCCAAAATTACTTAATCTAGGACTTTACTATTAAACTGAGGAAGTAGAAGCCATCAAGTCATGAACTCTTCAGCTTCCAAATACCAAATCTTCAAATCTCCCCTAAATGTGCACTAATTCTTTTCTCTTAATACATGACTAGGAGGTGTTTCTCTTGCCCAAGGCTAAGCTTTACCTCAACTTTGGATTCCAGCCCCTCTAGTCTTTTTGAATTCACTATCTATCCTTTAAATTATTACTTCTCTTACTGGTATCATCAACCACTTTTTAATCTACCAACTTCTTCCTATAGCACTTTCTTTCCTATTTGAAAAGAATCCACAACTCCTCTTCACTTCAAAATTTTCTGAAGTTTGAAAGTTCGTGGTCTTCATTTCCTTACTTATTCTTTTTTCAGCCTCATACTAGTTAATTTCCACCTACACTTCTCATGGTATTTGTTCTTTCCAAGGTTGCCAAAGAAATGAGTTCTCAGTCCTTCTCTTACTTGCCTTCTTATAAGCCTTTAACACTATTCAGTAATCTTCCATTCTTGAAATGTTCTTTTCTTTGCTTCATTGAAATTTCCCTCTTCATTTCCTTAGGAATATTTTTGCTGGTCTCACAGACAAAGTTAGGTCCTGTATTTTACATATATTCTCCTGGAAGAAGATTTAAAATAGAAGTTTTGGGTGAATTCCTAAAATGGCATTAAGGTGAGGTAGAAAACCACGATGGAAACCTTTAGAGAAAAACGTCAAACCCAGTTCATGACTCCTTAACCTTTCATTTATATGGAGATCAAAGGTTTTTCAAGATGATTTATTGGGAATAGCTGGGCTGCGAGACCAATACCCACCACTGGGAGGACCTCTCCATTGTCTATTCACACCTGAAACCTAGTGAAAGTGGCTTGAAGGAGAGTTTTTAAAGAGTTTGCTATTCATCTTCTACAGTTAAGAGAATATATAGGGGACTGGTGTCTGACATGCTGTACAGAAATGCCAAAAAGAATGTGAGATGGTTGTCATACTAAGAGATGATCTGAAGAAGATGAGTTTCTTTGGAATCTGCCTGCACTCCCATCATCAATAGGGCAAATGCTGTGTGAAGGTCCCCAAGAGCAGGTGTGGGCCATGCACAATGAAAAGAAGTTGTGGAGCCAACTTAGGTTCTATCAGGACCATCTAGGCGTAGGGGCAGGGAGGAAGACCTCAGTGGAGAGAAGCTAAAAGTATCCCATGGTTCTTAGGGCATGTGAGGAACGTGTATGCAACCTGCAAGAGAAGACAGCACCTTAGGCAAGGAAAGTACAGGTGAGAGACTCTACTAAGAACATCCAAAATCACCCTCAAAAGAGTCAGTTTTAGACAAGGGCCAGGCCCAGGACCAAGGAATCAATTTAGAATAGTCCTAATCCAATAAGAAATGTTCTCTTCCTCTTTCCTATTTTTCTTCCTCACACCTTCAGCCCTTCCCCAGAAGAGTCAGGAATAGCAACTAGTAAAAAAGGAATGAGAAAGAAGGAGGCAACCACACCTCTACCCCTACTGAAAACCTGAGGGAGCACAGCATTTACATGGAATGGAGCTAGAAACTTGACTATGAGAAGGGGCAAGCACTCTAATTTCTGGCTTAGAACATGTTTGTAATCTAAAGTGACCATAAATGTAAAATGACATTGTCCAAGTATTCATGGGAGCAGAAAATCACCTCCCTCCAAATTTTAAAGGGATAATGAGAGACAACATACAGGTGCAGTCTGCACACTCATGTGTCCAATGGGTTCAATGTGCCAGCTATACTCCCATACACCTGCTGTACAACTTCAGCTTTGTAAATGTCATCACAGTTATAACTACTTACTTGAGCTCTGCTTATCCCGTGAAAGCTGTCATGTAGCTTTATCCCTAGACCTAAGCTATCGGTATATTATTCTTCAATTAGTCCTCCTTTCATGCTATTTTTCTGGATATATTGTGTCCAATAGCTTCTCTCAGCTTTTGTTCCTGCTATTGTTTCCATCTGTGATATCTCTACCTCTAAGCTAAACAACATAAATTCTACTCAGCTTCATGGTCCATCTCAAATCTTGTTTTCTTCGGGAATTGTTTCTCACAGCTCCATGCCCTGCCGGCCACTGCCTTCTCTGAACTTATCCTTACCCTCATTTCAACACGTCACATTTTTATGTGTTGACATCGTTCCAACAATATTATAAGATCTTTTGAGCAGAGACCAAGTATTTTCACAATCTATTGCTGTTAAAAACATTATTCATCTCCTCAAGAAATATTACTTATTTTAGTCCGGGCACAGTGACTCATGTCTGTAATCCCAGAACTTTGGGAGGTCAAGGCAGGAGGATTTCTTGAGGCCAGGAATTCAAGATCAGCCTGAGCAACATAGTGAGACCCTGTCTTTACAATAAATAAATAAAAGAAATATCATTTTAGAGCCTATTTTGGGTCAGGTACTATGTGTGGACTAATAAATATTCATGGTTTTGAAACAGTATAATCTGCATAACATCTTGTATGTAGGTGGAATCAGTCAATGGAGTTTCAAATGTACATTTTAGGCTGGACACGGTGGCTCATGCTTGTAATCCCAGCACTCTGGGAGGCTGAGGCAGGCAGATCACTTGAGCTCAGGAGTTCAAGACCAGCCTGGGCAACATGGTGAGACCCCATCTCCCGGGCTCAAGCAATCCTCCCACCTCAGCCTCCCAAGCAGCTGGGACTACAGGAGCATGCCACCACACCCAACTGATTTTTACCTTTTTTGTAGAGATATGGGTCTCACTGTGTTGCCCAGGCTGGTATCAAACTCATGGGCTCAAGTGATCCTCCCACCTCAGCCTCCTAAAGGGCTGAGGTTACAGGCATGAGCTACTGCACCTGGCCTATCATAGTTAAAAGATTGTTATATCTAAACATATATCTAAAATAAATAATATCAACAATAAATGTGTAGAAAATAATGTTTTAAACAAAATATGGTAAAACATTAACAATCGTCGTATGGGTATAAAACGCAACTAGGAGCATTTTGTTTTTTTCTTTTCAGTTTATTTTTGATAAATGTTCATTAATGAGCATATATTGCATGTATAATAAAGATAACCTTTAGGTTTGTGTGTGTGTGTGTGTGTGTGTGTGTGTGTGTGTGTGAAGTGTATACTGTCTCTTCCTTCTACAGACTTTAAACCTAAATAAACCCCACCCTTCTTTTCATTCTACTGTTACTGAATGTGCACATAAGTATGCCAAAGGGGATCTGGGAAACATTAATTTAGGGAAGATACATAGTTCACTATATTCACGACATTTAAAAAAATTATCCATAAAAATGTCCAGTAATGCTTTATCCTTTGATGAGCAAAACACTAAGCTAAGCCAAACTATTTTTCAGTCAAGCATGTTCAGGAGACAACCTGCCCATGGTGCTGATAACATCAAAACTAAATATTCCGGTTGCTTAAGTGAATGCAGTTTAAATCCCTTCGGATGTCTCAATAGGTATTTCCATCAGTGAAAATACAAAACCATTTTATCTGGGCTGTGTTCAAAGTTGTTTATTTTGACTGTGGTGCATTGTATTATGTTTTCATCTTAATTTAAAAATTTGGGTAAGCATCAAATTCCTCATACTGTAAAAGCAACATAAAGCAGTATTCCTTAAGAAAAGCACAAAGCATTAGCATGAGTGACTGATTACCTGCTGCTCCTTTCCAATTATTATTAAGTTGAATTATTTTTAACCCATTTGTTGTTTAGAAAAAAAAAGTGCAGCTCACTGCCCGTGCAGTATTCGAGGGGCAAACTACAAATGGGTAATTGACTTTCGAAGTTTTCTTAATAAAGCTTCTAAAGACTAACGCCACATTTTTGGTCAAGTCTCTTACCCCTGAGCCATCTCGATTTGTTTTGTTTTATGGTTTTGTTTCGTTTTGTTTTGTTGTCTGGGCTAAATTTCTATCTCTTTGAAGCTATTACCTACTTTGAAGTTTAGCCTGGGAAAGCATTTTGTTTTGGAAGCCAAGAAGTAATCTGGGAGAGATAATCATAATTATATGTGATAATGTGAAAGATTCTTCATTCTAGCATAAATATTTCATGCATATAAATCTTACCACTCAGTTATTTTTATCCCAGTCTGAAGACGTATATTATAATGCCTGTATCTTTTCTTTTATGAAGTTCTGCCCAGTGAGGAGAAAGCAGGCAGTATATAGAAATTACAAAAATGCCCTACAGTTAAGAGCTGAAAAGCAAAGTCATTAAAGTTTAAAACAACTTAAGCTAAAACAACGCAAAGGAAAGTATAAAAAAGTATTAATGAAATTATTCAAAGGTATTCTTTGAAACATTTGAGAAGTCTCATTTTCACTTATTACAGTAAAAGAATAAAAAGATTATTAGTGCTGGGATGTATTTAAAAATTTTAGTTTTTATCATTTCCTACAATAATCTAAATAGTAACAGTAGTAAGTCTAATAAACTAAAATGTTTTACTGTCCTACACTGATAGAACTTGTGCATTTTAACATTCATTAAAGCAACAAATATTTCTCAAGTGTCTACTACATTTGAGATAATTGAGCTAAGTGTTGGGAATACAGTAATGACCAAGAAGCAGTCCCTACTCTTAGTGAAATTGTAAAAAGGCAAGTAAGCCACTAACTTTAATATAATATAGCAAATGCTACAATGGTATTAAGGCTACATATGGTAACGGAATCTATCCCAGTTTTAAAGGTTTGGAAAAAGCCTTCAAAAGAAGGTAGCAGTCAAGCTGAGACCACATCTCTGTGAAGAAAGCATTTAGTTAGCCATGGAAAATAATTCTAGGTTAAGATAATATTTATTTAGTCAGCAAGTAGGTGAAATAATTTAAAATTAATGTAATATTTAAGGTAGGAAAGAAGAAAAAGACTAAGAAATAGATAAACATGAAAAGGGAAGAGAAAATGATAAAAAAAAAAAAAAAGGAAAATATCATTGGATGGTTAAGTAAACTCTTCTGATTTCTTCTCTTAAAAATCACCATCCAAAATAAAAGAGAACAAGAAGGGGGAAGCAGGAGAAGAGGGGACCAGGTGGGTGGTACATAGGCTGCTCTGGGACCTCAGTCTCCATCCCTTCCCCTGCACTAAAAAATATACCAAACAAAGAAAACAAAATCCAAGAGAACAAGAAACTGAAGCACAAATTCCTTCTTTAATGAAACCAGAAGACATTTGTAACTGCATCCACAATAGATTATAAACCTAGCAGATGAAAAGATGGAATATTTCTTAGGAGAAGCAAAAGAGTCCAAATCCAAGTGCTTGGGACAAAATATATATATATATCCTGATGCAAAGTAATCTAGTTTGTTGTTCAGGTCCCCTGAAAGTTTCAGCAATTGGAAGTATCAGGTATCTCTGAAGGTGAGCATGTAAGGGGTTTCAAAACAGCAGTAATATTTGCAAATCTTTGAAAGGAGCAGTAAGACCCTCAGTTTGTCCCATCTTTGTGCTATTAGGTAACTAGGTACACTGCAAGAATTGATTTTTTTAAGAAGTTTAACCTGAAGTCTTTCAGAGTTGAAAAACAAATCCAAAGCAATTCTGGAGTAAGATATTAGACTTAGTTTCTGGGTGTTAATGGGAGAAATGATATGGATTTAGTAAAAACCTACACGCTGAATTGTGAAGTAAACAGCTCCCAGAACTACTCAGCCCTCAAATGCCAGCTGCTAGACATAATCTTAAAGCAGGAATCTGGAGGATTATCCTCTAGGAACACTAACCCACTCTTAAAAAATCATATAGGTCCACCAGTCCAATGGGCAACCTGCCCCAATACAAAGATCTGCCAAGCCCTTTATCGATTGGTGTTCCACTTCTGAATATATACTGAGAACATTAAACATAAAAGACAATGATGAAAATAAAAATATTCATGGCCAGGCACAGTGGCTCATGCCTGTAATCCCAGCACTTTGGGAGGCCAAGGCTGGTGGAATGCTTGGGCTCAGGAGTTCAAGACCAGCCTGGGCAACATAGAGAGACCCCATTTCTGAAAAAAAAAAAAAAAAAATTAGAAAATTAGCCAGGCATGGTGGCATGGCGTGAACCTGTAGTCTCAGCTACTCGGGGTCAGGGGTAGGGGTGTGGGTGCTGAGGTGGGAGGACTTGAACCAGGGAGGCAGAGGTTGCAGTGAGCCAAGATGATGCCACTGTACCCCAGCCTGGGCAACAGAGCAAGACCCTGTCTCAAAAAAAGAAAAAAAAAAGAAAGAAAGAAAAGAAAAAAGAAAGGAAAGTGAAAGAAAGAGAAAAATAGAAATAACCATAAAACAAATAATCATAAAAGGGTTGTCTTGAAAAGTAAAAATTATACCTCCAAATAAAATATTCAACAAATGGGTTACAACATGAAGTCTGTTTTCCTAGAAAATATAATTAAAAGGCCCAAAACAATAAATAGTAGGAAAGCAAAAGAAAAAAATGGAGAATTGATCCAAAATATCCCACATTCAACAAATATCTATCCCAAAATGAGTTAATAATAATAATAATAAAAGTGGGAAGAAAACTATCATCAAAGAAAGACAGAAAAGAATATTTTTCAAAATGGATAAAAATAATACGCAGTGAAATTAATGGGGTACAGTAGGACTCATGACTGTGCATTTTATTATGAAATCTCAAAAATTTAAGTTTGAAAAGAAGATCTTAACAGCTTTCAAACTTTTAAAAATATAAAATTACATAAAAAGGACGAAGAATGGGCTTCTCAATTGTAACATTAAATGCTAGAAGACAAAGACTATGCCTTTAAAGTTCTTAGTGAAAATGACTTTCAATCCTAAATTCTATAGACAACCAAATACTAACCAAAGGTAAGATAAAATACTTTTTTAAAGATTCAAAAACTCAAAAAAAATTATTTTTTCTTTATGTTTTTTTCAAGAAGCTCTCAGAAAAAGTTCTCTACTAAAGTGTGTGATTAAACCAAAAGGGAAGAAAGCCTGAGTCTTAAGAAATTGAGGTCAAACATGAGAAAAGACATGAAGGAAATTCCAAAGTTTAGGGCATGCCTAGAGAGCCATTGGTCCAAACTGGAGTAGGAGGACACATGGTTTCAAGAGAAATGTCTTCCAAAACAAAACAAAACAAAAACAAAAAAAAGATTATTTTGGCAAGATTAAATTGTAGAAATCTATGAGAAGCATTTTGCAGAACTACTGGAAGGGGTAGAAAACTTAGCTCCTGGTTCAAAGAAATGAAATAAATGAAAAAATATGAAATGAGAATTAACTTCAGAAATATGTAAAAGTGTAAAAATCAAGCTCATACCTATACTATTTGGCTTCACAATTTAAAAAAAATTACATAACCATAGCAACTCCTTTAACTAAGGATTTTTAAAATTACGTTCTAACTATTGGGCAGATGTGGGGATAGATAAGGGGAATGTAAAAGAACTAAAATCTCTACCTTCTTTTAAAGAGGTGAATATAAAATAACTAAATTGAATGAACCAGGAACCATCAATACTTGTACAATATTTAGAAATACGTAAGTAGGCCAGGCACAGTGGATCACACCAATAATCCCAGCGCTTTGGGAGACCAAGGCAGGAGGATTGCTTGAGGCCAGGAGTTCAAGGATCACTCTGATCAACACAGATAGACTCTGTCTCTATAATTAGAAAAAGTAGTAGATTATTATTTTTAAAAAGGCAAAATAAATATTTAAATAAACACTATAAAATTGTTTTCAAAGTTGAAAATAGTTGCCTTTATGCAGCAGTAATAAGGGCAAGGGAGCTATAAAGGGAAAGGACCTCTGGTTTTATGTGTTAAGCTTTTTAAAAAGTATGTGCATGTGTTGCCTTGATCAAATAAAAAGTTTTAAATATAATAAAACTTTTAAAGGATATTTAATAGTTTGAAAATATAGCTATACACAAAAAGTAGAAAACACAGCTATCTATTCCTTGACTAAGATTTTATTTTCTATTCCTTGACTGTACTGGCCTTTAAACCAGCACATCATCTGTTAGTGAATCACCAACAATTGAGTAAACATGTTTTCTCTTAGAGTCTACAATCTGAGCACAAGCACAAGTGCAAATTGTTTGGGAAGTTCAATCCTGTAAATGTTGGCAGAAGTCAGTGATTTAAGAGATTTATAAGTAAAACGAAGAGGAGACAAATAGACCTTTCTTTTGAGAGTATTACATAACGTGTCTTCCTGAGTATGTTTGTAAACAACGAACATTCTACAAGAATAATCATTTTTCTTTTTAAAGATATTTCTACATAGCCAAAGATCCTCTGATTCACCTACCAGATAATATTGCAAATATTTTGCATTGATTTCCAGTTAAGTTTACATTTAAAAGTTGGTATTTGCCAGAAACACCAGTAGGTCAGTTACACACATTGCTTCCTATAATCTCTATATGCTTGTGAGACAAGCATTATATTGAAAGCAGGAGTTCAAAGAGGTTATATGACCATCCCATAATCACACAGTTGGCATGGAACTCAGACTGGATCTTCTGCCTCTTTTCTTGCTATGAAGAAAGCAGGTTTTTTTGTATTTTTCTTCTAATTTGTATTTAATGTTATAGGATTTCCAAATCTTTGCTGAGTAATCTCGATCTTTGCTTTAATGTCAACAGAGATTAAATGTTCCTTTTACTCAGAAGATTTATTAAACCCAATTTGATACATTTAGTCTGTTTATGCCTCTCTACACCAAGACAATCAAATCTAAAGAAGAAGAAACGTGGCTAAAGGGATTTTCAATTTTTAATAGAGTCCAAAGCTAAAGTGTCTACATGCTGAAGTATCTAGAGGAATGTATAATGGTGTCTGCAACATAACTGAAACACATTAAAAAAAAGATGGATTGTTCGATGAATAGAAAAATGGCTAGATGGTTAGATAAGTGATAAAACAAGTATAATAAAATGTTGGTTGCAGAATATATAGATGCTCACCATAAAATTGTTTCAACTTATTTGAAGACTTTCATAAGAAAGAATTGAAGAAAAATCCAAAGCATCTAGCTGTTTGCGTGTATGAGAGAGTGAATGAGTGAGTGTGGGCAAAAAAGAAAGAAAACAAAAGAGAAAACACTAAAGCATCTAGACTGCAGTGTCTAATAGAAATACAAGAGCCATGAACTCAAGTCACATATATAATTTTAAATTTTCTAATAGACACATAAAGAAAGAAAACAAACAGGTCAAATTAATGTTAATAATTTATGTAACCCAATATATCATTTTCAAGATGTAATCAATAAAAAATTAATGAGATATTTTATATTCCTTTTTTCATAGTAAGTCTTCAAAATCTAGAGTGTATTTTCCACGTATATCGCAATTCAGACTAACCACATTTCATGTGTGCTAAACAGCTACACATGAGCCAGACGTAGTGGTGCTTGCCTGTAGTCCCAGCTACTCAGCAGGCTAAGGCAGGAGAATCACTTAAGTTCAAGAATTTCAGTCCAACCTGGGCAACATAGCGATAACCTGTCTCAAAGAAAAAAGAGCTAATCACTGGAGAAATGTAAACCAAAATCACGATGAGATACCATATCACACCAGTCAGAATGGCTATTACTAAAAAGTCAAAAAACAACAGATGCTGGTGAGGCTGCAAAGAAAAGGGAACACTTACACACTGTTGGTGAGAATGTAAATTAGCTCAGCCACTGTGGACAGTAGTTTGAAGATTTCTCAGAGAATTTAAAACAGAAGTAACCATCATTCGACCAGCAATCTCATTACTGGGCATATATGCAAAAGCAATGAAATCATTTTCCCAAAAAGACACCTTCACTCATACATTCATTGCAGCACTATTCACAATAACAAAGACATGGAATCAGCCTAGGTGCCTATCAACAGTGGACTGGATAAAGAAAATGTGAAACACACACACACACACACACACACACACACACACACACGGCTGTGCAGTATATATATATATATATATATATATATATATATATATATATATATACCATGGAATACTGCACAGCCATAAAAATGATGAAATCATGTCCTTTGCAGCAACATGGATGCAGCTGGAGGCCATTATTCTAAGTGAATTAATGAGGGAACAGAAAACCAAATACCACATGTTCTCACTTATAAGTGGGTGCTAAACATTAGGTACTCATGGACATAAAGATGGCAAAAATAGACACTGGATACTACTAGAGGTGGGAGGGAAGGAAGGGGGCAAGGGTTTGAAAAATGACCTTTTAGGTACTATGTTCACTACCTGGATGACAGGACCATTGGTATCCCCAACCTTGGCATCACACAATATAACACACATGCACATGTAACTGAATCTAAAATAAAAGTTGAAATTATAAAAAGAAAAAAAATAGCTACATGTGACCATTGGCTACCTTACTGGCAGTGCAGATCTTGATGTAAATTGGCTGACCATGTTCATAAACTCATTCAAGCATTTGCATAAAGCAAATACAGTAAAAGAGAAAAATAATTTCCTAAGAGAACTACAATGTAATAAATTGTGGCCATTTCACAGTAAATCTCTCAGCCAAACCACAACGTTACCTAAGTTTTATATATTTCAAAATACTGGACTGGGCGCGGTGGCTCACGCCTGTAATCCCAACACTTTGGGAGGCTGAGTTGGGCAGATCACTTGAGGTCAGGAGTTCGAGACTAGCCTGGCCAATGTGGTGAAATCCTGTCTGTATTAAAAATACAAAAATTCTCTGGGCATGGCAGCAAGTACCTATAACCCAGGCTACTCAGAAGGCTGAGACAAGAGAATCCTTTGAACCTGGGTGATGGAGGTTGCAGTCAGCCGAGATCACACTACTGCACTCCAGCCTGGGTGACACAGGGAGACTCTGTCTCAGAAAAAAAAAAAAAAAAAAAAAAAAAGCTATTTAAATAAGGATTTTCTTCTGCTTCTTCTTGGGAGTAGAAAATAATTTATTGGACATGAATATGGAATAAGAATCTATGAATCACACTTTAAAAAAACTATTTATCTTGCCTTCTACTCTTCTTTACATTTCCATAGTTATATACAAAATAATAAATACAAAAAAGAAAAAAAAATTTCCAAACCTTAAGAAATATTTTACTAGACCTGCGGCATTTTTCTCTCTTAAACATCTGCTGTGGTAATATACTCCTCATTACTAATATCACAGCATGCCTTAGAAGTAAAAGCAAAAAGACAAATAATGACATCACATGTAGATGACAATTTCTCGGTTGTCTTGAGTTGGAATTTCTAGGATTAGAAATAACTGATCTATCAGTCTTTCCTTAGAGGATGAAACTATTTATTTGAAAACTTAATGTTCATAAAATAAAAATTATCTTTTGCAACATATGCAATGGTAAAATTTTAATAAGGAATTTTTATCTTATAATTCCTTAGTGACTTAAAGCAAATATAATTACAGCTTCCAAATCTCTCACCAAATGAGAAGAAAAAAAATACAACTTGAAGTAAATTAGATTGATCTGGTGTATTAACATTAATATGATTTAACCTATTAAATGTGCTTTATAGATAGTAACTATCAGATAACAAATTATAATCTCATTAAACTTAAAGCTAGGGGCCCGGTACGGTGGCTCACCCCTGTAATCCCAGCACTTTGGGAGGCTGAGGCAGGTGGATCATGAGGTCAGGAGTCTGAGACCAGCCTGGCCAATATGGTGAAACCCTGTCTCTACTAAAAATACAAAAATTAGCCAGGCATGGTGGCGCTTGCCTGTGGTCCCAGCTACTTGGGAGGCTGAGGCAAAAGAATCGCTTGAACCCGGGAGGCAGAGGTTGCAGTGAGCCGTGATCAGGCCACTGCACTCCAGCCTGGGTGACAGAACAAGACTTGGTCTCAAAAAAAAAAAAAAAAAAAAAAAAAAAAACCTTGAAGCTAGGGGCAACCTGTATGCAATGACTAGATGGTATAATACATAGACTTTGCCACCTTTTCTTAATTTAGAACAACTTTGAAGAGAAATCTCAGATCCCCAGCTCCCTAAAACATCACCTTGGCCTCTGTTGAAAGTGCAGCACAATTCAATCTCTCCCTCTTTTCAAACCTGCTTCCTTCATTCCCTTACAGGTGTTTCTGAGAAAACCTTATAACACACTTACTGCATCCAAATCTTCATCTCAGTATGTTTCCAGGGAGTCTGACTCAAGAAAAGCATAACCAATCTCTTTGCCTTCCTGGGCACATGGAGAATTATACTTCCTAGCTCCCTTATAGTTAGATGAAGCTATTTGTCTAATTTTGGTCAGTGGGCTGTAAACTTATGTGATCTGTGTCATTTCTAGTCCTAGACATTTAATTGTGGATGTAAGTTCTGTCTTCCCCTTCTGCAGATACCTCCAATGTCACTTATTCTAGGTGTAGCTATGCTATAGTTTGAATGTATTTAAATTTATATATTGGAACCTCAGACCGAATGTGATAGTAGCAGGAGGTGGGACGTTTGGGAGGCGATTAAGACATGAGGGTAGAGCCCTCATAAATGGGATTACTATACTGTAAAAGGGCTCCAGGAAACCAGACCCTTTTCTGGCCCTTCCACTCTTCTACTATGTGAAGACTCAGCAAGAAGGCTTTCACGAGACACCGAATGCTCTCCCCTTGATCTTGGACTTCCTGACCTCCAGAACCATAAGAAATAAATTTCTATTCTTTATAAATTATCCCGTCTCTGATATTTTGTTATAGCAACGCAAACAGACTATGACAAGCTACAAGTGGAGAGGCCTCATCACTGAGATGACTAGTCCCTGAGCAACTACGTGGAACAGACCTCTTTCATTCCCTCCTCCTATTGACCTACAATCGACCTGCAGAAGTGAGAGACAAACAAACCTTTAGGTTAAGCCACTGATTTCAGGATTAACTGGTTATTGCTGCAATGCCTAGCCTCTCCTGGTTACTATGGTATAGTAACCTTTCCCTTGGTATAATATATTTATATTTCCCTTGGTATAATATATTTTATTAAGAATGAAAAAAAATAAATCAATTTCCTGGGTTGGATTTCCTTACACAAAATGGACCCAGAAATTCTGTGATACTCATTTTGATGACTAAGAAAACATTTTTTCCCCTCCATGCATTTTCCCTCTTACTTTTGGTTTCTTAAAATGTTATAGTAGAAAAAGTCTGGAGTTTTTTTATGTAACTTTTGGAATTACAAATTGTATTTCCTTCAGTAAAAAATTGAGATAATACAACCTAAGAGAGTTATTGTAATAATCAAATGAGATAATGCATTTGAAACATCTTAGCATGTTTTAGCCAATAAATGCTAGTTTTCATTTCATCTTCCTATCCTGAAATCAAAAAATTCAGGTAAATACATCATCCCTTTAGTTTTAAATCATTTCATTGGGTGTTTCCACATGGATAATCTCAAAAGAGGTATCCTTTGAAATTCAAAGTAAATAAAGCAATTACTCCTGGACATCATGCACATGGTTTATTTCACAAGTGAATCCACAATGTCTACAAGATTCTGCTATTTATAAATTGGAGTTCAGACTGAGATGTGTAAATAAAACCATTCATAATTATAAATTATTTCCTCGCTTTCTTTCCCTTATTATAAGGTAACTCAGGTCATTTATTTTGTACCCTGTTGTATAATACTTCTGCATTAGAACAATATATTGATGATTTAGAATTAGTTTAGACCAAGGTTTGCAAACTAAAATACTAATGAGGACACTCTACTACCTATAAAATATTATTTCTAAAAACTTCAAGTCAATTTACAGGAAATGCAGATGATAGAGGACCATGCTAAATTACGCCATGGGGAGGTAATCAGCAAATCTTGGACTGTAAAAAATTCCACAAAACAACCAAACTGGTTTATTTACAGCTGCTAGGGGTCGGGGAGAGAAATAGTGAGAAGCTATATATTAGAAGAGGTTTAAAAGATATATCAACCAACTACCTAGTATAGACTTTATTTTAATCCTGACTTAAACTATAAAATATATATAAATAGATACAAATGCTGATTTAAACAAACTGTAATACATATACATATATAAAACAACTGCAAATTTGAGCACCCTGAGTATTTGATGATATTAAATACTTATTGTTAATGTTTATGTTTGATAATGAATGGCTGTGCAGTTAGGTTTTATAAAAGAGTCCCTATCTCTCTTGTTACATGCTCAAGTATTTACAGACAAAATGATAGGATGCCCAAAATTTGCTTTAAAAGTATGTTGGAAAGTAGTAGGGAGGGGGCATAGAAAAACAAGACTGGACTTGAGTAATGCTAGTTAAATCTGTGAAATAGGAAAGTGAGGATTTATTGAACTATTTTATCTCGTTTTCTATATGTTTGAAATGTTTTCTAATAAAAGGCTTTAAAAATGTTTATGAAGATTGGGCATGTTAACTCACACCTGTAATCCCAGCACTTTGGGAGGCCAAGGTGGGAAGACTGCTTGAGGCCAGGGTTCAAGACCTGCCTGGGAAACACAACAAGATGCCATATCTGCAAATAAAATTAAAAATCTTTTCAATCTTATATTTAAAAAATAGAATATGTTGTCATGAGTGGGAGTTAAAAAGAAAAAAAATTAAAAACACAGAACAGATTTAAGAAGTATCTCAGATTTGTCTTAATTCCGCTGCAAGCAAAACAACAAAACGAGTATGATGGTAAAAGGTAAAAGTATGATGGTAATAGTCTGCCATCTATTAGAGTGGGGATTGTTGGGGACTCGTGGAACAGGCGAGTGCATGTCCATTGCAAGAGGCAGGAGCAACTCAGCACAAGGTTATGGATACTCTGCATGCCAGCATGTTTGGTAATGCTAAATCTTCTAATATTTTCAGAAAATTTGTAAGTCAAGATACACAGACAAAATATCTTCGTGATAAATGTTGACAATTAATGCAAATTTCTTTAAATCACTTTTTGGAGAAGTACTATATGGATCAAACAAATGGATCAAATATGCAAAACATAACATTTTGCAACTTCTGGTTTACAACAAACCACCTTGGCACCTTAACAACTAGCTTCTTCATCATCTACAGTGTAGTCAGAGGTTATAGAACACCAGCATCTACATCTCACAGAATATTGCCAGAAACCCCTTTGTTGAGTCTACGTGCCTTTGATTAAATCATTGCCTCATGTCTAATTCCTCTTTCTGTGCCTAGTTTCTCCAGATTGACCCTTTGGCTGGAATGACGACTTGGACTTTCAACTCCAGATTCTCTCCTGAAAACTATTAGTGAGAATTTAAGAACCTCAGGTTCCAGTCCAGCCCCAATTTTGGCAGAGATCTCCAGAAACCCCCATCCCTATCCAGTAATGCAAACTCCCTGCTTGTTCAGGAGGCCTGGTTGATAAGAAGTTAATTTGTAGTTATTTTAAATATTAATTAATGTGACTTTGCTAAATACAAAACACATGTTTTCCTCATTTTCATTCAAGGCTAGCTTTCTGCTGACCTTCACAAAATACTGCACCCCGTTAGAGAGTTATTTGCTGTTTGTTTATAATCCATACGAAGTTAGAAAATCACTATCTGGCTGAGTATAAACACATCGAACATTTGACCATCGAAATGTCCCAGCCATTTCCTCTGCGCCCACATGTATGCGTAGTGATGTAATAAGCTCTCAGATATTGTCTCATTAGGACTTCCAACTTGTTTGCTGCTCTTGAAACTGAACATGGTAATATAAATGTTGATTTTAGTTAGGTTTAATTTGTCTAAATGTTGCTGTTTGTAATAAAACTCAGTGTACAGATGTTAGATGCTTAAAATGTCACTTAAAAATAGAGACATAAGTTTGCAGTGGTAAAGATATTTACTATCAGGATTTTCTGAAATAGAGCCTGGTTTGCTAATGCAAAATTTAATAGAATTATCTCCCTACAGCTGTTTCTGCTGTTTCTCCACCATCCCCATCTCTTACCCTTGCCACATGTAGATCAAACACAGATTCACATGTTTATGTATTAGAGTATTTGGGACAAAAAATGGGATAATGTGTTTGATTCACATCTCTAGCATTTTAAATGTACTTAAAAAATGAATTGGAACCTTGAATATAAAATGTCCTCTGCTTATAAGGGCATTTAAGTTACTAATATCTATTATTGGCCTAAACAACTATTCAGAGAAAACACTTAAAATTTGCATAAGCTATAAAGCATTTATTCATGCTTTGTTTCTTCGTCTTTCCCACTATCTTCCATAGATTTGTATATAATTAGTTGTCTTCTTCTAACCTGATCTGGTGGTTATTTCTCCACTCCCAAGAGTCCAGTTATGAGGCCTCAGTGCTCCCATGTTACCCATGTTGGAACAAGCATGGCAGCTTCCAGTGTACCCTAATCAAGAGAAAGTCTTCATTTATGTTTCGTTTTGAATTGGTTTTCATATGCTATTTTTCTGTCCTTTATTTTAAACACTGTAAAAACAAGCAAGCAAAAAACAGGTGTCCTTATACAAGAGATATTATCCAAACATATCTGTAGGACAAGATCAGTGAAAGTCCCATTAACAAAAGATAGTTTTAGATGTGTAGTGGTGGAGGTGGTGGCAGCACGTGTGTGTATGTATGTGTCTGTGTGCTGTGGTCCAATTACCCTTGTAAATTATGTTTGTTTTCCTATTTTTGAAAGAATTAAATTTTTCTTATTTTGTTACATAAAACTAGAAAATGAAAAGTATCTACTTAACAAAATCCCTAGAACTGTAGCAATGTAACTATACTTACATTTAAATTAAATCACTTATCAGATTTGGTACTTAAAATTAGGCAAAAGAAAAAGAAACTATAGTACAAAATAAGGCTGGGCGTGGTGACTCATGCCTGTAATTCCAGCACTTTGGGAGGCCGAGGCGGGTGGATCACCTGAGGCCAGGAGTTTAAGACCAGCCTGGCCAACATGGTGAAACCCCATTTTCACAAAAAATACCTGAGCTGGGCATGGCGGCATATGCCTGTAATTCCAGCTACTCAGAAGGCTGAGGCAGGATAATTGCTTGAACTCAGGATACGGAGATTACACTGAGCCGAGATTGAGCCACTGCACTCCAGCCTGGGTGACAGAGCAAGACTCTGTCTCAAAAAAAAAAAAGAAAAGAAAGTAACTGTAGTACTATAGTACAAAATAGAATGTTAGTGTTAGAAAAGAGACATTTTAGACCCCATTAGGAAGTCAAAATGGTAAGGATTAATGGAGCTATTTTCTGTATATTAAAAAGACTCAGAAATTACATATACATTTGCAATGGGGTAGTTTAGGCTAGTGAAGATTCTTCCTTTGGCAAGAATCATATATTTATCATGAGAACATGGTTTATCTCATGCTGACTTAAAGTTACTAATCTCTTTATTTAAAAAACATGAAATATGATATTTTCTCTAAAATATTCAATTTAATTTGTTGACAAAGGTTTTAGAGAATTTGGGTTTGGCAGTCAAAATGTTAAGCATCCTGGATATAGTCTGAGACCTTTCTTTCTTTTTTACATTTTATAGGTGAAAATAGTCTGATCTAAGATAACACAGATTTTTTTTTTCTTGTAGCCAAACCGATATTAAAACCAACTTTTGTAAATTATACTACAGAACACACAATCTGTCTTATCTCCCCCAAACCTCAGTGAATTACAACAACAAAGGTTTATTTCTTACCCACCTTTCATGTTGGCAACCCTGGGTTGCCTGCTGTTTTGTTCCATGTGCCTGCTTATTCTGAGACTTAGGTTGAAGATGCCCCACTTTGGAACACGTCATTTTTATGGCAAAGTGAAGAGAGGTTTTATGCAGCTTTACAATGCCTCATAAAGCATCTGCTTAGACACTCCATATGTTGCTTCCACTTATATTCTATTACCCAAAGCAACTTATATCACAAACTCTAACTCAATGGGATAGAGGTGTAGAATCTTCTTACATGGAGCTTAAAAAAGATATGAATCCATCATCTACCACAACATATCCCTGACTCCTAGGGACTGCATGCTCTCTCAGCAAGGTTAGTCCTCTCCATTTCTTGGGGTCATGAAAGCAGTAAGTCCTTAGGACTCAGTGGCTACCATGCCAGTTCTAACTTCTAACTTGGGGGGCAGACTGAAGATTTTATTGAGAACATTACAATTTGAATACCATTGCTCCAGCAGACTAGAAAACTGAGTTACCAAATAGGAGTAAATTGACCCCAAGCAAGTTTCTTTCTTCGGTAAACTCATAGGTGAAAAGTTGCTTTTTTCAATGAAGATTCTTCCTACTTAAAAATTCACTTTTTTAGATTTCTATAATCCGATTCAAGAAAGACATTTTTAGTGAATATTGTATTGACCCCCCAATATCCATTTCAATTTGCTCCCAATGAGTAGCAGTTATACAATTTGGGGACTTATTCTTAATTCAAGGGACAGGCCTGATCCATCTAAGGATAATCTCATTTCTCTTGTTGGTGACTGATTCAGAATGGTCTGATTCTGGCCATTCAGTTATGAGGAAGAGAAGGTTGCTGAATACTTCCGGAAAAGATTCCTCTTACTCCTAAGAAGCAGTAATGGAAAACTCTTTTCTCTGCCTCTCACAGAATGTAAACTGAAAGCACATTTCCCCAGAAGCTATTGTCAGCCATCTTGAAAGC
Source organism: Homo sapiens (assembly GCF_000001405.40). Taxonomy (NCBI): domain Eukaryota; kingdom Metazoa; phylum Chordata; class Mammalia; order Primates; family Hominidae; genus Homo; species Homo sapiens. The sequence goes on along the minus strand of NC_000006.12, from coordinate 121,597,863 downwards.
ATGAGGCATGACGGCCTGAGGATAATGTGACACTGATGATTCAAAGTTGAGAGAAAAGAGAAATATTGCTAGAACCCTGATTAAACTATGACTAAATCTTACGGCATGTATGTTTATATGAGTGAATAAAATCCATTATTGTTTAGTCAGATTAAATTTATATTCAGATGCTTCCAACCAAAAGCATCCTAACTGATAAAGCATTAGTCCTTCTCTCCCTCTTTAAACTCTCCACACCAAACAGAGAACCAATGTGTAAGATTTGTGTCAGTTGTCTAAGAGGTATAAGCAAATATCTATCTCACCTCTTGAGTTCTACAATGAAAACTGTTATTTTTTATTACACTAAAATACCTTACATATCAATATATACCTAGGTACAAGGCATGAGACAGCTTTTGTAATATTATTTACTTAAATGAGAATTTTATTCAAATGATAATACATACACTTCTAGAAAGGAAAAGACAAAAAAAGATGATCAAGTCACTCCTTTAAAAATACATAAAAAAAAGATATAATTCTCAGTGTGTTACTCATTGCATATTGTCTTAGCGGTGAACATTTCTACCAAATAAACAAAATAAATATTCAGATGAGCCAAAAAATTGTTCAACAAACAGAAGCATGAGGAAGGTTTTTTTTTTCATCTAACCCCTTGGAAGCCATAAACATTATATATATTTATGGGTTTTGTAGAGACAAGGTCTCACTCTGTTACCCAGGCTGGAGTGCAATGGCATCATCATAGCTCAATGCAACCTCTAACTCCTGAGCTCAAGTGATTTCTCCCATCTCAGCATTCCAGGTAGCTGGGACTACAGCTGTGCCTCACGATGCCTGGCTAGTTTTGTTTTTTTTTTTTTTAATTTTTCTTTAGAGACAGTGTCTTGCTATGTTGCCCAGGCTGTTCTCAGGCTCCTGGCCTCAAGTGATCCTCCCACCTCAGCCTCCCAAAGTGCTGGGATTACAGGCATGAGCCACCACACCTGGCCTATGAGGTTATTGCTAGTAGTTTTCAATGTGACATTAAAATACTTGGGTGGAAGGCTGGACGCAGTGGCTCATGCCTGCAATCCCAGCATTTTGGGAGGCCAAGGCAGGGGGATTGCTTAAGCCCAGGAGTTCATGACCAGCCTGGGCAAGATGACAAAATCCCATCTCTACAAAAAATACAAAACTTGGCCTGGCATGGTGACAGGTGCCTGTGGTCCCAGCTACCCAGGAGGCTGAGAGGTGGGAGGATTGCTTGAGCTCCAGGAGGTCGAAGCTGCAATGAGCTGAGATTATGTTGCAGAAGTTATCTTTAGTTCAGCTAAAGATGGAGTCCTTGTCACACGGCCACAAAAGATTAGGCTCGCAGACAATTTGAAGGGTGAGAATAATGGGATCTATTGGGCAAAAAGGAAAAACAGGGGACTCAGTAGAGCAAGAGCCCTTCTCGTGTATGCTTCCCGCCCCAGTGATTGAATCCCAGGTTCCACCCAGGAAGAGGAGGGGCCAGGCTCCTCCCTGCTGCAAATGGTGCGAACTTCCGTGGCTCCACCCCTGTATGCATTCCTCCCAGTGCAGGGCCCGGTTGGAGTTTCTCTGGGGACCCCTGTCCCACTCAATTGTACCACTGCAGTCCAGTCTGGGTGACAGAGTGAGGCCCTGTCTCAAAAAGAAAAAACAAACTTAGGTGGTATTAAAATCATTGTATATCCCTATTTCCCTTATTTTAACTGCTGTATTCTCTTCTATCTGTGCAAATATGCCAAAATAGCAAGCTAACTCTGTTCCTATAAAATATTAGCTATAATAAATGTCATTCCTTACTGTTCTTTATTTCTTTCTCCTACAATGTGTCCATGGACAGGTAAATTTTGATGAGTTCTTGATATGAATTTAATCTGACACTCACTACTCCTCCCCAGCCAACATCAATTTCTTGGTCCCACCTTGTAGCCTTTAAACTGCTTGTCTGCAAGTATCTTGGGGTGGGGAGGGGTGGCAGAGCTGAGAGAATGCAGCAATAAATTCAAGTCTTGACAAGTTGCAAATTTCATGTATGTTCTGAGCCAGCAAAATAAGATTTCAATATCAAGGGCTTGTCAAAATGTATCATCTATGCTAAAGACAGGGGAAAAAAAGCATCAGAAAACTCATAAGCAAAGGCTTCCAATGTGTTTTGGATATCAGAAACACTCCAAAACGTAATGTAATAATACTCATACATTAAGAATAAATATAAGATGGAGTTTCTGCAAGAACATCAAATGTTCAAATTTCAGAGGAAAAACTCAGAAAAAAATGTAGGTGTGTGTTTGGCACCTCAGAGACACATGACATCAGAGACATCACAACATGTGATGGCCCGGGCTGCAAAGGTAACTGTTCTGACAAAGTGTATAGCATGGAACCGAGGATTCCCAAAGGAAAATGCAATGGCAGCAGGTAACATGGAGAAATACAGGAACTAGAGAGGGGCCTGTGAAACAAGAAATGCTTGGGTATGAAATTTGCTATGAATGAGGAGTGGCAACTTGCTCAATAGAGAGTGTGGCAATTGTCCCACTAAACAGTCTTATTTTCAATTCAGGGATGCCAGGAATACAAGCTTCAAAAAACAAAACAAAACAAAAAAAAACTAGAAGTGAAGAATATTTTTTAAACATGCAACATGGGGAAAAAAGAATCTCAGATAAGAACCTGGTGAATCAGGATGCCACCTGGTTTCCTATGCATGTCTCCCTTTCCTCACTTGCCCTTCCAAAAAGAAGGCAGTTGAATTAGGGGATTGTTTCCCCAAAATATAATAAATGCCTTAATTAATATCTTTATGGAAGTCTCCCTGTCAAATTTTAAGTCACAGGTTGAGTTAGACAACTGACATAGACCAACCAGCATGCTTCGGAGAGTGAAGCCAAGAAGATTTTCCAAGTCTGAAAGACCTGTTTCCACTTAGAAAGTCGTCAGTGTCCACTGTGGTCCTTGGGTGATGATAATAACATGAATCTTTATTTTACCATTTATTGGATACTAGAGAATGTTCATGTTTATGAGTGTGGGGCAAGGGCTGTGATAGCCTTAAGGGTTCTGTTAACTTTTCAGACTCTCTACAAGAAGGGCACATAGGAGGCATGAGGTTGGCTTAATGCAATTGATTTCAGCTAATGCACTGAAAGAGTCTTCAGCTGCAGGACTCCCACATACTCCGGCATCTGACTGAGACCCCTCTGACTGACACAGAACAGAAAATAACCATAATCTTTAATTTCTACAAGTTTAGCCATAAATGATTAAAACACTCAGTTTGGGTCTTTAATTTGTCCCTGAAAATAAAATAATTATGAGGAGGAGTTTTGTTGCTCAAATTTGAAGTCAATTTTTATTTCTAGCATTGGCTTACTTATATCAATTTTATTCTATCATTTAGTCTCATTGCTTAGTCTCAGATAAGTTAATTTGAGTAAATTAAAGGCCATTCTATACTCTAAACCAGAGGTTCTCCATCGGGGATTTTGTACATTGGGGGATATTTGGCAATATCTGGAGACACTTTTGGTTGTCACAAATGGAAAAGGGGCAGTGCCATTGGTATCTAGTGAATAAAGGCCAGGGTTGCTGCAAAGCATTGCGCAATGCACACAACATCCCCCTACAAAGGAATGACTGAGTTTGAGCATGAGTGTGTGGGGTTCCACATAGTATGCTCTCTACTTTCATGTAAGTTCGGAATCTTCTTTTTTTCTTTTTTTTTTTTGAGACAGAGTCTTGCTTTGTCACCCAGGCTGGAGTGCAGTGGCATGACCTCAGCTCACTGCAACCTCCACCTCCCTGGTTGAAGCAATTCTCTTGGCTTAGCCTCCCAGGTAGCTGGGATTACAGGCATGTCCCACCACGCCCAGCTAATTTTTGTATTTTTAGTAGAGATGGGGTTTCACCATGTTGGCCAGGCTGGTCTCAAACTCCTGACCTCAAGTGATCCAACTGCCTTGGCCTCCCAAATTGCTGGGATTACAGGCGAGAGCCACTGCACCCAGCAAGTTTGGAATTTTCTATAACAAAAGGTTTACAAGAATCTCAGGGGTAGGATCCAAGGAATGTGCATTTTTAGCAGACTCCTCCTCATGTGATACTCATGGACTAAGTTTTTTGAGAACCTTTTTTCTGGAGCCTATTAATCTTCCTATTGTTCTGTAGAGTGTGAGGTTTCCAAGTAGCTTCGCTTGTGCAGTTTCTCCTCCATTCTCCTTATAATCTCCTGTTCACCAACTTCTCATCACAAGATCTGGCCACATTCCTAGAACCCTTTCCTTTCTCATTTCCACATTGGGTTTTTGTTGCATGCTATGTGGAAGTTCTTTATCCTTTTTAATAAGCTTGATAGTTTTTCTCAAACTCTTTTGCCAGTGCCATCTGCCAGGAGATCAGCTGACTTTCTGCTCTCACATAATTACAGAGAGCCTTGGGCAACAAGATAAACATAGGACATATCCTTCAGGTCCCTAGGAACATTCCCTCCATGCTTACAGTTCTGTGTTTACAGATGATCTACAGATCTACAGTTTCTGAGCCTCCTCCTGAAAATTACTCTGTTAAATTGTCACAGTAAAAGGCCCATTTGCCTTGGCATTTTTCTCTTGAATTTGCTGACACGTAGGAACTTAGAAACCCCTAGGAACCAAGAGGGCTATTATTGGCTGTTGCTCATAGCGGACAGCTGTTGGTCTACTAAAGTGTTGGTAATTAACAACAATTTGTATCAGCTAAGTGTCAGGCAGACCTCCTCAGCAGGCACCATAAACACGCAGAGGCTCTGGAGCCAATTATTCCAAACACTGGCAAAAACACTGCACTGGCACTTCTCCTTGCCAGATGGGCTTTTCTTTTGCGGGTTTTTTTTTTTTTTTTTTTTTTTTTTTTTTTTTTTTTTTTTTTGTGGTGGGTCAGTGTGCAGTGAGAAAAGTACTGCACTGGGAGTTCAAGACAGCACTATCAATATCCATCTGAATAATGTTTGATAAGTTCTTTTAAGCTTCAATCTGTAATATGAGGAGGTTTGAATACATGAGCCTCAAACTTTGTTACCCAACATGTGGTTCACAATCCAGCAGGAGTGGTTCATCACGTTGGAGCTTGTTAGAAACGCCGATTCCTAGGACCCACCCCGGACCTACTGAATCAGGATCGGCATTTTCAACAGACAGCCAGGTGATTCCTACTCACATCCTATTAATTTCCTAGAGCTGCTGTGATGAATTACCACAAATTTAGTGATTTAAAGCAAAACAAATATATTATGTTACAGGTCTATAAGTCAGAAGTGCAACACAGGTTTCACTGAGCTAAAATCAAGGTGCCCAGGGCTACGTTCCTTTCTAGACCCTGCAGGGGAAAATCTGCTTCCTTGCCTTTTCTAGCTTCTGGAAGCTGCCCACATTCCTTCTCTCACTGCTACCTTCCTCCATCTTCAAAGCCAGGTGTGTCACATCTCTCTGACCATTCCTCCATAATCACATCTCCCTCTGACCCTGAACTTCCAGAAAGCTTCTCTGCTTTAAAGATCAATGTGAATAGATTAAGCTCATTCAGATTATCCAGGATAATCCCGTCATTTCAAAATCTTTACCTTTCACATCTAAAAGTTATTTTCACCATGTAAGGCAACATAGTCACAGGTTCCAGGGATTAGGACGTGGATATCTTTCAGGGCCATTGTTCTGCCAAACATACACACTAAAGTTTTAAGAAGTTCTACTCCCACAACATATTCATCTACATAAGAAAATAAAGAAATGGAATTCTGGGTTGGGTGCAGTGGCTCACATTTGTAATCCCAACACTTTGGGAGGCTGAGGCGGGTCGATCACATGAGGCCAGGAGTTTGAGACCTGCCTGGACAACATGGTGAAACCCTGTCTCTACTAAACATACAAAAATTACCCAGGCATGGTGGCACATGCCTGTAATCCCAGCTACCCAGGAAGCTGAGGCACAAGAATTGCTTGAACCCAGGAGGCAGAGGTTGCAGTGAGCCAAGATTGCACCACTGCATTCCAGCCTTGGTGACAGAGACCCTGTCTCAAAAAAAAAAAAAAAAAAAAGAAAAAGAAAAGAAAAGGAAAGAAAAATTAGCTGGGTGTAGTGTCACACACCTGTAGTCCCAGCTACTCATGAGGCTGAGGTGGGAGAATCACTTGAGCCTGCAGTGACCCACAGTCACACCACTGCACTCCAGCCTGGGCGACAGAGCAACACCCTGTTTCCAAAAAAAGAAAGAAAGAAAAGCAAAGAAATGGAATTCTTTTGTCTGTTGTTAACTGCATTCTTTCTTTTATGGCTGAATTGTGCCCCCCAGGAAAATTAATGTGTTAAAGTCCTAACCCCTAGTACCTCAGAATGTGACTCTATTTGAACATAGGACCTTTAAAGAGGTAAACAAAGTGAGATTATCTGAGTGGGCCCTAATTCAATAGAACTGGTGTCTTCGTAAGAAGATGAGTTGAGGACACACGCACAGCAAAAAGATCATGTGAAGACAAGGAGAGGATGACCATCTACAAGCCAAGAGAGGCCTCAGAAGATTGACCTAGCCAACACCTTGATCTTGAACTTCTAGATTCCAGAATTGTGAGAAAACAAACTTCTGTTGTTTAAGCCACCCAGGGTGCTATACTGTTGTTTATAGCAACCCTAGCACACTAATATACTCCCCAATGCTAATTCAACATATTTTGAGACAACCATGACTACAATCCCATCATTACCGCTTCATTATCAAGCTACTGAAGTTCTCCTGACCCAATTTTAATCACTTTGTTTCTGTCTCCCTGGTAACAGCTTAATCTTGACCTGAATGTGACACAGAATTTTAACCCATCCACCTGCATTTCCCTGATTACTCTGTGGAAAATACGTTCATCCTCACAACCTCCGCTCAGTTCTTTATCCAATCCCGGCTGCTTTTCCCAAGATAGTATATCTTTAATTATTCCTCTTTCTCTAACATCATCAGTCTCCCTACTAGTGAATTTTTCTACTCAAACTACAAAATCGTTTGATTCTACTTATTCAGTCTCACTGCTCTGCAGAGCAAATGGCCAATAGCTTTCTTAAAGCACTAAACTTCTGGACAAAGTAATCTGCACTCAACCTCTGCGTCCTCATCATCAATTCACTCCTCCACACTTCCTATTGTGACTTTTTTCTCAAACATTTGGCTAAAGCTGCTACTTCTGATGTCACTGGTAACCTTTTTTATGATTGCCAAATCACTTCTCATTCTCCTTGATCTGTCTGCAATTGTTGACAGTGTAGACTGCACTCTTTCTCAATGCTATATCATTTTGAGGGTTTTTTTCCCTTCCTCTCAAAGCTTTCCTCCTTTCCTTCTTGCACAGATTCTACTTCTAAAAATGTTTATTGAACCCCTACCATGTTTCAGAAAAGAGCTGATTCCAATGCTTAAATATTTTTTTCTTTCTCTTCTCTACTTGAAGTGAGCTTTCTCATGTTTAAACGTAATTGTTTCTCAAAGATCAATTCTTGATGTTCTCCTTTTTTTAATGGATTTTTTCATAACACGAATTTACTAATAACAATTTCAACTAGGGTTTCAATGCAAATAAAGCCCAAAACCTTATTTTTCTCCCATCAGTCTCATCACATTTTTCTATCAGCATGTTACTCCAATATTTAAATTTAACATGTCTAAACTAAACTTTCTGTAAGTTAACAGAGCATGATTACCAAACTTGTGCATTGAAAAAGGCAGAACATACAATTTTAAATATCATGGCAGACTTAATCATTAGGTTGAAACTAATCATATAAATTTTAATGTGGATAAATGCAAAGTCCTGCAAATATCTATCATACAGATATAAACATGAGTGACCAGTCCTTAAAAAGGAATATACAAAAAAGAGACAGAAGACTACATTAGAAAGCTAGTAAATCATAGACTACATTAAGATAGCACAGTATCTAAAACAAGAGGGAAAAGTATTTCATTGTTCTCTAGGTAGAAGATACTAGAGTCAAACTTTTTTTTTTAAAAAAAGGTCTCTGTTATCCAGGCTGAAGTGCAGTGGCACAATCACAGCTCCTGCAGCCTCTGCCTCCTGGGCTTAAGCAATTCTCTCACATCAGCCTCTTGAGTAACTGGGACCACAGGTGTGCACCACCATGCCTGGCTGTTTTTTGTATTTGTTGTAGAGACATGGTCTCCCTATGTTGCCCAGGCTGGTCTTGAACTCCTGGGCTCAAGTGATCCTCTGGTCTTAGCCTCCTAAAGTGCTAGGATTGCAGGCGTGAGCCACCATGCCTGGCCTAGAGTCAAACTTTTAAAATAGTTGCTGGAACTTACCACCAAACAGCTAGCCAGAGATTAGTACAAGCAATCTGGAGGGAAGGAATCTGAAAATTGTTTCCTATTAAAAAAAATTGTTTTTAAAGAACTGTTTTGTGTAAAATAGCTATGAAGAGCTAACATAATGAAATGTAGCTATAGAGGGCAAAATACATGATAAAGTTCAGCTCAAAAAATGGAAGACCTTTCTAAGAAAGATGTTAAATATATAGATATATCTATGGACAGTCTTCATATAGTGGCCTCTGTATCACCAAAAATATTTAAGCATTTAAAAGCTGCATTAAAAAAGAGCCATCTAATTTAATAAACAATAAACTTGATTCAAATAATATTGAATTCCAATACAGACTCAGCAACAAGCATCTTGGAAAACTTACTTACTTCTCTGAGCCTCATCTTCTCATATATAAAATTGTATAATATTATCCTTGGTTGTTATGAAGATTATATATAATACACGTGAATCATTTGGCTCTTATTATTATAATTTTTAACAATGTATAGTTTAAAAATTTGAGCAAATTACCTCCAAGTTTTTTTTACAATACTCACATCTTTTGATTCCAGATTTGCTGAGAGCCTGGTCAAAATATATATCATTGTTTAGATGCAATTGTTTTTCTACATCACAAAAGAGTTCATTATGTATTAGGGTTCTCCAGAGAAATAAGACCAATAGGATGTGTGTATATATATATAGATATATGAGACGGAGAGAAAGTGAGAGAGCAAGATGGATTTATTTTAAGGAATTGGCTCATGCAATTGCAAAGGATAGCAAATCTGAAATCTGCAGGGTAGGCCAGCAGCCTGGAAACCCAGGGAAGTGTTGATGTTACATTCTCAAACCTGAAGCCTATCTGGAGGCAGAATCCTTTCTTTCTCAGGGGACCTCAAACTTGTGCTTCAACTGATTGAATGAGGCCCACCCACATTATAGGGGATAATCCACTTCACTCAAAGTCTACTGACTTGAATGTTAATCATATCCAAAAAATACCTTCACAGCAACATGTAGATTCGTGTTTGATCAAACATCTAAGTATCATAACCTAGCCCAGTTGACATATTAAGTTAACCATTAGGCTGAGTGCAGTGGTAAGCGCCAGCTACTCCCAGCTACCCAGGAGGCTGAAATGGGAAGATTGTTTGAGCCCAGGAGTTTGAGTTCAGCCTGGGCAACATAGCAAGACCTTATCTCTTAAAAAAAAACAAAAACAAAAACACACAGTTCTAAACCAAACTACTTCTACATTCTCACACAAAGGAAGGTATGGAGAAAAATACATTTTTACTTGACAGAGCAAGCAAAGGAAGAAAGTTAAGGCCAGGTACAGTGACTCAACACATGTAACATTAGCACTTTGGGAGGCCGAGGCAGGAAGATCACTTGAACCCATGAATTTGAGATAAGACTGGGCAACATAAAGAGACTACGTCTCTCCAAAAATTTTTAAAAAGTAGCTGGGTGTGGTGGTGCATGCCTGTGGTCCCAGCTAGGTGGGAGGATAGCTTGTATCTGGGAGGTTGAGGCTGCAGTGAGCCGGAATACACCACTGGAGACTCTAGCCTGGGCAACAGAGAGAGACCTCATCTCAAAAAAAAAAAAAAAGATTAACCATGTCGGAAAATTGTTATCTTCCCAATGGTATTATGTAACATCTCTGCCAGCATTCTGCAACTTTAAAAAACTTTAAAAAGTTTTTTTCTAGGCTGATGTGGTGGCTCATGCCTAGTTCAAGCAAAGTGCCTGTACCTATAATCCTAGCACTTTGGGAAATCAAGGTGAAAGAATCACTTGCATCCATGAGTTTGAGACTAGCCTGGGCAAAATAGTGAGACCCTGACTGTACAAAAAATTAAAAAAAAAAAAAATAGCCGGGCATCGTGGTGCACACCAGTAGTCCCAGCTACTGAGGTGGCTAAGATAGAAGGATTGCTTGAGCCCCCCTGGTGGAGGTTGCAGTGAGCCTGTGTTCAAGCCACTGCACTCCAGTACAGAGAAAGATCTTGTCTCAAAAATCATCATTATTATCGTCATCATTAAAATTCTTATTATACCCCAAAGTGAGTGACACTGGTGTCAGATAATAGTATCTTTCATTGGTGTTACATAACATCCCTGCCTGCACTCTGCAACTTTAAAGATATTCTTTCTAGGTTGCTGTGGTGGCTCATGCCTATAATCCCAGAACTTTGGGAGGTTGAGGCAGGAGGATCACTTGAGTCCAGGAGTTTGAGACCAGCCTCGGCAACATAGTGAGACCCTGTCTCTACAAAAAAAATTAAAAAGATAATAATAACCAGGCATAGTGACACCCGCCTGTGGTCCCAGCTACACAGGAGGCCGAGGTGGGAGGATTGCTTAAGCCCGGGAGGTAGAGGTTGCGGTGAGCTGTGTTCAGGCCACTACATTCCAGCCTGGGTGAGAGAGTGAGACCCTGTCTTAAAAAAAAAAAAAAAAAAAAAAAAAACTTTGTTAGAGTTTTCTGGCAAAAGTGACTTCTTTTACCATTCACCACAATCTCCTGAGTTTTATTTCTCAGTGTTGTATGCTCCATTAATGCTTCCAAATGAGTCTCAATGGTCAATATGCTGATCTCAGGAAAGTCAAGTTATATACAAACTCTATCTTTTAACTCTGCAGCATCTGCATTCATATATCCATAACCCTAATGAAGATGAAAAAGCTGAAAAGAAACCAACTGTTTTACTGGAGTGACCTGGTTTATTTTTCTGTGCAATTGGACTAAGCCTGTAGAAAGAACTGAGAGGACTGGGTTATTTCAGGTTCATGTTTTTCTCCAAATCATACCACACTTTCTCATGTCAAATGAAATATCTAAAGTGAAGACACTGTAAATATTTTCATTTGGATCATTTTCAAAATTTTCAGTGTGAAAGTGGTTATTTTTTAATCAGTCTTTATATTTGAGATGCATATTGAAATATTTACTGAGAAAATTGGAAAATACCTGGGAAAATGGTTAAACCTGGGTGATGAATACATGAGATTCCTTATGTTATCCTCTACTTTGTATAGGTTTGACAATTTTATAATTTATCTGTGGTATGTTGATATTTTACTAGCATTTAAAAAATGAAACAAGTAAATATGTTTAGCTGTCTACCTGTTCCTTAAAGCCATAATAAGTGTATGTCAGTCCTTTTTTCAAGAACTATAGAATTGGGTGGAGTGCAGTGGCTCATACCTGTAATCCCAGCACTTTGGGAGGCCGAGTTGGGTGGATCACTTGAGGTCAGGAGTTTGAGACCAGCCTAGCCAACATGTTGAAACCCGGTCTCCACTAAAAATACAAAAATTATCTGGGTGTGGTGGCACATGCCTGTAGTCTCATCTACTTAGGAGGCTGAGGCACGAGAATCACTTGAACCCGGGAGGCGGAGGTTGCAGTGAGCTGGGAACTTGCCACTGCACTCCAGCCTGGGCGATAAAGCGAGATTCAGTCTAAGAACAAACAAACAAAACTATAAAATTATAATCATTAATCTTGCACATGTCTCTAGACTGGTGTCTATCTCTGTTAGTCCCCAAGCTGTTCCCTTTCGGGAAGAGGACAGACATCTTCGGTAGGAGCACAAATTATTGGTCTTTGGGACTCAACAAGTAAATGAAGAGAAAAATTTAATGAACCATTTCATATAAATAATTTTCAACACTACTAAAAGGTTTACTATGAGGATCAATGAAATGTAGTAATTTATGGGAGATACTCTGAGATTTGGGAAAGATTGCTGTTTACTACAACTACCATTATTGTTATTATTGTTTTGTTTTGTTTTGTTTTGTTTTGTTTTTTGAGATGGAGTTTTTTTTTTTTTTTTTTTTTGAGATGGAATTTCTTGTTGCCCAGGCTGGAGTGCGATGGCATGATGTCAGCTCACCGCAACCTCTGCCTCCTGGGTTCAAGCGATTCTCCTGCCTCAGCCTCCTGAGTACCTGGGATTACAGGCATGTGCCACCACGCCCAGCTAATTCTGTATTTTCAGTAGAGACGGGGTTTCTCCATGTTGGTCAGGCTGGACTTGAACTCCCCACCTCAGGTGATCCGCCTGCCTCAGCCTCCCAAAGTGCTGGGATAACAGGTGTTAGCCACCGCACCCAGCCCACTACCATTATTTTAATAGTTGCTTTTGCCTTCTTCATCACTGACCTCAGCCCAGTTCTCCACTGTGGTCTCAGGGAAGCTTACAAACATACAAAAGGAAAAAAAAAAATGTCCTTATCTTTTTCTCTCCTTAGCTAAAGTATAAGGTTAAGGAAGGATGAACTTCCTTTAGTGACTCCCTCTAAGAACAATGACCTACAGGAAAGGGTGGGGAGGGAGTTACAAGAAACCTTGCCTAGATAAGTCTGCGAAGAGACTGACTTCTAAGAAAGATTTGTCAACATAAAAGTTAATTTACCAGGCTGATTTTTCAGAGCAGTTCATTATCATCACAGGTCATTCTTATTGCATTGTTCTATTTGACGTAAGCGACAGATAATAATACCTACTGTATCACTGTAGAAAAAAGTCCACAATATACCATTAAAATGTTTCAAATACCATTTTTTTAGTATTCAGTTTTCTTCTTAAATAAACTAGATTTTTAATGTCATCTGTAGTATGTATGCAACTTCTCTTTGCTCTCTTCTCTCCCACATACACAGCTCCTGCTGAGCTAATGGTTTTCTATTTTTATCTTGCTATTTATAATTTACTGATGTTTCTTACCAAGAATCTTTGGTTTGACTCACAAAACTCATCTGAACCTATTGCCAGTGTTGAAGTATTACTGTTTTAATGTCATTATTTAATCATAGAAATATTTTCTGTGCACACATTTTTAAATTATGTATAAATAAACTCTACCAAGGCTTTCAGATTGTAGCCCATAATCGTGTGTGTGTGTGTGTGTGTGTGTGTGTGTGTGTGTGTGTGTGATTTATTTATTTATTTTTGAGACAGGGTCTTGTTCTGTCACCCAGGCTAGAGTACAGTGGTGCTATCATAGCTCACTGTAACCTCAACTCCTAGAGGTTCAAACAATCCTCTCACCTCAGCCTCTGAAGTAACTGGGACTACACATGTACACCACCATGCCTGGCTAATTTTTTAAACTTTTTGTAGAGACTGGGTCTTGCTATGTTACCCAGGCTGTTCTCAAACCCCTGGCCTCAAGTGATCCTTCCACCCACCTCAGCCTTCCAAAGTGCTGGGATTACAGGCATGAGCCACCACACCCGGCCTTGTGTGTGTTTTTAAATAGTCTTGACATATTTCCAAAGAAGTGCATGTACATTTAATAAACATTATCCTTAGACTCTTTTTCAGTGAGTTTAAGAAGGATAATTTGGAAATTTATTACATTTATTTTCCCCTTTTATTATGTCATCAACACTGGCTATACATTCTTTGAATTACAGTAAAGAATTTGGCTGTCTGAACACAACAAAATAAGAACACAAGACTTATTTCGAGTAAATCCTAACTTGTGTTAGCCAACAATGAGCAAAAAGATTTTTCCTAACACTTTTGCTCTGTTTTGGTGAAGATATTTAATATCTAAGAACCATATTTGTTTCACATTTTATCTCCTACCTTTTCCACTCTTTAAATAGTATCTTCAGAAAGAGAAACTATCAAAAACTACAGAGCTTGGCCTGAACCTGCTTACGTCGATATATTTTCATTGGATAAGTTTATATAAATATATGATGGCCAGGCATGGTGGCTCACATCTGTAATCCCAGCACTTTGGGGAGCCATGGACGTAGGATTTCTCGAGCCCAGGAGTTTGAGACCAGCCTGGGCAATACAATGAGACCCCCCCACCCCCAATCTACAAATAATAATAATAATTTAAAAATTGCCTGGGTGTGATTGTGCATTGTCTGTAGTCTCAGTTATTCGGGAGACTGAGGTGGGAGGATTGTTTGAGCCCAGGAGGTGGAGGCTGCAGTTGAGGTAGAATCTGGGCCACAGAGCAAGATTCTGTCTCTAAATAAATAAATAGGCCAGGAGTAGTGGCTTACACCTGTAATCTCAACACTTCAGGAGGCTGAGGCAGGAGGATCACTTGGGCTCAGAAGTTTAAGACCAGCCTGGACAACAGAGTGCGACCTTGTCTTTATTTAAAAGATAACACGTCTGTAATCCCAGCACTTTGGGAGGCCGAGGCGGGCGGAGCACGAGGTCAGGAAATCGAGACCATCCTGGCTAACACGGTGAAACCCCGTCTCTACTAAAAACCCAAAAAATTAGCCGGGCGCCGTGGCGGGCGCCTATAGTCCCAGCTACTCAGGAGGCTGAGGCAGGAGAATGGGGTGAACCCGGGAGGCGGAGCTTGCAGTGAGCCAGTGAGCCGAGATAGCGCCACTGACTCCGGCCTGGGTGAAAGAGCGAGACTCTGTCTCAAAAAAAAAAAAAAAAAGATAATAATAAAAATGAAAATAAATATATGTTATACACACACAAACTCACACATACATACTCTAACACACACATGCGATGTAAACTTTACTGAACAAATCTAAACACAAGAGATATCACCTGTTCATTTGAGCTGCATTTGGAAAACCTCCATCTAGAGCCTTGTTTATTACAGTACTATCACAGCTTATTTAAGATAGAAAGACTGGAGTTAGTGCATGGCCTCCCTATTTAATGGATACCAAAAACCAAGAACCAAGTTGAAGGAGGAAGTTTTCAGTATTCAAAGCTAGTCAGTGTTCTCTGGATTCTACTGAATCCTCACAGACTTCTTCCTTAGAAAATAAATAAATAAATGAAACTGAATGAACCTAAAATACTTCCGTGCAAAAATTGAAAAGACAGCTAAATTCATGCTTAGTTAGTCTTATATGGAAGAAAAATGATTATTTTTTAATATATATGAATCTAACTCATTTGTGAAGTAAGGACTTATTAAAAAACAAAACCCTCAAAATTCAGGTCTCCAACTGTTTCTTTTGGTAAAAATTATGGAACACATGCAATCTCTGTTGTGGTTACCCGTGACAGAAAAACATAGAAGCATGCCTTATGATTTCTCTAAAGGGATTTTTAAATCCTCAGGGACATTCCTTAAACAAGATTACTAATGCTAATTTTGTGATGCTCTGTTGGTTTTACTTATATATTAATATGATAATATTCAAATCCTATTGTCTTAAATCTAGACATACCAAGAGAGATTTCTAGCTTCATGCGGGACAGATTACTCCCGTATTCCCATCACAAGCAACTAATAAGCAGGGCAGTGAGGCATTTGGCTTCATAATGGCTGCTGGGAAGGATGATTTAAGATATTTCATCTTCCTTTATTAAAATGGTTATATCTTGATACTAGAAAGCCATTTAGTGCTATCCCTGGTGTGCTAAACTCTGAAGAGGTTTTATGATTTCCTTAATGTTACTTTTTTAGGCCAAAACTCAAAAATCCTTTCTGTAGAATCTTCATGGAAAACCTTCCTTCTACATACACACACATACACACACACACACACACACACATACACACACAGACAACACCTACCTACAGTGCTTTCAGACTTAACATCTGAAGTTCACTATCCCAAAACAGAATAGGGAATGGTATATCCTCAGGGATATGAGGATTTAGCAGAGACTGTCCCATCCCACCATAAAATATTTTTGAAGTTTCATGCATTGAAATCTTATACTTTGCTTTTAAAATTACCCCAAATTTTGCTTTAGCTGCATATTTTCCTGTTTTAATATATATATTTTGTCTCAAAGAACTAAAAAGTGGCCCAAACCGACATAACACAGGACATTTATGTTCTTGTAATCACACACATAGTTCCACAGGTCATGGGCACTCAGTTTGAGAGTCTGGAAGACCAAAATGTACATGTTAGCAAGACTGAGCTGAGAGATAGTAGAATCTGTGTAATAGGCAATCCTACTTTTAGCAAGCATCCAGATAATTTAGACTAAATATACTTGGGACCTAGAGATGAGATACACAGGCAGTCTTTCAAAAGGCAGGGAGGAGGTGGAGTTCAGGGTGGCTGAATATTAGGGGGGTCATTCAACTGTTCAGTTATTTACTCCCTTATGAGCTCCGGGCACTGAAACAAGTTACTAACTAGAAAGACAAAGATGGATAATTACAGCTCTAACCAAAGAAGAGCACAAACTAGCCAAATTAGCAGAAGAAAACAGACACCTAAACTGGAACTTACAAATTGAAATGAAAAGTAAAAAGGTAGAGAGACATCAAATGCATCTGGAATTGAGGAAGTGACAAGAACTAAGGCAGTGGCACTGCCTCTTCCACAGGCTTAAGAAATTTAAGAATTGTTATAAATTTCTGCAGCAGTGTTCAGAGGCTTAGGAAGAAATGTGAAGCATGCATGTCTATTACTTTCTCCGACTTAGATGCGAAGAGGAAAGATTTGGCTTATTTCAACAAGATCAATTCTAAACTCATTCTCTTGAATAACTGAGTTGTTCTAAAAGGGTAAGAAAAGTTTTGTTGTTTTTAAAGACTCATCTAAATTTAATCAAGTTGCTCCTCCCTGAAGGCAGTATCAGGTCACAGAGAACTTGTTTGAAGACATTTGGTTTCAGCTACCAAACTGAGTGAAGGGACACGACCTGAGTGATCAGGTTAGATACCCACCTCGACAAACACGCGAACACACACACACACCCTCAAGTTAACATGATGGAGGCTGGAGATAAGTAGAAGTAGTAAAGAAAGATATTCCATTTTGCTGACTTAAGCAAGTCAGATACTAAATAGAAAAAAACATAGGGTAAGGAGCAGGTAATTTAGTGGGGATTGGGAAGAGAACTTAATAAATGCAGGTTTGGATAAGTTGAAGTTGAGATTCCTTGTGAGCCAGCAAACTGGATGTATAAATCATTCTCTTAGGTTTATATGACTGGAGATCACAAGAAAGATTTGAATTAGAAATTTTTAATTGAGAGGTTTCACAATATAAATAATTTCTTCTTGGCCTTTTAGCTAAGATCAAATGTGGTATCTGTTCTTAACAGCTTAAAATCTGATATGTCCTCTATTCAAGGACAATATATTAAATGTATTTTTGAGCAGGGAGATGGAATAGAAGCTTGCTCCTTCCATTCCATACATCTACCTAGTATTGCAGTGCCTCCAGGAATGGTACACCACACACACACACACAAACACACACACACACACACACACACACACACACACAGAGATAGATAATACAGAAGCTGTGAGAGGAGATAAAGATTACTTAGTTTACATAGTTTCTTATAAAAAGTTTTACATGTTATCCAAGTAATTAATACTTTTTTTTTTGGAGATAGGGTCTTGCTGTGTTGCCCAGGCTGGAGTGCAGTGGCATGATCACAGCTCACTGCAACCTTGAACTCCCAGGCTCAAGCAATTCTTCCACTTCAGGCCCCCAAGTAGCTGGGACCACAGGTACACACCAGTATGCCTGGCTAATTTTTGTATTTTTTTGTAGAGACAGGGTTTTACTATGTTGCCCAGACTGGTCTCTAACTCCTGGGCTCAGCAATCTACCTGCCTCAGCCCCTCAAAGTGCTATGATTACAGGTGTGAACCACCTAGCCCATCCAGCTTCACTCTTATTATTGTATGCAATTTTTACTATCATGCAAATAAGCTCAGGTAAATAAAACTAATGATCGCCTTAGAAAATTACACAATTAGTGTGAAAAAAAAAAAGATTACCTGGGGACAATGGGGTAGAATATGGAGCCCTAATGGAAAATAGCATTTCTGTGAATGGATAGAAAAGCAGAAGTCAACAAAAAATACTGAAGTAGCCTGAGAATTAAGAGGAAGATCACCAGAGTGCATTTGCTTAGAAATCAATGACACTGGAAAAAAGGGAGGATAATTCTCAAACCCAGTGCAGAGATAGGGGGAGTAGCCTGAGAGAGGAGGAGGCAAACCTTTTCCATTAAAATGGCAGGAAAGGCAGAAAGGTAATATTGCATAGCAGTGTGCAAATTTGGTGCTGGAATACTGAAGAAGTTTCTATCTGAGGGTTTCTCTTTTCTCTATGAGGATCCACTGAAGAAAAGGATATGAGAGGTAGAGGAAATATAGCTGAAGTCAGATATTTGAGGTAAATTCACTAGTCTTGAAATCACCACAATGAAGAGCAGAAGGATAAACTCGCTTGGGAAAAAGAAAACATTGTCCAGCAGTGTTCATGGTCCAAGTGAAGTGGTTAACTATAAATTTAACAAGTAGTAGTTATCCTGGACTTTTCTTGTTTTGTTTTGTTTTCATTTTCTATAGCAGTACTCAAAGGTCACAAAGAAATGTGAAGAATAGAGGTTCATTATTTTCTCCAACCTAAGACCTAGATGTGAACAGTTAATGTCTGGTTTACTTCCAATAGACCAATTCTAGAACCATCCTCATGAGTAATTGATTATTCCAACAGGACAATTTTTTTTTGTTTGCTTTTAATGATTTATCTCAATTTAATCAAGTTGCTTCTCCCAAGGCAGGGTCAGGTCACGGAGGTCTTACCAGAAGATGTGTGGTCTCAGGTACCAAATGGGTTGAAGGGGCAAGACATGAATAACCAAGCTAAACTCCTCGCTCCCAATTTTAGGGGAACTGAGACACAACAGTATACATACAGAGTTCATCATCAGTTATTGGAGAATAAAAGGAACCAGTTCTTCAAAGTCATGCAGTAACAAGAATAATTATATATTTTATCTGTAAAACAAAGACTGAGAACAAGGATCTAAGCTCACTTGATATGACATTATTGCCAAGTTTTTTTTTTTAATTCAAACTACCTAAGGGTGATTGGTCTGAGAGGTTGAGTTGAATTTACAGATAGGAATTAAATGGACTCAACTGTGTGAATTGAAGGGTTGCAGAGTCAGGCAGATTACAAAATGAGGCTTTGAAATCTTAGAAGAGCTCCCTCCACCCTCTATTCCCTAATCACATACTCAGAGCATTTGTGTGGTATCACCAAAATGATGGGTGCTGTAAATACTATATGGGAATTAAAAGGAAATACTATGATCATGAGTGGGTAAATTATGATGAAATGAAGAAAGAGGAACACAGAAGAATGAAAACAGAACCAGAGTGACAGAAAGGTCAAAAGTTCAATAAATTTTCAAAAGAAAATTTCATATGTGAATAAAAACAGACTAAAAGGACAGAAAAATGTAGAAATGCCAGTGGCCCTTCTTCCCTTTTCTTAAATATTAATATACTATTGATATTGTCAAAGACTCTCTCCTTTGACCAAAACTTTAGAGAGGCTTTCCAGTCCTTTCTGACTAGGACCAACCTTCAGGGTCCCTCTCCATCCTTGTAGAACTGTGAGATCAAAAATCCTGCTAGCCAGTTTACCAAAAATTCCCTACCCCTGATACTGGGGTCTCTAACTACCCTTGATATCTGATCTCACCATCTTCCCTTCAGCAATAAAACTACTAAGTAGAGCCAGAGATCCCCTAATACTTGATGTCTCCTCCTAGTAATTTCCCATCCACTGACCTCCAGCCTGCTCCTTGGTTATAAATCTCCACTTGTATACTTTTCTTGGGGAGCAAAAAGAAAAAAAAAATTCTAACTTTCCCTTGCTGGAAACAAACTGGAGTCCACTCTCTGTCCCCCACTGTAAGACCCAATTGCAGTCCCTATACCTATCATCATGGCCTACCTTGAGTAAAGTCTGCCTTACCATCTTTAACAAGTAAAATGATAATTTTTTTTCTGAAGCAGTATATATAATATAATGTAGAAATGTAGGGGAAAGGAACACGTCTGGAATAGATGATGAAAAGAAAATAAGTGTAAATGATAGGAATCAAGCATAACATTCAACTGAAAGCAATCACAGAACCTAGGGGGAATGCACTGAAGTAGAGCAACATTAGCCTCTGGGAAACCAGTGGGAGTCTACTAGAGGTGTAGGTGAACAATGATAACAAGCTGGAATCTAGAACTTTGGTTCTTAAATACTGTATGCTCTTCTATCTCTTCTATTGCTCTCATAACATGTTTTCTGGCTGGGTGCAGTGGCTCACACCTGTAATCCTAGTACTTTGGGAGGCCAAGTCAGGCAGATCACCTGAGGTCGAGAGTTTGAGACCAATCTGGCCAACATAGTGAAACCCCGTCTCTACCAAAAATTAGCCAGGCGTGTGGCGGGCACCTGTAGTCCCAGCTACTCAGGAGTCTGAGGCAGGGAGAATTGCTTGAACCCAGGAGGCAGAGGTTGCAGTGAGCTGAGATCATGCCTCTGCACTCCAGCCTGGGCAACAGAGCAAGACTCCATCTTGGAAAAAACAAACAAACAAAATGTGTTCTTAAACCTTATCAAAAATTGCTTAAACTAAGATTTATCGTAACTATCCAGTAAAAGAAAAAAAATCATATGTAACTTAAGAACAAAAAAATTATGTACTTTTTAATAAGTGACTCCTGCTCATTGCAGAAACAAAATCAATCCACTGAGACCACAGCATTGCAGTAGGAAAAGAGTTTAACTGGCACAAAGCTGGCCCATGAAAGAGAATGGGAGTTATCACACAAATCAGTCTCTGCACAGGCTCAGAGACTAGGCGTTCTTATGGACAATTTGGTGGGCAGGAGGCTGGGGAATGGGTGCTGCTCATTCGTTAGGGATGAAATCATAGGGTGATGGAAAGTTGTCCTCCATCCTCGTGCACTGAGTCGGCCTCTGGATGGAAGCACAGGACCAGTTGAGCCATAAGTCACCAGTCCAGATGGGGTCAGTCTGAAAATCTTAGGTTCTACAGTAGTGATGTTGCTGATAAGAGTAATTGGGAAAGTCACAAATCTTGTGATCTCTGGTCATATGACTCCTTAACAGTAAGGGATTATAGAAACTATGCCTACATTTTATCAGAGTTTACACTCCTCCCATAAACCTATTCTTGTGGCCTTTCATTAGCTTTACAAAGGTGGCTTTCAGTCCCTGAGCAAAGAGAGGGTTAGTTTTGGTTCTTTTATTGTTGTTTGTTTATTTGGGTTTTTGTTGTTGTTGTTTTGAGATGGGGTCTCACTCTGTCACCCAGGTTGGAGTGAAGTGGTGCCATCTCAGCTCAGCGCAACATCCGCCTCCCTGGGCTCAAGCATCCTCACACCTCAGCCTTCTGAGTAGTTGGGACCACAGGGGCATACCACTACACCCAGCTAATTTTTTGTATTTTTGGTAGAGACAGGGTTTTACCACATTGCCCAAGCTAGTCTCAAATTCCTGAGTTCAAGCCATCCACCCGCCTCGACCTCCCAAAGTGCTGGCGTGAGCCACCACACCCAGCTGAGGGAGTTAAGTTTTAAGGAGGGACTATTATCATCTTTCCTTTCAAGTTAAACTATAAACTAATTCCTCCCAAAGTTAGCTTGACCTATGCCCAGTAATGACCAAGGACAGCTTGCAGATTGGAAGCAAGGTGAAGTCAACTATGTCAGATTTCTCTTACTCTCAAAATTTTGCAATGGCAATTTCATTACTGGCACAGTAACTATTCTACCGTATTTCTTATTTAATAGTATTTAGGAAACTCAAAGCTTTGAATGCACGTCTCCATATGTACATATATGACTTTTGAGCTTTTGATAAAAACACCATCTGACACAAAAATAGGACTTCATCTCCTACACTATCTTAAACAGTTTTGCTTGTGCGATTTTAAAAAATTTTCAAACTTCATTATCTCAAATTATATTTGAATTAATCCAGGGGTCAGCAAACATGTTTTGAAAAGTATCAGATAGTAAATATCTGGCTTTGTGGGCCAGAGGTATCTATTGCAACTTTTCAACTCCACTGTTGTAGGTCAAAAACGGCTACAGACAGATGTAATAAATAGGTATGTGTCTGTGTTCCAATAAAACTTTAAAAAACAGGTGGCAGTTCAGATTTGACCCATTGGCTGAACCATGGGCTACTATTTGCAGATCCCTAAATTGATGTGTGAATTCATAAATTAATTAGATCATTTTAATCTAAATACTATAGTTTATACAATCCAGGTTAATTAATTTTTAAAAACTTGGTTCAATCTGTAAGTATTTTATTTAGCCATTTATTTACTAATTTATTGAAACATAAAATTTTGAGGACAAAAACTTTGCTGTGTTCACCATTGTACCTCTAGCACCTGGAAAGGTCCCTGTCATATTATAGTACTATATATATAAAATATATAAAAATATATATAAAATATATATAATATATAAAATATATATATAAAATATAAAATATATATAAAATATATATAATATATAATATATATAATATATATTATATATAAAATATATATAATATATATTATATATATATTATATATAATGTATATATTTTATATATAAAATATATATATTATATATATATAAAATAAATGAATTTACTTTACAATTAAACTGTTCCTTCACAAAATGAAAGTTAATGAAACTGCTTTTCCAGGAGTACGCATCTAAAATATGTTTTTCTTTATAAAGTCTCTCAAAGTTGCTATGTTTGTTCTATCTACATATCTAAATAAATATCCTGTCCAAATATATCTGCTATGCATCCTAGACAAAAGATAAGTTATCTATATTTCATATCACTAATTAAAGTACTAATTTTCTTGCCCAACAAAAGTAACATTTATTTATGTATTATTTTTATTTATTTTATTATTCTTTTAAAACTTCTTCTTTATTAGTAGTCTGGAACATGACCCTCCCCCACCCCCCACAAGAATACTGCCTCCTTCTCTTTGCATTCCTAATGTAAAAATACTAATTCTTTTTGAGGCGACGGGAATGATTCTGCCTACCAGAGAACAAGTCAAAACGAAAAGGAAAATGTTAATATTTTCATATCCATAAGCATTTTAAAAATAAATACTTGGCCACCAGTAAGCCAACTCTACCTAATGGTATAACCAGGCTGTTTGCTCTACTGTCCTGCCTCTTCTGAGCATGAAGCCAGGACTCTTTCTCTCCAAAGATTCAGTGCCCCAACTTGACCCCATCTCTTTGTTTGCAGGATTATGACAAGAGTCCAGGCTGTGAACGGGAGCTATTTTATAGGTTCTTGTAGGGATCCGTGCATGGTGGTGGTGCAGAGAGTACAGCAAAGTCTCAGGGCACATATGAATGTCCTTCTGATGGATAATCCCCCAGGGAGCAGGCAGAGTAGATGTAGGGTCCATCCCCAACAATTCCACAGACACTGGCTTGCATATGTTCCCTCTCAATGTCTACCAAAGGTATTCAGCCTTGCTGCCTCTACTGCAGACTTCCACTTCTCCATCAGCACATGCCCCCTCTACACTTCCACCTCGACTTCCCCTCCACACAAAACTTCGGTCACACCCAACCACCCCCTCTTCCTTCCTAAATCCTTCAGCCCCTCCTGAGATGGGGCAGTGGTCTTCAGTCTCTACCTCTATTTTCTTTCTAGAGCTGTTAATAGCATAAACAGTGTTTTACTCCCCTCAGAATCTTTCCTTTTGATACTCATGAGCCTGCTTGAAAGTGAAAGAAACAAAATCAAGCCTAATATTAACTTTCTTTCTTTGAGCATTCCTGTTTTATTACTAGCTCAGAACATCCTCCTTCTTCTTCCCCTCCCTACCAAAAAAGTACAATTTTCTTCTCCTTTCTCATTCCTACTGTAACAGTACAAATTCTTGTTGAGGCTACATGAATGATTTTGCTATCTGAGTATCTGAGTAAAGGTCAAAAAGAAAAGGAAAAATAAAATGTGCATAATAAAACCCAAGTCCTTGCCATGACCTGAAGGCCCCTCCATGATCTGGCTTTTCTTATCTCTCTGACCTCATATCCTATGACTCTGCCCTTCTGCTCACTATGCTAGTCACACTGCCTTCTTCCTTTATCTCCAACTTGCCAAACACATTCTCATCTCAGGGTTTTTGTACTTGCTGTGACCCCTATTTAGGATTCTTTTTCCACAGACATATGCTAGCTCTTTCACTCTTTTACATACTTACTCTAAAGTCATTTCCTCAACAAAAGTTTTTCTTGCCACTTTGTGAAAATACAAATTCTCCTAACATTACATATCCTTCTTCCCCTATTTTTTTTTCTAGCTTTCTAACATATTTGCATTGGTCCATTCTCACATTGCTATAAAGAAATACCTGAGGCTGGGTAATTTGTGAAGAAAAGAAGTTTAATTGCTTACGGTTCTGCAGGCTGTACAGGAAGTATGATGCTGACACCTGCTCAGCTGCTGGGGAGACCTCAGGAAACTTTCAATCATGGCAGAAGGCAAAAGGGGAGTGAGATGTCTCACATGGCCAAAGCAGAAGAAAGAGTGAGATGTGGGAGGTGCTACGTACTTTTAAACAACCAGATCACTTGAGAACTCACTCAATTATGAGAACAGCACCAATAGGAAAATCTGCCCCCATGATCCAATCACCTCCCACCAGACTCTACCTCCAACATTGGGGATTACAATTTGACATGAGATTTAGACAGGGAAACAGATCCAAACCATATCATTCTGCACCTGACCCCTCCCAAATCTCATTTCCTTCTTACACTGCAAAATACAATCATGTTTTCCGAATAGTCCCCTGAAGTCTTAACTCATTCCAGCCTTAGTTCAAAAGTCCAAAGTCTCATCTGAGATAAGGCTAGTCCCTTCTGCCTATCAGCCTGCAAAATCAAAAACAAGTTTGTTACCCCCAGGATACAATGGGCGTACAAGCATTGGGTAAATATTCCTGTTCCAAAAGGGAGATATCAGCCAAAAGAAAGGGATTACAAACCATGCAAGTCTGAAACCAAACAGGGCACTCATTACATCTTAAAATTCCAAAATAATCTCTTTTGACTCCATGTCCCACGTCGAGGGGACACTGGTGCAAGGGGTTGGCTCCCAAGGCCTTGGGCAGTTCTGCACCTGTGGCTCTGCTGGGTACAGCCCCCATGGCTGCTTTCACGAGCTGGCAGTGAGTGCCTGTGGCTTTTCCAGGGGCATGGTGCAAGCTGGTCGTGGATCTACCATTCTGGGGTCTGGGGGATGATGGCTCTCTTCTCAGAGCTGCACTAGTCAGTGCTCAGTGGGGACTCTGGGGCCTCCAACCATGCACTTCTCCTCTGCACTGCCGTAGCAGAGGTTCTCTATGTAGGCCCACCCCTGCAGCAGGCTTCTGCCTGGACATCTGGGCTTTTTCATACATCTTCTGGAGTCTAGGTGGAGGCTCCTAAGCCTCAACTCTTCCACTCTGTGCACTGGCAGGCTTAACACCACATGGAAGTCACCAAGGCTTATGGCTTGCAACCACTGAAGCAGCAATCTGAGCAGTATCTGGGCCCCTTTGAGCCACAGCTGGAGCTGGAGTGGCCAGTATGCAGGGAGCCATGTCCTGAGGCTGTGCAGGGTAGCAGAGTCCTGGTCCTGGCCCACAAAATTATTCGTCCCTGCTAGGCCTCTAAGCCTGTGATGGGAGGGGCTGCCACAAAGGTGTCTGAAATGTTTCTCCATTGTCTTGGCTATTAATACTCTGCTCCTCTTTACTTATGCAAATTTCTGCAGCCAGCTTGAGTTCATCCCCAGAAAATGGGTTTTCCTTTTCTACCACAAGGCTGGACTCACAAATTTTTCAAACTTTTATGTTTTGCTTCCCTTTTAATTATAAGTTCCAGTTTTGGGTTATTTCTTTGCTCAAGCATATGAGAAAAGGCTGGTAGAATCACCCAGGCCATATTTTGAACACTTTCCTACTTAGAATTTCTTCTGCTGGATACCCTAAATCATCACTCTGAAGTTCAAAGTTCCAGAGATTTCTCAAGCAGGAGCACAATGCTGCCAACCTCTTTGGTAATGCATAACAAAAGTGATCTTTGCTCCAATTCCCAATAAGTTACTCATTTCTATCTGAGATCTCTGCAGGTTGGTCTTCACTGTCCATATCACTTTCTGCATTTTGGTCACAACAATTCAACAGGTCTTTAGGAAGTTTCAATTTTTTCCTCATCTTTCTGTCTTCTTCTGAGCCCTCCAAACCGTTCTGACCTCTGCCTGTTGCCTGGTTCCAAAGCTGCTTTCACATTTTCAGGTATCCTTATAGGAATGCCCCACTCCCAGTACCAGTTTTCTGTATTAGTCCTTCACATTGCTATAAAGAAATACCTGAGCCACCGCTGCTGTTACCCAGGCAAACAGGGTCTGGAGTGGACCTCTAGCAAACTCCAACAGACCTGCAGCTGAGGGTCCTGTCTGTTAGAAGGAAAACTAACAAACAGAAAGGACATCCACACCAAAAACCCATCTGTACATCACCATCATCAAAGACCAAAAGTAGATAAAACCACAAAGATGTGGAAAAAACAGAGCAGAAAAACTGGAAACTCTAAAAAGCAGAGCGCCTCTCCTCCGCAAAAGGAACGCAGTTCCTCACCAGCAACAGAACAAAGCTGGATGGAGAATGACTTTGACAAGTTGAGAGAAGAAGGCGTCAGACGATCAAACTACTCCGAGCTACAGGAGAAAATTCAAACCAAAGGCAAAGAAGTTAAAAACTTTGAAAAAAATTTAGACGAATGTATAACTAGAATAACCAATACAGAGAAGTGCTTAAAGGAGCTGATGGAGCTGAAAGCCAAGGCTCGAGAACTATGTGAAGAATGCAGAAGCCTCAGGAGATGATGCGATCAACTGGAAGAAAGGGTATCAGCGATGGAAGATGACATGAATGAAATGAAGTGAGAAGGGAAGTTTAGAGAAAAAAGAATAAAAAGAAATGAACAAAGCCTCCAAGAAATATGGGACTATGTGAAAAGACCAAATCTATGTCTGATTGGTGTACCTGAAAGTGACAGGGAGAATGGAACCAAGTTGGAAAACACTCTGCAGGATATTATCCAGGAGAACTTCCCCAGTCTAGCAAGGCAGGCCAACACTCAGATTCAGGAAATACAGAGAACGCCACAAAGATACTCCTCAAGAAGAGCAACTCCAAGACACGTAACTGTCAGATTCACCAAAGTTGAGATGAAGGAAAAAATGTTAAGGGCAGCCAAAGAGAAAGGTCAGGTTACCCACAAAGGGAAGCCCATCAGACCAACAGCAGATCTCTCGGCAGAAACTCTACAAGCCAGAAGAGAGTGGGGGCCAATATTCAACATTCTTAAAGAAAAGAATTTTCAACCCAGAATTTCATATCTAGCCAAACTAAGCTTCATAAGTGAAGGAGAAATAAAATCCTTTACAGACAAGCAAATGCTAGGAGATTTTGTCACCACCAGGCCTGCCCTAAAAGAGCTCCTGAAGGAAGCACTAAACATGGAAAGGAACAACCGGTACCAGCCACTGCAAAAACATGCCAAATTGTAAAGACCATCGAGGCTAGGAAGAAACTGCATCAACTAATGAGCAAAATAACCAGCTAACATCATAATGACAGGATCAAATTCACACATAACAATATTAACTTTAAATGTAAATGGACTAAATGCCTGAATTAAAAGACACAGACTAGCAAATTAGATAGAGTCAAGACCCATCAGTGTGCTGTATTCAGGAAACCCATCTCACATGCAGAGACATACATAGGCTCAAAATAAAAGGATTGAGGAATATCTACCAAGCAAATGGAAAACAAAAAAAGGCAGGGGTTGCAATCCTAGTCTCTGATAAAACAGACTTTAAACCAACAAAGATCAAAAGAGACAAAGAAGGCCATTACATAATGGTAAAGGGATCAATCCAACAGAAGAGCTAACTATCCTAAATATATATGCACCCAATACAGGAGCACCCAGATTCATAAAGCAAGTCCTGAGTGACCTACAAAGAGACTTAGACTCCCACACAATAATAATGAGGGACTTTAACACCCCACTGTCAACATTAGACAGATCAACGAGACAGAAAGTTAACAAGGATACCCAGGAATTGAACTCAGCTCTGCACCAAGTGGACCTAATTGACATCTACAGAACTCTCCACCCCAAATCAACAGAATATACATTTTTTTCAGCACCACACCACACCTATTCCAAAATTGACCACATAGTTGGAAGTAAAGCTCTCCTCAGCAAATGTAAAAGAACAGAAATTATAACAAACTGTCTCTCAGACCACAGTGTAATCAAACTAGAACTCAGGATTAAGAAACTCACTCAAAACCATTCAACTACATGGAAACTGAACAACCTGCTCCTGAATGACTACTGGGTACCTAAAGAAATGAAGGCAGAAAAAAAGATCTTCTTTGAAACCAACAGGAACAAAGACACAACATACCAGAATCTCTGGGACACATTCAAAGCAGTGTGTAGAGGGAAATTTATAGCACTAAATGCCCACAAGAGAAAGCAGGAAAGATCCAAAATTGACACCCTAATATCACAATTAAAAGAACTAGAGAAGCAAGAGCAAACACATTCAAAAGGCAAGAAATAACTAAAATCAGAGCAGAACTGAAGGAAATAGAGACACAAAAAACCCTTCAAAAAATTAACAAATCCAGCAGCTGGTTTTCTGAAAAGATCAACAAAATTGATAGACCACTAGCAAGACTAATAAAGAAGAAAAGAGAGAAGAATCAAATAGATGCAATAAAAAATGATAAAGGGGATATCACCACCGATCCCACAGAAATACAAACTACCATCAGAGAATACTATAAACACCTCTAAGCAGATAAACTAGAAAATCTAGAAGAAATGGATAAATTCCTCGACACATACACCCTCCCAAGACTAAACCAGGAAGAATTTGAATCTCTGAATAGACCAATAACAGGATCTGAAATTGTGGCAATAATCAACAGCTTACCAACCAAAAAGAGTCCAGGACCAGAGGGATTCACAGCTGAATTCTACCAGAGGTACAAGGAGGAACTGGTACCATTCCTTCTGAAACTATTCCAATCAATAGAAAAAGAGGGAATCCTCCCTAACTCATTTTATGAGGCCAGCATCATCCTGATACCAAAGCCGGGCAGAGACACAACCAAAAAAGAGAATTTTAGACCAATATCCTTGATGAACATTGATGCAAAAATCCTCAATAAAATACTGGCAAACTGAATCCAGCAGCACATCAAAAAGCTTATCCACCATGATCAAGTGGGCTTCATCCCTGGGATGCAAGGCTGGTTCAATATACACAAATCAATAAATGTAATCCAGCATATAAACAGAACCAAAAACAAAAACCACATGATTATCTCAATAGATGCAGAAAAGGCCTTTGACAAAATTCAACAACCCTTCATGCTAAAAACTCTCAATAAATTAGGTATTGATGGGACGTATCTCAAAATAATAAGAGCTATCTATGACAAACCCACAGCAAATATCATACTGAATGGGCAAAAACTGGAAGCATTCCCTTTGAAAACTGGCACAAGACAGGGATGCCCTCTCTCACCACTCCTATTCAACATAGTGTTGGAAGTTCTGGCCAGGGCAATTAGGGAGGAGAAGGAAATAAAGGGTATTCAATTAGGAAAAGAGGAAGTCAAATTGTCCCTGTTTGCAGATGACATGATTGTATATCTAGAAAACCCCATTGTCTCAGCCCAAAATCTCCTTAAGCTGATAGGCAACTTCAGCAAAGTCTCAGGATACAAAATCAATGTACAGAAATCAGAAGCATTCTTATACACCAATAACAGACAAACAGAGAGCCAAATCATGAGTGAACTCCCATTCACAATTGCTTCAAAGAGAATAAAATACCTAGGAATCCAACTTACAAGGGACGTGAAGGACCTCTTCAAGGAGAACTACAAACCACTGCTCAATGAAATAAAAGAGGATACAAACAAATGGAAGAATATTCCATGCTCATGGGTAGGAAGAATCAATATCATGAAAATGGCCATACTGCCCAAGGTAATTTATAGATTCAATGCCATCCCCATCAAGCTACCAATGACTTTCTTCACAGAATTGGAAAAAACTACTCTAAAGTTCATATGGAACCAGAAAAGAGCCCTCATCGCCAAGTCAATCCTAAGCCAAAAGAACAAAGCTGGAGGCATCATGCTACCTGACTTCAAACTATACTACAAGGCTACAGTAACCAAAACAGCATGGTACTGGTACCAAAACAGAGATATAGACCAATGGAACAGAACAGAGCCCTCAGAAAGAACGCCGCATATCTACAACTATCTGATCTTTGACAAACCTGACAAAAACAAGAAATGGGGAAAGGATTCCCTATTTAATAAATGGTGCTGGGAAAATGGCTAGCCATATATAGAAAGCTGAAACTGGATCCCTTCCTTACACCTTATACAAAAATTAATTCAAGATGGATTAAAGACTTAAACATTAGACCTAAAACCATAAAAACCCTCGAAGAAAACCTAGGCATTACCATTCAGGACATAGGCATGGGCAAGGACTTCCTGTCTAAAACACCAAAAGCAATGGCAACAAAAGCCAAAATTGACAAATGGGATCTAATTAAACTAAAGAGCTTCTGCACAGCAAAAGAAACTACAATCAGAGTGAATAGGCAACCTACAAAATGGGAGAAAATTTTCGCAACCTACTCATCTGACAAAGGGCTAATATCCAGAATCTACAATGAATTCAAACAAATTTACAAGAAAAAATCAAACAACCCCATCAAAAAGTGGGTGAAGGACATGAACAGACACTTCTCAAAAGAAGACATTTATGCAGCCAAAAAACACATGAAAAAATGCTCATCATCACTGGCCATCAGAGAAATGCAAATCAAAACCACAATGAGATACCATCTCACACCAGTTAGAATGGTGATCATTAAAAAGTCAGGAAACAACAGGTGCTGGAGAGGATGTGGAGAAATAGGAACACTTTTACACTGTTGGTGGGACTGTAAACTAGTTCAACCATTGTGGAAGTCAGTGTGGGGATTCCTCAGGGATCTAGAACTAGAAATACCATTTGACCCAGCCATCCCATTACTGGGTATATACCCAAAGGACTATAAATCATGCTGCTATAAAGACACATGCACACGTATGTTTATTGCCACACTATTCACAATAGCAAAGACTTGGAACCAACCCAAATGTCCAACAATGATAGACTGGATTAAGAAAATGTGGCACATATACACCATGGAATACTATGCAGCCATAAAAAATGATGAGTTCATGTCCTTTGTAGGGACATGGATGTAAATGGAAATCATCATTCTCAGTAAACTATCACAAGGACAAAAAACCAAACACCTCATGTTCTCACTCATAGTTGGGAATTGAACAATGAGAACACATGGACACAGGAAGGGGAATATCACACTCTGGGGACTGTTGTGGGGTGGGGGGAGGGGGAGGGATAGCATTAGGAGATATACCTAATGCTAAATGAGGAGTTAATGGGTGCAGCACACCAGCATGGCACATGTATACATATGTAACTAACCTGCACATTGTGCACATGTACCCTAAAACTTAAAGTATAAAAAAATAAAATAAAATACAGTCATTCCAAATGGGAGTAATTGGCCAAAACAAAGGGGCCACAGTCCCCATCCATGTCAGAAATCCAGCAGGGCAGTCAAATTTTAAAGCTCCAGAATGATCTCCCTGACTCCATGTCTCATATCCAGGTCATGCTGATGCAAGGGGTGGGTTCCCATTGTGTTGGACAGCTCCACCCCTGTGGCTTTGCAGGGTACAGCCCCCCTCCCAGCTGCTTTCATGGGCTGGCATTGAGTGTCTGTAGCATTTCCAGGTCCACAATGCAAGCTGTTGGTGGATCTACCATTCTGGGGTCTGGAGGATGGTGGCTCTCTTCTCACAGCTCCACTAGGCAGTGCCCCGGTAGGGACTCTATGTGGAAGCTCCAACCCCACGTTTCCCTTCTGCACTGCCCTAGTAGAGGTTCTCCATGAGCACCCTGCCCCTGCAGCAAACTTCTGCCTGGGCTTCCCTGTGTTTCCATACAACTTCTGAAATCCAGGCAGAGGTTCCCAAACCCCAATTCCTGACTTCTGTGCACTTGCAGGATCAACACCGCATGGAGGCTGTCAAGGGTTGGGGCTTTCTCCCTCTGAAGCCACAGCCCAAGCTCTATGTTGGCCCCTTTCAGCCACAGCTGGAGCAGCTGGAATGCAGGGCACCAAGTCCCTAGGCTGCACACACCACAGGGACTCTGGGCCCAGCCCATGAAACCATTTTCTCCTAAGCCTCCAAGCCTGTGATGACAGGGGCTGCTATGAGACCTCTGACATGCCCTGGAGACATGTCCCCCATTGTCTTGGGGATTAACATTTGGCTCCTTGTTACTTATGCAAATTTCTGCAGCCAGCTTGAATTTCTCTTCAGAAAATGGGTTTTTCTTTTCTATCAACATTGTCAGGCTTCAAATTTTCCAAACTTTTATGCTCTGCTTCTCTTATAAAACTGAATGCCTTTAAGAGCACCCAAGACACCTTTTGAATGCTTTGATGCTTAGAAATTTTTTCTGGCAGATAGCCTAAATCATCTCTCCCAAGTTCAAAGATCCACACATCTCCAGGGTGGGGGCAAAATGCCACCAGTCTTTTTGCTAAAATATAACAAGAGTCACATTTTCTCCAGTACCAACAAGTTTCTCATTTCCATCTGAGACCACCTCAGCCTGGACTTTATTGTACATATCGCTATCAGCATTTTGGACAAAGCCATTCAGCAAGTCTCTAGGAAGTTCCAGCCTTTCCCACATTTTCCTGTCTTCTTCTGAGCCCTCCAAACTATTCCAACCTCTGTCTGTTACCCAGTTGTAAAGTTACTTCCACATTTTCGAGTATCTTTTCAGCAACACCCCACTTCTGGTACCAATTTACTATATTAGTCTGTTTTCATGCTGCTGATAAAGACATACCCAAGACTGGGCAATTTACAAAAGAATGAGGTTTATTGAACTTACAGTTCCACGTGACTGGGGAGGCCTCACAATCCTGGCAGACGGTGAAGGGCACATCTCACATGCCGGCAGCAAGAGAGAGAAATGAGTGCCAAGCAAAATGGGTTTCCCCTTATTAAACCATCAGATCTCATGAGACTTAGTCACTATCACAAGAACAGTATAGGGGAAACCAGCCCCCATGATTCAATTACCTATCATGAAGACCCTCCCACAATGCATGGGAATTATGGGAGTTTAATTCAAGATGAGATCTGGATGGGGACACAGAGCAAAACCATATCATTCAACAAGTAGCTGGGACTACAGGCACACACTACTGCTGCCAGCCTTTTTTATTTATTTTGTATTGCCTATTGTTAGTCTCTTCTGCCAGAATGTAGTTTCCATGAGGGCCAGGTTTTCTCTGTTTTATTATTGCATCCCTGGGGCGTAGAACAGTGCCTGGCATGTTGAAGGCACTTCACAAATATTTTAGTATTTGTTGAATGAATGCTTTATTATCTTCAAGGAAAAGGTAGACAATATGCTCAAAATTACTATTCTTTAAAAGCAAGAAAGAGGCAATGGTTTAAAATATGCTTTCAGATGACTTTTACTGTGTTCACTGCAACAGATTGAACATCATTCTGTTTTATATAGACAGTTTCATAAAGGCAAGTGTATGATGTTGAAACAACAGTGGTCAAAAACATAATTTTTTTTTTGTGATACAGCCACAGAATCCTGATTATTTTCTAGCATAATGGGAGTCCCAGCAATACAAATAAGTTCATAACCACATATGGCAGGCATTATATTACACTCTGGGATGAAACTGATAACATTATACAGATAGTGTGATGCCATGACTCACTTATCAATAATTCCTTCATGACTACTTTCTCCTTTACCTGTTCCACAAAAACTAAACTCTCACTTATAGTCATCATTGCTAATTGGTACATTATGCAGAATAGCCATTTTAAAAGATAAACATTTATATCTTCTATAATTTTTATAAGGCTATCCTGACTCCTCTCATGACATCTAGAACAAGACAAATTATTTAACAGAGATCTGATAAAGCTTCTTTTGTGCATAGTTTTTGCCATTCCAATGCATGCAGTCTCACTAATTATCTAGCAACTATGTTAGACTTTTAACACACGTATTTGGAATGTAGTAGAAGGTTTTGTAATAGCAACTTCTCAAGGGATACAGACTCAAATGTCTTTAGATTTTGCTATGATCAAATTATTCCTCAACTTGTCAAGGTCATGTCCAGCTGTACCATAGCTTCAAGGGCTTGAGATTAGCACTTGGAAATAATTGTACAGCATACACTGTGATTGTTGGATTTGGGCTATCTCCGTCCCCATAATGGAACTGAAACTAACATGGGTGCCCTTCAATCTGAGCTTTTTCAACCCGGCACCAAAATAATTAATTAATTAATTAAAAATAAAAGCAAATTCTGTTGTGTGGAAATGAACTAGAAACAATACAGTAACACTTGAGGAGAGGTCAAATACTCAGAGCCATGGAGCTGCCATATTATCAGCGGTATATGCATCTGACACATCAATAAATACACTCACTGCTCTATCCCAATCACAAATTGATGTAGACTGCTCCTCATTGTTTACTTCACTGCTGTACCCAAGTTTTCAGGTGCCTACAACTTGCTAAGGTGTATAACTCTCCCAATGGTCATATGGTCATATTGAATTCTTTTATTTTCTTTCTTTCTTTTTTTTTTTTTTTTTTGAGATGGAGTCTCACTCTGTCACCCAGGTTGGAGTGTAGTGAAGCAATCTTGGCTGACTGCAACCTCCATCTCCTGGGTTCAAGCGATTCTCCTGCCTCAGCCTCCCGAATAGCTGGGATTACAGGGACCAGCCAACACACCAGGCTAATTGTTGTATTTTCAGTACAGACAGGGTTTCACCCTGTTGGCCAGGCTGGTCTGAAACTTCTGACCTCAAGTGATCCGCCTGCCTCGGTCTCCCAAAGTGTTGGGATTACAGGCATGAGCCATCGCGGAATTCTTGTTTAGTTTTGTTTTGAGACAGAGTCTCCCTCTGTGGCCCAGACTGGAATGCAGTGGCATGATCTTGGCTCACTGCAACCTATGCCTCCCAGGTTTAAGCGACTCTTGTGCCTCAGCTTCCAGGTAGCTAAAAATACAGGCATGAGCCACCATGCCCAGCTAAATTTTGTATTTTTAGTTGAGACAGTTTTCGCCATGTTGGCCAGACTGGTCTCAAACTCCTGGCCTCAAGTGATTGGCCCACCTCAGCCTCCCAAAGTGCTGGGATTACAGACATGAGCCCCCACACCCAGCCACCAGAGGTCATATTGAATTCTAAAGTAATTAGCACAAGCATATTGTACAATGCGAGTTGACCAAGTTGACCAGTTGGCTGTGGTGCATTGGTGAATTAGGCCCTGGTGAGCTTACTATCTTGCATTAAGTTGTACTGTAGCAATTCAATCATGTTTTCAATATTCTGCTTCTAAACAAATCTTGATTTCTGATATTCTTGTAAAAGAATTTTACTCTCACTGAGTGTAAATTAGTTCAACCATTGTGGAAGAGAGTGTGATGATTCCTCAAGGATCTAGAACTAGAATTACCATTTGACCCAGCAATCCCATTACTGGTTATATACCCAAAGGATTATAAACCATGCTACTATAAAGACACATGCACATGTATGTTTCTTGTGACTCTATTCACAATAGCAAAGACTTGGAACCAACCCAAATGTCCATCAATGATAGACTGGATTAAGAAAATGTTGCACATATACACTATAGAATACTATGCAGCCTTAAAAAAGAATGAGTTCATGTCCTTTGCAGGGACATGGATGAAGCTGGAAACCATCATTCTGAGCAAACTATCACAAGGACAGAAAACCAAACACCACATGTTCTCACTTACAGATGGGAACTGAACAATGAGATCACTTGGACACAGGGTGGGGAACATCCCACACTGTGGCCTGTCGGTGGGTGGAGGGCTGGGGGAGGGATAGCATTAGGAGAAACACCTAATGTAAATGATGAGTTGATGGGTGCAGCAAACCAACATGGCATATGTATACCTATGTATCAAACCTGCACATTGTGCACATGTACCCTAGAACTTAAAGTATAATAAAAAAAGAATTTTACTCCCACAAGGGAAGAGATTATATCCCCAGATAAGAGACCTATATTAATTAACTAATGTATCAAATATAAACACACCTATACATCTACCATGGTGCTGAAGCTTGGGTGCTATAAAGAAGGGGTGCATAGAAATAAAAGACATAGACTCTATTTTGCAATAGAAAATTGCAAAAGTAGAATTTCCAAAAGTGTATTTAAAATGTGTGATTATGACATTTTGGGTTGAATGATTGAAAAAATAAAAATAAGAATAATGTATAATTAATAACAAATGTTAATTTAATAAATACTGGTGAAGTTCAAAAAGGGAAGCAATTTTCCTGAGTAGCTACTCAATGGAGGTTTTATATGTAATACTATCATTATTTTAGAGCTCTTGAAGATTTTTCAAGAGTTTTAAGAACTTGGGAACAAATATGCTTTATCTGATGAAAGAAAATGGTTGAATTACTGCTAGGCGTATTATTTTTAAATAATGAGGTTTTTTTATTTTGATGATATCTATTATTATATTAGGCTTCTCTGCATCAAGTCATAAAGAGATTGTATAGTTCAATTGAATAAATATGCAGGGTGACATAACAGTAAAATGCTTTATGTAAAAAACCTTTTCCTTTAGATGTAATTTTTAAATAACATTATTATAGCTCTCATTTTTGGGGTTAAGGCATTTTGCATACATCATCTGTAATACTTTCATCAGCAGCTCTGGAAAAAAGGATTCTTATCTCCTTTCTCCTCAAATGAATAAATTTAAGCTCAGTGATAGCAAATGGCATCTCCAAGGCCACACAGCTAGTAACTGGTCAAGCCAGATTTATTCCAAGTCCAGTTGGAACTTAGGGAAGACTGAGGTGGAGTCTGTGAAAGCTCTGTGACTTCAGACAGAATATTTCTATTGAAAAATTAGGAGTCATACTTCTATTTGGCAGAATTATTTTTAAATTGATCTTTAATAATGAGCAGCTATTATTATTTAACACTACTGGCTCCAAAACACATGCAGTTCCGTAGGAGAACCAGGCGATTGTCAAAAAGCATTGATTGGCATCTAAAGCAACTTATAAAATAATTCAAGGATCTCAGTACTTTGAGAGGCCGAGGCGTTGAGGATTGCTTTAACCCAGGAGTTCAAGACCAGCCTGGGCAACATGGCGAAAACCCATGCATTCAGAAAAATACAAAACAAATCAGCCAGGCATGGTGGTGAATGCCTGTGATTCCACCTATGTGGGAGGTGGATGCAGGTGGATCACCTGAGCCCAGGAGTTTGAGGCTGCAGGGAGCTGTGATGATGATGCCATTGCACTCCAGCCTGGGCAATAGAGTGAGACAAAGAAGGAAGGAAAGAAGGAAAGAAAGGAAGAAAGGGAAGGAAGAAAGGAAAGGAAGGGAAGGAAGGAAGGAAGGGAAGGAAGGAAGGAAGGAAGGAAGGAAGGAAGGAAGGAAGGAAGGAAGGAAGGAAATAATTCAAGGTATTTATTTTAATTTCCCAAATACCATGAAAAGGGCACATAATTTTCTTTAGAATAATACACGTTATATTCTTTTTTTGCCCCATTTACCTCCGTGCATTTTCTTCAGTATCTCTCTTTTCCAAAATAATATAGAAAATCTCTTCCACTAGTCTTAAATCTTTATTTCATTGTTCTCCTCTTCTTCCCAGCTTCCTCTTGATTCTGGACCTCAAACACAGTTCTGCCAAACCTGTCTGGTAATAATAACAAAACCTTCTTCAGTTTGAAGCAGTGTTTCTTGGCCTTATTTCACTATTTCTCCCCTAAAAAAAATTTTAGTGGTTTTTTTCCCCGTAGTTGTCTCTGCCATGAAATTTTGATACCAGTTACATTATGTATCTGTTTTTACACTGTGACCCCTTGAAGGGTCACAAACCATCGTAGTTAATAATGCCCCCCACTACCATCCAACCTGAAGAAACACTTTTTGCCTCCTTGGGGAGATTATCACCTTTGTTGAGAATGCAGTTGAAAGCAGTTTCTTAACCTCAGCGCTATTCACATTTTGGGTCAGACAATTTTTAGCCAGAGAGTGCTATCTTGTGAAATTTGGCAGATTTTACAGGATGCCTGGTCCCTATCCGACAGATGCCAGTAGCAGCTCTCTGTTACGACAACAAAAAAATGTACCAGAAATGTCCCCAGATATCACCAAATGTACCCGAGAGGATACAATCACCCTTGGGTAGAACCACTAATGTAGATGGAAAGAAAGGTGAATGAATGTGCAAATCACCAAGAGTAAAGAGAAAAAACTCAACATTTATATAATAAAAGTTTGTATTTTATCCTTTTTTAGTATTAAGTGCAATATGCAGTATAACTTGCTGAGAGCAGAAAAATACAAATTTCTAACAAGACCCAGAATTTTCTTTAGGAAGATTTTCATAGAAGAGACAGAAATCACTTTACTTCAAGAAAGTGAAATCTTACAATGCCAATACAAAGTATTATGAATTAATGGATTCAAAATACATCTTAAAACTTCAGAGCCACCATTTGGGTGGGAGTTTAGTGGAGCTATGTCTAATTTTTCTCACTCCTGAATCTCCATTAAAACTATCATGAAAGGGCTGGGCACAGTGGCTCATGCCTGTAATGTCAGCACTTTGGGAGGCCGAGGAGGGTGAATCACTTGAGGCCAGGAGTTCAAGACCAGCTTGGACAATATGGTGAAACCCCATCTCTACTAAAACTACAAAAATTAGCTGGGTGTGGTGGCACATGCCCGTAGTCCCATCTACTTAGGAGGCTGAGGCAGGAGAATTGCTTGAACCCAGGAGTTGGAGGTTGCAGTGAGCCGAGATCACTCCACTCTATTCTAGTCTGGGTGACAGGGCAAGACCCTGTCTCAAAAACAAGCAAAAAAACAAACAAACAAAAACTATGATGAAAGGATTTTTTTTAAGGCATAACCTCACAATGGAGGAGAAAAAAATGAGAATTTCCATTTAGCTCAGGAATTAGACTTTATCTCTGGAAAGGGGGAATAGAGGGGACAGAACTACAAGGCAAAATATGTGAAAGGAGTTTGAAAAGCTAGATTTCTAGATCTTTTTCTCTATCCCCTGTTCCTTGGGGGCTAGTCCTCTCACTCTCTAACAGGAGATTGAAGGTTTATTCTCAAGAAAGGCTAAAACAGAAGCTACCTTAACTGTAGTACAGAAAGCCCAGCTGAGGACAAGGGTACTGTTCAAACAAAAATGGGAGGATAAGGCGGGGCACAGTGGCTCACGCCTGTAATCCTAGCACTTTGGGAGGCCAAGGCTGGCGAATTGCCTGAGGTCAGGAATTTGAGACCAGCCTGGGCAACATGGTGAAACCCCGTCTCTACTAAAATACAAAAAAATATCCAGGCGCAGGGGCGTGGGTCTGTAGTCCCAGCTACCCGGGAGGCTGAGGCACAAGAATTGCTTGAACCCGGGAGGCGGAGCTTGCAGTGAGCCGAGATCATGCCACTGCACTCCAGCCTGGGTGACAGAGCAAGACTCCATCTCCAAAAAAAAAGAAAAGAAAAAAGGAAGGGTAAGTATTCATAAACCTGCTAAGTGATGAATGTTGACATATCACCACCACTATCACCACTGTATGTTCCAACAGATTTTAGAAGAGAAAAAGACTTAAAGACTCTGAAAAATTACTCAATTAAGTAATCCTGTCTGTGAATCTCAAAGTTAAGACCCACCTTTGAACTCAGAGCCACCATATAGCTTTTTAATCTCCATTCTCAATCAAAAGCAGTCCACCAGGGCTTGCAAGACATCTGAGAAATGCAGAGAGAAGAGAGAAAGCAAGAGAAACAACTTGGAAGAGAGACAAATCAGGAAATAGAGTATTTCACTCCAGTCTGGGCAATAGAGTGAGACCCAGTCTCAAAAAAATATAAATAAATAAATAAATAAATAAATAAGAAAGGCTGGATGCAAGAAATAAAAGATCTGATTCAGAAGTGAGAAGGGAATTTCCAAATGAATGGTGATGGGATATCCCAGATCTATAGCTGTGTACCAGATACATAGGGCAGCCAATGACAATCAGAGGAGCCAAAAGGGCTTCAGGCTAGAGGCCTCCAAGATGAGGGCAATGTATGATCTCATGAATCTAAACACATTTGACAACCGATAGACTCTTGGTTTAAATTTGGCCAAGTGCAGTGGCTCACATCTGTAATCCGAGCATTTTGAGAGGTTGGAGCAGGAGGATTGCTTAAACCCAGGAGTTCAAAACCAGCCTGGGCAACATAGTGAGACCCTGTTTCTTTCTTTCTTTCTTTCTTTCTTTCTTTCTATCTATCTATCTATCTATCTATCTATCTATCTATCTAATCTTTCTATCTATCACCTATCTAAATAAATAAATAAAAATAAAAATAAAATAAAAGAATCAGTGTAAATTGATAAGGACATGGAAAACCAAGTAAACAAATGACAAGACTATTATTAACTCAGTGGAGGAAGTTGTGAGTAACATTTAAATTGTCCTAACAATGCAGATAGTGATCTAACAAGATATTTTTATTGAAGCAAAAGTATCATATAACTAAATAGGGAGGTGAGGAAACAGGAAGAGTGCAAGTATGAGGCTTGGGATGAGGAAGGCCACCAGGTGATTAAAAAAACAGCTAAAGTCTTGTCTGAAAGTCAGGAAATAATGCCTAAAAACAAAATAGGAAGGAGCAATATAAAAATGTAATTTAGTGATATGAGGTCAATAGACAAAGAATCGGCTATTATAAGAAATGAAAATTATTTTTTCTGGAATCAAGAAAATGGAGATTAGGGACAGAAGTAGACTAGTGTTTAAACAGCTTTATGTTTAACTATAAATTTTCAAACAATCTGCATGTATAAAAGGAAAAATATATTTTTATCTGCCATTTATGAACAAAGGAAACAATGCTTTTTAAAAAATAAATGTTATTGTGTATATTTAAAGTATACAACATAATGTTATAGGATGCATAGAGATAGTAAAATGGCTACTATAGTAGAGCAAATTAACATATCTATCATTTTACATACTTACCTTTGTTCTTGTTTTTGTGGCAAGAGCATCTAAAATCTACTCATTTAACAAGAATCCCAACACTTTGGGAGGCTGAGATGGGTGGATCACCTGAGGTCAGGAGTTTGAGACCATCGTGGCCAACATGGTGAAACCTCGTCTCTACTAAAACTACAAAAATTAGCCGGGAGTGGTGGCAGGTGCCTATAATCCCAGCTACTCAGGAGGCTGAGGCAGGAGAATTGCTTGAACCTGGGAGGCAGAGATTGCAGTGAGCTGAGATCACACCACTGCACTCCAGCCTGGGTGACAAGAACAAGACTCCATCTCAAAAAAAAAAAAAAAAAAAAAAGAATCCCAAATACAGTACAATTTTATTAGCTATAGTCTCCATGTTGTACATGAGACCTCTAGTCTTGCTCATTCTACATACCTGCTAGTAGTTTGTATCCTCTGACCTACATCTCCCCATTTCCTCCCCTCCTCTGCCTCCTGCACCAACCTTGTAACCATTGTTTAATTTTTTATCTCTGTATAAATGACTTTTTTTTCAGATTGCACATATAAATGAGATCATGCAATATTTTTTTGTGTCTGGCTTATTTCACTTAGCTTGATGTCCTCCAGGTTGATCCATGTTGTGCAAATAGCAGGGTCTCCTTATTTATTTTATTTTGCTATTTTATTTTATTTTATTTTATTTTATTTTATTTTATTTTATTTTATTTTATTTTATTTTATTCTATTCCATTCTATTCCATTCTATTTTTTTGAGACAGAGTCTCACTCTGTAACCCAGGCTGGAATGTAGTGGCGTGACTTTGGCTCACTGCAACCTCAGCCCCCTAGGCTCAAGCGATCCTCCCACTTCAGCCTCTCGAGGAGCTGGGACTATATAGGCACGCAACCCCATGCCCAGCTAATTTTTTTTTTTTTTTGCATTTTTTGTAGAGACAAGTTTTCGCCATATTGCCCAACCTGGTCTCCAGCTCCTGAGCTCAAGTCATCTGCCCACCTTGGCCTCCCAATGTGCTGGAATTACAGGCATGAGCCACTATGCCCAGCAAGAGTCTCCTTTTTTAAAGATGAATAATATTGCATAAATATACCATAGTTTCTTTATCTATTCATTCATCAACAGACACTTGAGTTGTTTCTGTATCTTGGCTATTGTGAATAATGCTGCAATGAATGTAGGAGTGCAGGTATCTTCACAAGGTGGTGATTTCTTTTCCATTAGGTACATGCCCAGAAGGATTGCTGGGTCATATAGTAGTTTCATTTTTAATTTCTTTAGAAACCTCCAAACTGCTTTCCATAATGGCTATACCAGTCTACATTTCCATCAGCATTGTCCAAGGGCTTCCTTTTCTCCACAGCCTCATCAACATTTATCTTCTGAATTTTGATAATAGCCATACTAACAGATATGAGATGGTATCTCAGAGTGGTTTTGATTTGTTGTTCTCAGATAATTAATGATATTTAGCACCTTTTCACATATCTTTTGTCCATTTTTATGTTTTCTTTATAGAAATGTCTATTCAGGTAAAAAGCAAAAATTGTATTTAAAAATAATAAGGGAGGGAAGAAAGAAATAGCAGATGTTCCTATCAAGTACAACAATAGTCAGGGATTATATGAGCCATTTAAAATCCCAAACCCAACTTTTAAGTATATTTTAAATATTTCAAGTTACCAACTACTCTTTTATTGTTTGTTTTAGTTCATTTTTGTGTTTTTTTGCTTGTTTGGTTTTTTAGAGACAAGGTCTCACTATACTGCCCAGGCTGAAGTCCAGTGGCTATTCACAAGTGCAATAGTAGTACACTGCAGCCTTGAATTCCTGGCCTCAAACAATCCTCCTGCCTCAGCCTCCCAAGTAGCTGGGACTACATACATGCAGCACCACACTTTTTTCAAAAAATACTAAAACACACTTGCTTCAATTCAGGAAAGTATCCAGGGTAGGGAGTGATATTATTCAATGATTAAATGATACATGGAGATGTATGTTAGCTAAATGGAAAGCACCATAGTGCAAACTGGAACTGTTTACAGTTAAATTTAGACATAAGGAATCCTTGGACATTGATGGCAGTGATTGACTATATAATTTTTTTATTTTTTAATGTTCCTGAATCTCCTCTTTCAAAAACAGACAGGGCAATTATATAGCAAAACCAAAAACCCACAGACAACATTTAATACAAAACATTATGACAAGGTTTCCCACAAACTCTAGAATAAGAGGGTATGGACAAAAAAACAACAGCCTCTGTGAGGGAGAAAGAAAATAACCAAAATAGTCAATAGGTATTCATTTGAAAATGT
This sequence comes from Homo sapiens, assembly GCF_000001405.40. NCBI lineage: Eukaryota > Metazoa > Chordata > Mammalia > Primates > Hominidae > Homo > Homo sapiens. The sequence goes on along the minus strand of NC_000006.12, from coordinate 121,554,090 downwards.
GACGTGCCCATGTGTGACCAGCAGCTAAAACTTGAAATTTTGCCCAATCTGGTAGCAAGTGGGTGCAAGAGGTCCATATAGAGTCCTGAAGAGGCCAAAGCAGGCTACCTCCATGAACTCTCAACACTGGGCAGCCAGGGCCTCATTCTAGGACAGGGACCCAAAAATCAAAACTAAACAGAATATGAAGGAAAGGGAAGATCGAAATAAAAGTAGGGCCACAGAGGTGGGAAATCTCAGAAATCAAGTTGCCATACTATTGAACACATACACGCAACAGGAGCAAGAGCTCTGTGAAGTTAGAAAAGTCACCTCAGAGCCGGGGGCAGTGGCTCACGCCTGTAATCTCAACACATTGGAAAGTCAAGGCAGGAGGATGGCCATGATTGCACCACTGCACTCCAGCTTGGGTGACACAGTGAGATTCTGTCTCTAAAAGAAAAAGAAAAGCCATCTGAACCAAGTCTCCTGAAATTCCAGGAAAATGAATTTCACATAAAAAGGGACAACAGGAAAGGACTGTGTTAACTTCCTAGGGCTTCTGTGAGATAGTACCACAAATTGATGGCTGACAGTTCGGAAGACCAGAAATCCAAAATCAAAATGTCAGCAGGGCTGGTTCCTTCTTACAGGCTGTGAGACAGAATCCATCTAATGCCTTTCTCCTAGCTTTAGGTGGTTGTGGGCAATCCTTATTGTTTCTTGTGGTAGTAGACACATCACTCCAATCTCTGCCTCCATCTTTGCATTGCTTTCTGCTTTTTGTGTTTTTCTCTTTGTCTTCTCCTCTTCTTATAAGGATACCAATCACTGGATTTAGAACCTACCCTAAACCCAGGATAATTTCATATTGAGGTATTTTACTAATCACAACCTAGTTAAATCTCCAAATTTAGAAACTTATTTAGAATCTTATTTCCAAGGTTCTGGACAGACATGAATTTTGGGGAGACACTAGTCAACCCACTACAGCAATCAAGGTGAAATTCCCTAAAAAACTAACCAAAAGAAGAAGAAGCAGAATAATATGTCTACAGAAAATGAAAGCACCCAAAAAAAATGCCCACAAAATATATCAAAACTATAACTTCTTATTTAAAAACAATCTAAAGACATTAAGAAAATAATGACTTGAAATAACAAAATTCTTACTTAAATTAGAAAAATCAGAAATAACTTGACAGAATTTTTTTAAAATTAGAAATTTAAAAATATTTTCAGAAATAATTGTTGCTGGTTGTAAACCCTTAAAAATATTTTTGGAAATGAAGGCTAAACTAAAACAGCACAAAAACAAGTGAATACAACAAAAAATACCTTAAAAGAAATAGAAGTTTAAAAATGAGTGAAATATTAAAAATAAATGAAGGAAAATAGACTTAAGAGAAGGGGACAAACATTGAAGATTGAGGAAAAAAATCTGATATATCAGTCAACAGGAGTCTCTAGAAAAGAAAACCAAAGTGAGAGAAGGAAAAAAAAGAAAATTATAAAAAAAACTTTCAAAAAATTGAATTTAAAGAGCATATCTTATATCCAAGAATATCTATCTAGATTAGAATAATCAATACTAAGACATATTCTAGTAAAATTACTGGACTTGAAAAACCTTTGGGTATCTGGGCAAAAGTAACAAGTAACTTATAAAGGAACAAAAATTAGACTCAACAGACTTCTCAGCAGATTTTAATGCTGGAAGAAAGTAGAATAAGTATTTAAGATATTCACAGGGCCAGGTGTGGTGGCTCACATCTGTAATTCCAGCACTTTGGGAAGCCAAGGAAAGAAGATCACTTGAGGCCTGGAGTTTGAGACCAGCCTGGGAAGCATAGCAGCCCCATCTCTTAACAATAAAAATAAAAATAGGCCAAGTGCAGTGCCTCATGCCTGTAATCCCAGCACTTTGGGAGGCTGAGGCAGGCAGATCACAAGGTCAAGAGATCAAAACCATCCTGGACAAAATGGTGAAACCCCATCTCTACTAAAAATACAAAAATTAGCTGGGCGTGGTGGCATGCACCTGTAGTCCCAGCTACTCAGGAGGCTGAGGCAAGAGAATCGCTTGAACCCGGGAGGCAGAGGATGCAGTGCACCAAGATCGCGCCATTGCACTCCAGCCTGGGTGACAGAGCCAGACTCCATCTCAAAAAAAATATAAAAATAAAAAATAAAATAATTTTAAAACAAAATATATTCAGAGAAAGCAAATGTGAGTCAAAAATGTTAAACTCTACAAAACTGACTTCTATGTGTGAAAGATGCCTACAGGCTGTTAACAGCATGCAAGAAGTAAGAGAATGCTATTCCCATGGGCTGTTTTTGAAGAATTTATTAGCAAATGAGTTTTAAGCATGACTAAAAGGACATCAATACTCTAATGAATAAAAGGAGAAAATATAATTAGTAATGGCTTATATGTGCTAATAAAGTAGATGTATTTTTTAATATATTTTTACACATGTATTTTTAAAAACACGATCAGAGTAGGTGAATAGAGAAGAAAATGCAAAAATAATTGAACTATGTCTATAATCACTGAGGTAATAGGGATTAAAACAAATCTTTGATTTGGATTTCCCTTGATTATTTTTTGATTAGCGTTATTAGTCTGTCCTTACACTGCTGTAAAAATACTACCTGAAACTGAGTAACTTATAAAGGAAAAAGGTTTAATTGACTCACATTTCCACATGGTTGGGAGGCCTCAGGAAACTTACAATCATGGCGGAAGGAGAAGCAAGTACCTTCTTCACAAGGCGGCAGGAAAGAGAAGAATGAGCAAGAGCAGGGAAAACTGTCTTATAAAACCATCAGATCTCGTGAGAACTCACTAGCATGAGAACAGCATGAGGGAATCCACACCCATGATCCAATCACCTCCCACTTGGTTTCTCTCTCAAGACTTAGGGATTATGGGGATTACAATTCGAGATGAGATTTGGGTAGGAACACAGAGACAAACCAAACCATATCATTTAGCATGCCAAAAATATAGAATTTTTTTTTTTTTTTGAGACAGGGTCTTGCTCTGTCTGTCACCCAGGCTGAAGTGCAGTGGTGTGACCATGACTCACTGCAGCCTCAGCCTCCCAGGCTCAAGTGATCCTCCCACCGCCACCTCCCAAGTAGCTAGGACTACAGGTACACACCACCCTGCCTGGCTAATTTTTTAAGTTTTTGTAGAGACAGGGTCTTGCTATGTTGCCTAGGCTTGTCTTGAACTCCTGGGCTCGAACAAATCTCCTGCGTTAGCCTCCAAAAAGTTGAAGTTACAGGCATGAGCCTCAGTGCCTGGCCAAAAGTATTTTTAATTCTTTATGAAAATAAACAGAGTTAGAGTTTATCAGACATGTGGAATGTCACTATTCTTTTTTTATTTTCCTTGAGACAGTCTCACTCTGTCACCCAGGCTGGAGTGCATTGGTATGATCATGGCTCACTGCAGCCTAGACCTCCCAAGCTCAAGTCATCCTTCCACCTTAGCTTCCAAAGTAGCTGGGAGTACAGGCACATGCCACTGGCTAATTTTTATTTATTTTATTTTTTGTAGAGATGGTGTTTTGTCATGTTGCCTAGGCTGGTCTCAAACTCCTGGGCTAAAGCGATCTACCTGCCTTGGCCTCCCAAAGTGTTGGGATTAGAGGTGTGAGCCATCACACTTGACCCAAATGCCACTATTCTTCTATATATGAAGTTCCCCAAAACATATCTTATTTGGTTCCTAAGCAATCTAACATAAAAAGAAGTCTGCATTAAAAATTATGGAATCATTGATTTGACATGAAATTATTCAAAAGACTGTTTTTCATTAAAATGCTGGCTTCTAAAATGGCTTAAATTAAGTTTTAGTAAGCATGAAAGATTGTTTTACATCAAAACAGTATCAGTAAAATTTCTGAAAAACGTTTTTATGAAACAGCACTTTGATGTTGTTTGCAATATCGACAAATGAGGAGCTGCTTAAATTGTTGGCATACTGACCATTTATTTCTTTGTTTTATTATGGCTGTTAATTTTTTTACTAACATGTTATAATAGTCCCTAGTGTATGAAGAAACAAATGAGTTAGAATCTATCTCAACGCTGCTGCTTATGCTTCCCTGAGTCAGCTTTGTCTAAGGCAAGCTGACCCACGAAGACTTCAGTTGGTATGTGTGCATTAAGACACGTTCACAGCCTAGTGGGGTTACTCAGAGAAAATGAATCACACAGTATTTAAATATTTGGCTCTTTAATTCTTGTTGGGCTTGTTTTCTGCAGAGTCCAAATTTTCCCTCCCACATAGATATTAGATAGTTAGGAGGTAGAGCTTTGCTCAGTGCAGCATTTTATTGACCCAAATATGTATGTTGTTCTGACTTCCAAAATCAACTATTTTAGCTAACTTTTTATTTCCTCATATCCAAATTTTACATCCATCTACAGCTATTTTTCAAATGGCCTCAAGGGACAAATGTGTATTTCTCCAATACTAACCCATTTTAGATCTGTGCTCCCTGCATAAAGGGAAGGCCCCCTATAAAGAATGTGTTCTTCACCTGGCTACTTCTTGTTGAAGGATTTAAAAAATTACATGTAGAGATGTTTTTAGTCTGACTATTACCTCCAAGAATTCTTATGGAGTGTGAAAAGTGGTATTCATTAAAGACAGAATTTATGGGCATGCAATATTCCTGAGACTATTAGAAATCTTTATTAACAATCTGCAAGTAGTTATTCTACAGAGAAAGAGGAATCCATTCTAATTGGTTAGGAAATGAAGAAGGGGGATAAATATGCCCAAAGCTATGATAAAACAAATTTCTCATCACAACCTTGTATAATCACAATATAAGAAATGGAAAAAGTATATAAAAAGAAAACTTGGTAAGAAATTAACTATACATCAATAACTAAAGGACATGTAAAGAATAGAGAAACTCCCAGCCTGGGCAACATGGTGAAACCTTGTCTCTACAAAAAACAGAAAAATTAGCCGGGTATGATGGTGCATACCTGTGGTCCAAGCTACTTCGGAGGCTGAAGTGGGAGGATCACTTGAGCCCAGGAGGTCAAGGCTGAAGTGAACCTTGATCAAGCCACTGTACTCCAGCCCGGGAGAAAGAGTAAAACCCCATCTCAAAAAAAACAAAACAAACAAACAAAAAAAAACAAAAACAGAGAGACTCCTTCTTGAGAAAGCTAAGAACTGAAACAGATGATGAATAACGTAAAAAAGAAATGTTTAATGTCAAATGATGCAAAATGAGAAAAAAATAGCACCATATTTTTCATTCACTTAAAGAAATGTAAAAACAGATCCTTATAGGTTAAACATAACATATTTATAGAGGCAAAGTAAGACTTTAGCTAACAACATAGCAATTAAACTTCCTCTCCTCTGCTTAAATGTTACAATTTTCTGTAGTTACAAGCCAAAAAAGCTTTCCTATTTTTAGTGTTAGTGTTCCATATAAAAATATTTTCTGTGTTTTGGAGAGGAATGTGGACTTGATGTTGCAGTCACCTGCAAATTCAAAGTTTTGAGGAACATGAAAAAATATTTCTCTAAGCTAAAGGAAAGGAGATCTCTCTGAGTATCTACAATATGTTACTCCAAAATCTGTGTCAAATCCTTGTAAAATGAAAGCATGAGAATGACAGAGTTCTTAGTGTTTACTACAAATGTTTCATCTCAGCGAGAATGAGATGGTTTATGTAAATTTTGCAACATGCCATCCCTTTTCCAATTTTAGAAACTGTTACAAAATCAGACTTCATTTGAACATATTATAAGCGTTTTGGCATTTTGTGTGGGTCAGATTTTAAGGGGAAAGAGTGAGGTTATTATCTCCTTCGTGACAAATTTGAATGGCCACTCCCAAGTAATTCTAGCTTTCAAAAACTGTAGAATTTCCAGCCACAGACAGCTTAATCCATAAGACAAAATCTTATGGATTTTGTCCACTGATGTTATTCACAGCTATAACTGTCTAAAAAACTGACAGCAGTAAATATAACTAACATGGCTGTATTTTGCCAGGATCTTTAAAAAAGAGATTGCATAGTTCTTTCAAACTGCACATAGTGAAGAGAATCAGCACATACCATTTAAAGAATCTCTTATGACAGTCTTTATTTACAAAAATAAATTCTTAGAGACAGGGTCTCAGCATGTTGCCCAGGCTGGCTTTGAACTTCTGGGATCAAGCAATCCTCCCACCTTAGCCTCCCAAAGTACTGGGATTACAGGTGTGAGCCACCACAAAAAACTTTCACAAAAGTTGAATTTCCTGGTTCAACTTTTTTTGCAAGCAATTTTTTAAATTGACAAATTAAAATTGTATATATTTATGATGTACAGCACGTTGTCTTTAAATACATATACATTGTGGGATGGCTAATTTGAGCTTGTTAACATAAACATTATTTCACATACTTATCTTTTTATAGTGAGAACACTTTAAATCTATTCTCTTAGCAGCTTTCAAGAATACATTGTTATTAACTGTATTCTGCTAGTTCAAATTAAATGAAAATTTAATTTTCTGCATAAATGTTTACAGCAAGTGATATGGAAGGGAGATGCTGGGAAGGGAAGGGAAAAGAACGGAAGGTCCCTTTAAATGATAGGGACAGGGGAAGTGCAGGGTAGAGGAGGGTGTGGTCCCTAGCTAGGGCTCCACCTCCACAGACCTAGGTGCGGACAGGGATTTCCAGCCCAAATGTTGCATTTCCAAAGACCACCCTGGCCTGCCACACTCCCCATCCTGTGCCTATAAAAACCGGAGACCCTAGCAAGGCAGACACAGAAGGGGCTGGATGTTGAGAGGAACACATTGGTGGAGGAGCACGCACAGGAGGAGGAACACACAGGTGGCTGGACTTTGAGAGGAAATCACCGACAGGCACCGGCATGCAGGCCACTGACCAGCAGAATGATGTGGAGTTTGGCTGGGGCCGCTGAAGGAGACCCCTGGCCACCAAGCGGCCCGACTCCAGGGGAAAACCATTTCTCTTCAGGCTCCCCCATCTGCTGAGAGCTACTTCCACTCAATTAAACCTTGCACTCATTCTCCAAGCCCACGTGGAATCCAATTCTTATGGTACACCAAGGCAAGAACCTCAGGATACAGAAAGCCCTCTGTCCTTGGGATAAGGTGGGGTCTAATTGAGCTGACTAACATAAGCCACCTATAGATGGCCGAACTAAAAGAGCAAAACTAAAAGAGCACACTGTAACACACACCCACTGGGGCTTCAGCTGTAAACATTCACCCCCAGACACTGCCGTGGGGTCAGAGCCCCGCAGCCTGCCCGTCTGTGTGCTCCTCTGGAGGTTTGAGCAGTGGCGCACTGAAGAAGCAAGCGACACCCCCTTCGCACACCGTGCCAGAGGGCAAGGGAACCTGTCCCGTTTCACAAGGGCATCAAAAAATTCCATAATTTTAAAATAAATATTAATTTCAAAATAGACATTTGTTATTAATGAAATCCTATCTTATCTATATCTCTCTATATGGGCCCCAGCCTCAAATTTCTCTCTATCTTATCCCTATGCCTCGTAACTGTCTTGTCTTTAAGAAAACTGATTCTTTTCCTAAATTATGCTGCAGAAGAGAGATTGTAATAGGGATATTCCATAGTCGTGTACATTAAAAAAAACAGCATGTTAATATTAACAGGTTTATTTAATGCAGTTTTTCCGGGCCTTTAATCTGTTAATGTGCCAAGTGAATCTCTAAGAAGGAAGTGGAGAATGCAGCATTCCTTACATTTATTTAATCACAAGTCTCAACTTGTGGGATTGGTCTTCTTCTGAATCTAGAAGCAGTTTTCAAATTGATATTTCAAAATTTTAAAAAATAAAACTAAAACAAAAAGAGCCGGAAGTGGCTCTTTTTGATACTTTTGTTCAGCCATTGTAGTCTCACGGCAGTTTTACTCCCTTCGTAAATCCTTGATACCATCTCTCTCCACTTTACCTACGTGTTCCCATAGTACCTTATCCTCCTATAGAATTTAACAAAGGCTATTACCACAGAGTCGACGAAGGTCTCTCCCTCATCTAGACTGTAAGGGTCCCTGAGAGCAGGCCCAGCTTTTATTTATATTTGGACCACCAACAGGAAGTATAGTGCATGAAAACTTGGTAGGTGCTTATTGAATCATGGCTAAGAACACACACAAATATATATGGGCAGATTTGATGGTGTAAATTCAGTCTGAAATGGATAGAATTATTAGACCAGGCCGGGCACGATGGCTCATGCCTGTAATTCCAGCACTTTGGGAGGCTGAAGCGGGCAGATCACGAGGTCAGGAGATCGAGACCACCCTGGCCAACATGGTGAAACCCCGTCTCCACTAAAAATACAAAAATTAGCTGGGCGTGGTGGCGCCCACCTGTAGTCCCATCTATTTGGCAGGCTGAGGCAGGAGAATCGCACGAACCTGGGAGGCAGAGGTTGCAGTGAGCCGAGATCGCATCATTGCACTCCATCCTGGGTGACAGAGTGAGACTCCATCTGAAAAAAAAAATAATTATTATTATTATTAGACCATAAGTGACTTTTGGTGTTTTTAAAAATTCAAGCAGGTCAGAGGTGGTGGCTCACAACTATAATCCCAGCACTTTGGAAGGCCTAGGTAGGAAGATTGCTTGAGCCCAGGAGTTGGAGACCAGCCTGGGCTACATAGCAAAAGCCCGTCTCTATATAAAATTTAAGAATTGGCCAGGTACGGTGGCTCATGCTTATAGTCCCAGCTATTTGGGAGACTGAGGTGAGAGGATCTCTTGAGCCTGGGAGGCAGACACTTCAGTGAGCCAAGATCAAGCCATTGCACTCCAGCTTGGGTGACAGAGTGAAACCCTTTTGCAAAAAAAAAATTTAAGCCAAACACCAATTAAGATTCTTTAATTGCTAAACTTATCATAAGTACCATCAAAAACAAATTTAAATTATAGAGAAAATATTGCCAATAAAGCTTTAATCCATAAAAGATCTGTGGCTTAGTTAATTCTTCAAATACGTTTATGCTTTAAGAGTATTAACGTGGCATGCTATGATCCAGAGAAAGAAATTGCTGTTATCCTCTCTTTAAACTTCTTAGAAAAAGAACACGTTCTAAAATGAGGTTGCCATATATATCCAGGAGCACTGCTTTTCCCTGAGAGGTTACATCATCTGCTGGCCACCCACCCCTAGGTACCTCTGAGAATAGTGTAATAACATACCAGGCTAATGAGAATATTCTCATTATGCTCTCACAAGTATGAAAACTTATGCTGATTAAAATAACTAGTGCCGTCATGACTTAACCACAAATTTTGTTTGTGTTTTTTTGTACATTAATCATTATTTAATAGACCACAGATGTGTCAAATAGCAATTTTTTAAACACTGATTTAATTTTTTTTAATTGGCGAAGTCAGTTGAAAGTGCCAGTGTGTTGAAAGAAAACTCTGGGTGCTAAAAATGATTTAATTTTCTGTACCTAAATTCTGCACAGAACTTGATTTAGGGTCTCATTATCTTGTTCTTAGAAAGGGAATTTTCACGTGGTTAATTTAGTAGGTAAAGTTATATAACAATCTTTTCTAAATATGCTATATCTGACCTGACCTAAAACAAAAGTCAAAGAATCAGATGTAAGATGTACTGAATCAAAACTTCCTTAGAAATAATGTCCAAAATACAAAGTTGTTCATTTCTCCTGAAATATCTTTTTAAGTTTTCAAAGTCAATTGATTAGAGTTGCACAGAAAATAATATTCAGAAAAGTTGAGATTTGGCCAGGCACAGTGGCTCATGCCTGTAATCCCAGCACTTTGGGAGGCCAAGGTGGGTGAATCATTTGAAGTCAGGAGTTTGAGACCAGCCTGGCTAACATGGTGAAACCCTGTCTCTACTAAAAATACAAAAATGAGCCAGGCTTGGTGGCAGGTGCCCGTAATCCCAGCTATTCAGGAGGCTGAGGCAGGAGAATCGCTTGAGCCCAGGAGGCAGAGGTTGCAGTGAGCAGAGATCACACCACTGCACTCCAGCCTGGGTGACAGAGGGAGACTCTGTCTCAAAAAAAAAAAAAAAAAAAAAAACAATGTTGAGATTTGTCTCAAAGATATTCTTGTGTTAAAACTGTCAGAGTATACCCTAGTGAGAGAGGAAAAAGAAAAAAATCAGATTGAAAGTTTAGCCAGGGTGTGAGTCAACTCAGGATGTGACATTACATAGTAGTGGAAAGCCATGAGCAAAGACACATTTTCCTCAACATAGAAAGGAGATAAGTAATTTTAAAAGCAAGGAGCTATTAGGGGAAATAGTCTACCGATGTGAAAATCATATCATAGTTCCATTTTTCTTTCCTGTGTCAGTAAATTCATGTATTTGGCAGAATCTATAAATGATTTTCTTGCTTATGGATATTATTTCTATTACACTGAGTATGACTCATTATTAAAGACGGCCACAGGGGAAAATGACCAGAGAAACTACCAAAACGTGAAATACTGCCAACGTGTGAAGACGAGGTTGCATACATTTTAAATTCATTCATTCAATGCCTTTAAATTTCTTATCAAGTCCTAAGAATGATACAATGGACTTTGGGGACTCAGAGGAAAGGGTGGGAGGGGGCGGGGCATAAAAGACTACACATCAGGTACAGTGTACACTGCCCGGGTGACGAATGCATCAAAATCTCAGAAATGACCACTGAAGAACTTATTCATGTAACCAGACATGACCTGTTCCTCCAGGTGGTGAGAAAACCTATTGAAATTTTAAAAGAAATGTTAAAATTTTAAAAAAAAAGTAAAAATAAAATATCATACCAGAATTAGGACAAAATATGAGACAAAAACTAAAAAGAGCTCACCACCTTTAAAAAAATCTGAAGGATGTATTTCAGAGAGAAGTATTCTTAGACAAATTATTATGAGATACAAGAAGGAATAAACAGCAAAAATAGAATAAATGTAAACCACTGACTGGAAAAAAATTTCATGCCAAGTGAAAGTAATTTATTTAAGATGCTTTTTAAGTGATTAGAAAATATCTAACCTAAATAAAATGAATAGAGTGAATTTTTATCCTGATAAATTATTTCCACTACTGATTCTTTTACTCTAAACACCTTTTAAAAAGTAATAAATATTCAACTGGCATTGCTGTTTTATACCTTCAGCTATCATGAGCATCACTGTCCATTGTCAATTTCTTATGATCATGACACTGCTTACTATGGTTGTGATAAGGTAGCATGGTAAACTTAAAATACACATGCACACCGTCATACACACATTTAGCTAGACCTTAATAATAGTCACATTTAAAATAATCTGTTGCTACTGAGTAATATCTTCTTCCAAAGTGTCATAACAGTTACATAAAGCATTCCCAGAGTCAGAACCTTCAGAAAATAAAGCCAATTATTTTCTCGATGCAAATTCTCCATGTAAATGTCTTTCCTAAAGATGTGGTCTACCTCTGCACAGTGGCAGTATCATAGTCAATGAGGTTTATCCAATGTGTGATTATTGTTAATTGAAAACTTTTCCCAATACCCCACCATGATGACTTGAAATATAGTCAGCATGGGCAATTTTTGAGTGTCTTTATGGAGACTGAACAAAAGAAAATAAATAAATAAGAAGAAGAAGATATGGCCAAGAGAAAATATATTATATTCAGAGCATATTATGAGAGTCATTTTTCTGGGTACATTTTTTCCTGTGAATTAATTTCACCATGCCAACCCTTACCATATGGACTGGGCATGGTGGCTTACACCTGTAATCCCAGCATTTTGAGAGGTAGAGGCAGGTGAATTACTTGAAGCCAGGAGTTTGAGACTAGCCTGGGCGACATGACAGAACTCTGTCTTTAGAAAAGATACAAAAAAATTGGCCAGGCGTGGTGGTGTGTATCTGTAGACCCAGCTACTCCAGAGCCTGAAGTGGGAGGATCACTTCAGCCTGGGAAGTCAAGGCAGCAGTGAGCCGAAATTGCACCACTGCACTCCAGACTGGGCGACACAATGAGAAGAGAACCCTGTCTCAAAAAAAAAAAAAAAAAAAAAAAAAGCCATGATGAACATAGAGTCCAAAGACATGCTTTTTTTCTTGATTACTTACAACTACTAAATAATCTATAAGATATCTTCTGATTCTAAAATTCTATGTTGCAGTTATCGTTGCATGCGTATTCTGTTTTTTAAGCTCTAAATACCAAAAGAATTTGGATTATGTGGCACCTAATAAAATCTAGTATAACAGTGAATCCATGAATTAGCAACATAGCCATGATTTAAGATTTTTTTTTTTTTTTGGAGACAAGGTCTTTTGCCCATGCTGGAGTGCAGAGGCACAATCACAACTCACTGCAGCCTCAGCCTCCAGGGCTCAAGTGATCCTCTCACTTCAGCCTCCAGAGGAGCTGGACCTACAAGCACATGTCACCATGCCCAGCTAATTTTATTAAATTTTTTGCAGAGAGGGGGTTTTGCCGTGTTGCCCAGGCTGGTCTCGAACTCCTGAACTCAAGCAACTGGCCTGCCTCAGCCCCCCAGAGTGATGGAATTACAGGCATGAGCCAACATGCCAAGTCTTTGTTTCTGTTTCAAATTTATGAACTACAACCGGTTTCTAACAGTCTTTAGTATCCCAAATATCTGCAAAACTGAAACATTTTAAATTTTCAATCAATGAAATATGCACATAGTACAATATTATATGATATTCCAAAGGAACTAAAAATTATACAAAGAAAAATAGGTTTTTTTCTCACACTACTGCTCAACTCCTTTTCCAAAATACAATCACTTTTACCATATTTTATATTCTTTTAAAAGTAATCTACATATTTAAAAATAAATAAGCACATAAATACTATGGAGATGTATAATTCGAAAAGTAAGGAGTGTGGTGTCGAAAATGCAACATTCTCCTCCTAAAGCAACAAAATAAAACAACAAACACACATGCACACACATGTAAGTAAAGACACAGGTAAAAGGTGACATGAAAAACTTGGTAATTAATGATGCAGTCATAACAGAAAATAAAAAGATAAAGACAGCAATGGTGATGTTATGTAGGCAAAGCAAAAGCCTTGGGAAAAAACTGCTTTGCCTTTGCAATGTAGTGGGGTGGAAATCATACTGACTTTGTTGTCAGATAGATCTAGATTTAAATCCTGTGATAGCCCCTTATTAGCTACATGGCCGTGGGCAAAATAACTAGTTCTCTAGTTCATTTTCAACTTCAAAAGTGTAATAACAGGTAACAGATCATAATGGAGTCCTGAGGATTGGATGAGAGGGTGTTTGTATGAGATTTTGCATATAAAATTCTATTTCTCACTGCTTTGAAGATCATAGACTTAAACATCTTTCATAGCCCCGTTTTTGTTTGTTTTTAGAAACAGCATCTTGCTCTGTTGCCCAGGCAATGGCGTGCTCTTGGCTCACTACAGCCTTGACCTCCTGGGCTCAAGAAATCCTCCCAGCTTAGCCTCCCAAGTAGCTGGGAATACAGGCACATACCACCACACCCAGGCTTTTTTTTTTTTTTTTTTTTTTTTTTTTTTTGTACAGAAGAGGTCTCACTCTGTTGCCCAGGCTGGTCTCAAACTCCTGGCTCAAGTAATCCTCCCTCCTTGGCCTCCCAAAGTGTTGGGATTGCAGGCCTGACCCATCATGCCCAGCCTCATGGCTCTTTTTAAAAAGAAAAATAAACAACACAACAACAGCAACAATAAAGCAATCAAGTAGGTAGAGTAAAACTGCATGACCTCATAGTAATGCAAAATCCCATGTAAAATGCAATTAGGAATCATCTCCTAGGCCCCCGAACCTCCCAGCCAGCCAGCTGCACCGGCTCACCTGTCATTTTATTATCCCTGCAATCATCTGAGTCTTTCCTTTTCTTACTGACATTTTTTTAACCTCACTTATGGCAATATAATGGGGTTCTCCTACACGAAAAATTAAGATAATTTTCACTATGAATACAGTAATAATCCCATCACTTAAGTAAAAAGCTAAATTACCTTCAATGTACTGTTTTTGATCCTGAAACTAAAATTAAATATACTTATACACACATAACTCCGTTTACCAAAGCAGATACAAATAAAATATATTTTAGAACTATGACCTTTTGCAACAAAAACTTTCTAATGGCTAACTTGAAAATAGTCAGAAGAATTTGTTATCTAGGATAATAGAATACTCCATTTTACCAGATGACTGCAGGTTTATTATACATATAAGAAAGTCCAACTGGAAAATTATGCTGTTTGTGGACTTGTATATCAAATTAGCTTTGAGTCAGTCAGTTATTTGACCTAGAGGCCCTTTGGGCTTGCCTAGGAGCCACACCCTCATTTGTAATCTGCCCCAATAATCTAATGTCATTGAAATGTATTACATCATTCCCTTGATACTGATTTTACATGGATATTTGATTTTCTCGACATAAAGTTATTAAATTTAAAAAATGAACAAATAAATACAGAAAGCCTATGTTGTCATGGGTAACAAGAATTTATTGAAAGCTTTTTTCTTTCCCTCACTTGCACTACCAGAAAAAATGCAGGGAGGGAATCATTGACAAGCTCAGGCCTTGGATTAGTCTGCACCAACTCTCCCAGATAGCCTTGAAAGAAGAATAAATATGAGTGATTCTGACAGGAATCCCATGAACATATCAGTTAGGTAATTTTTTCACAAATTCCACCTATCTGCGGCAGTGACTATATTAATATAGAAACAAGGGCAAAGAAAGTTACCATTTTTTTTATGAAACTGTTCACAATAAGCGTTATTAAACAAATATTATAAACAAGGTCATGATAAGCTCTGCTGAATCAGAAATGTGCACGCGTATCTGGTTCAGGGTCAATAAGCATGAACATTTTTCAAAAAACAATCGGTCAATTTCATGAATTTGTTAACTGCTAGAACTACACTTTTGAACACCAATATTTACCTACTAAGAAATTATTTTTCTTCTTTTTAAAATTTTTTGTTTTGTAAAAACACTACACGCCTTTAGAGCCTACTTAGAAATGACAAGAAAATGATTTAAGGGACTACTGTAGAAAAAAGATTTTTAAAACACATTTTAAAATTTAGAGTAACTACTGGCTTTTGAAAATGGCATACATTTTTAATAGAATATACCTAAATTAGTTTTGTATATTTAATAATTTTCAGAATAATTTATATGAGCACAGAGACCTATGATAAAGATTAATATTAAAGATAGCGATAAAATTAGTCATCAATGATATAAAAAATAAATAAAATTATTTATATCTAGATTCCATCCCATCCTCACCTCTTGTTACTCTCCTTTAAACCTCCCTCTAGGTCCAAAGAATGTTTGAGTACAAATTTAGGGAGAACAGTCAGTAATTTCCACTGATAATAAATATCTCAGTTACTTTAAATAATTACAACCTTAATTTTTTTTTTTTTTTTTTTGAGATAGAGTCTCACTCTGTTGCCCAGGCTGGAGTGCAACGGTGTGATCTCAGTTCACTGTGCAACCTCTGCGTCCTTGGTTCAAGTGATTCTTGTGCCTCAACCTCCCGAGTAGCTGGGACTACAGGCATGCGCCACCACATCCAGCTAATTTTTGTATTTTTTTAGTAGAAACAGGGTTTTGCCATATCGACCATGTTGACCAGGTCTTGAACTCCTGACCTCAAGTTTTCTGCCTGCCTCAGCCTCCCAAAGTGCTGGGATGACAAACGTGAGCAACTGCACCTGGCCAAGATTCTTATCATCTGCTGTTAATAATAGCATCTAAAATGTATTGCATGTCTGTAAGTCAACATATATACTTAATTTAATCTTCATAACACCTTATGAGCTAACTATTGGATTCTTTATGTAATAGATAAAGAAAATAGAATTAAAAGAAGTTAAGAAGCTTGCCAAAAGTTCCACAACTCATGGGTGACTAAGATCAGAACTTTGGTATATCCTACCCATTTTTCTCTAATCGTCTCATGAGCATTGACCAAAGACAAAATCTGGAAAAAAAAAAAAAAAGATAATTTTCTATAAAGGGGTTTACAGTGTTACTGGTGGTTTTTGCAGGATTTTTCTTTGAATTAAAAGATTCAGACTTCATAATCATCTTTAAAGTATCCTATATCTAGCAGTTAGTAAGAATTATTACCTGTATATCACATAAATCATTAAAATGTTTTGTGAGTTCTTTGGACTTTTTGAAAGAGATACACTAAGTTTGCTGCATGATGTACAAATTCCCCACTTAAGTTTCTGAGAGTTTGTCTTAAAATAGGACCAGAAGAGTCAGTAAAAGCCATTCTATCCAGCACTTTAAATAGTATTTATAGTGTTACATATATAGTTACATCCAAGTTTTTGACAATAATGGGTTAAATTAATGATAGCTATTATTAAAATATAAAAATAAATATTAAAATTAGACCAAATTTAATTAAAATATTTTAACTGGAAGTATTAAGGAAGGAATAGTTTTCAAGTACTTTTATTTTTTTATTTTTTTCTGAGACACAGTCTAACTCTGCTACCCAGGCTGGAGTGCAGTGGTAAGATCACAGCTCACTGCACCTTGATCTTCTGGGCTCAAGAGATCTTCCTGCCTCAGTCTCCCAAGTAGCTGGAACTGAAGATGTAAGCCACCACACCCAGCTAATTTTTTAATTTTTGTAAAGATGAAGTCTCACTATGTTGCCCAGACTGATCTCAAACTCCTGGGCTCAAGTGATCCTCTTGCCTCAGCCTGGCAAGTGCTGAAATTACAGGTGTGAGCCACCGCACCTGGCCTTTTACAAGTACGTTTTATAAAAAGTTTAGATTAGCTATCTTATTTAGTGCCTCTTATGTTGGACAAAGATCCTGAATACTGTTCCTTGGGGGCCCTTTGCTGCCTAACTTCTGCCTGTTTTCTTATTTATTGATTGATTTTTATGAGACAGGGTCTTGCCTTCTTGCCCAGGCTGGAGTGCAGAGATCATGTTCACTGCAGCCTTGAATTTCTGAGCTCAAGTGGTCCTCCTACCTCAGCCTCTGAATAAGTGGGACTACAGGTATGTGCTATCATGCCTGGCTTTTTTTTTTTTTCATAGAGACATTTTCAGAGTATCTTTTGTAGAGTCTTGCTGTTTTGCTGAGGCTGGCCTTGAACTCCTGAGCTCAAGCCATCCTCCTGCCTCAACCTCTCGAAGTGAGGATTACAGGTATGCACCACCTCACCCCACCCTCTCCGTTTTTGCTTTTTTAAATTTTTTTGTTTTGTTTTATGTTTTTGGGGGGTTTTTGTTTGTTTGTTTGTTTTGTAGAGACAGGGTTTCACCATATTGTCCAGACTGCTCTTGAACTCCTGGACTCAAACGATCCATGTGTCTTGGCCTCCCAAAGTGCTAAGAGTGCAGGCAAGAGACAATGCATATCTGGTCTCTGCCTGTTTTAATGTGCAAGAATGGGGTTTCCATATGCCAGTATTTTTAGAAGCATTCAATTGAGGGCTGATAAACATATTCCTAGCCAGAGAGAAGCTGCTTTTTTTCCCTTTTTGGTCACTGCCACTCCTCTCTGTTGACAGGTGTTGCATATTCATCACCGTTGCTTTATTCATCACCATTGCTTGCTTCTGCTGGAAACTAACCTCTGCTTGTTACCTCCATCACATAGCTTCTCAGCTTTGCTTTCTTTTCTTTTCTTTCCTTTTCTTTTTCTTTTCTTTCTTTCTCTTTCTTTTTTTTTCTCTTCTGTCTTCAACTGTTTCTCCTGCTCTTCTTGGCATTCAACCCACAAATGTAGTATTTCGCAGACTTCACCAGCCCATCATAGTAATTCTTTCTTTTTTTTATTGATGAAGCAGATGGGAAGAAATCCTTGTTGAGCTTTCTACTCTTCATAGGCATGTTCATTGTTTCAGGAATTCAGGGGAGGTTTTTTTTTCTCTGAAAGGCTTTTGTCCTGTCTACATCTGGGATCAAAGCTATCCTGATGTGATAAGTCCGATTTATATCAACGTAGCTAAACTGGAACTACATTTCCCAGAATCTTCTTCCCTGCATATCTTATTTAGCATGATCCACAGGAAGCATCTTGCAAATGAAGCCTGAAGTGAAAGATTGACCATATTACTTTACACTCAGGCCAGCGCAGGGCCTGATGCATCTTATGCACATCTGTACTTTTCTGCTGGCTTACCGATTGGCAGGGGCAGGAGCTAGGCCAACAGCATCTCCAGCTCCTGCTGGGCCTCCTGCTTCAGCTTCTTTAAATCCTGAGCTAGGTGCATATTGAAGGAATCCAGCTTCTCCTGCAGGATGCCTCGTTAATGGAAGCTGGAAGCTCAGAGGTAGTGATGGGATTAGCTATACACCATCACTTTCCTAACTCAGGGCTACATCACCTTTTCAGCTTTGTATAAGGAATCTTGATCACTTCTCATTTCACTCTAGTTTATTACATTTGATGCTATCGTGCCAATTGGATCTAGTAAGCAGGAAGTGACAATGATACCAGACATAATGGTGGGACAATTCTGTGCCAGCAGGTGAGAAATGCATCCTACAAAAATTCAGTGAGATTTCCGGGGTTGAGTTGTCTGGGACACATCTCTTCCAAAAGGAATTACAAGTTGCTGTGTCTGGATCCTTCTACCATTAAAAAAGAGTCACAATGCCAGTGGACCACTTTAGATTTTGAAGGCAACATACACCTCATTTGGGAGTACAAGTACAACCCATTTACGGAGCAACCTGCAAAGCTGCCAGTGTTTAGGGAGGCCCAGAACAGAAGAAGGCTTTGCAACAGGCCCAGGCTGCCATGCAAGCTGCAGTGCACTTAGATTCTATGACCTTACAGATCTAAAGGTACTTAAAGCATCAGTGATGGACAAGGATTTTTGTATGGATGGAGCCTTTGACAGTCTCTCATAAATGGATTACAGCACAAACTGTTAGGATTTGGTAGCAAAGCTATGCCACCTTTAGTAGGAGACTACTACTACTCCTCTTTTACAAAACTAAATTCTCACTTGCTACTAAACCTTAGTAGAGACTGAACCCTTAAAAATGGGCCACTAACTTACTATGTGACCTGCATGCACATCATGTCCTTTATGGCCTGCTAAGCCATAAGGCTGGATATACATAACAATACTACATAATCAAATAAAAGTGGTACGCACAAGATCTGCCTTGATGAGGTCCTGAAGACACAAGGAAGTTGCATGAGCAAGTAAAACAAATACTCATAACCCACATTTCTGAAGCATAGCCTTCTTTCTCTCAAACTGCACCTACGTCCTTAAGGGAAGTTTTCTATGACCAGCTAATTGGGAAAGAAAAGATGGGGACCTGAGTTACAGATGGTTCTGCATGACCAGCTGGCTTTACCTGAAAGTGAACCAACTGCAGCTCCAATCAGAGGATCCCCCTTGGTAACTAAGACCTGTAGACCAACAGAGCTCAAAATGCAAGTACTTAACCAATGGGATCACCCAAAAGAACTTATTGCAATAGGGATGGAGATTATGCATGGGCTCAGCAATATGGAATGCCATTCACTAAGGCTGATCCAGCTAAAATCACTGATGAATGCTCAATTTGACAGCAGCAAAGACCAACACTGAATCCCCAATATGGCACCATTTCCTGGAGGGGATCGGCCAGCCACCTGGTGGCAGATTGATTACACAGAATCCCTTTTATCATAGAAGGGGCACTGGCATGAACACACACTGGTAATGAATTTGCTTTTCTTCCCCACAATGCTTTTTCAAAAACCACTATCTTTGGACATATGAAAATGCAGTATTAGGATGAAAGGTGAACTACACACAGCCAAGATAAGTCAGCTAGAAAAACAAAGTAATTGGGCCTGGCGTGGTGGCTCACGCTGTAATCCCAGCACTTTGGGAGGCCGAGGTTGGTGGATCACGAGGTCAGGAGATCGAGACCATCCTGGCCAACATGGTGAAACCCCGTCTCTACTAAAATACAAAAAATTACTCAGGGATGGTGGTGCACACCCGTAGTCCCAGCTACTTGGAAGGCTGAGCAGGGGAATCGCTTGAACCCAGGGAGCGGAGATCGTGCCACTGCTCTCCAGCCTGGTGACAGAGCAAGAGGAGATCTCAAAAAAAGAAAAACAAAGTAATTTATGCCACTGAATTAGTTCTATTTACATGGTATCATTTGATTTTGTAGTATCTTGTTTTATTCAAATATAAAATGCAAGTAATACTTGAGTGTTCTCAAAATGCAAGCATTAACTCAGTGACAGTAATAAATGTGTTAATATGTGCAACTAAAAGGTAATAAAAGAAAGAATTAGAGGAGAAAACTCATGAATATTATTTCCCGTCCCTGAGAATTTGTTACCTGTATTTCAATTAAGAGCAGTTATTCAAACAGAGGAATAATAACACTGACTCTCAAAACTGGCAGCAATTATAATAAGTTAGCATATTTAATGATAAATAGGTCACATTGTCTATAAAACTCTTATTTCGAGTGGGAACCCTACAACAGGAGCTGTCCTGACCTGCCTGGCTCTAGCAAGTCTTTGTCCTGATGGTTAGATAATTAGTGAGAACATTGCAGCTGTGTGAGAACTGTGTAAGAACTGCAGTTTCACCAGCTGACCTTAGCAGACGAAAACATGTATTATTACCTTTCTTTTAATAGTGGCTGTGATTAACCATAATAAAACATATGACTAGTAATTTCAACATCACATGAATCCCTGAAATTATTTCTAGCTGGGACTAAAAGAATTTTAGATTAAGAGCTCTTCATTTAAACTTGTAATTTGGGTTTAAAGTATTCATTATAAAAGTCAAGCCAAAGCTGACAGAAATTATCCAGGGTCTAGAGAAAACAGATCCCTCTTTCATGATGAAATTTTTTTTTTCTCAAGTGAAAAACCACTCGAATTCCTACTCCTTCCCTTTTTATATTCTACTCTTAGATCTATTAAAACAAACACCTCTTTCTAGCCCCTAACAATACTTTTGAAAAGCAGCTGTGTTTTGTGAGATACGTATCGAATGGCCAGAAAGAACTTTTTGAAGGTGAAAAGTTTTTTTTTTTTTGAAAAAAGCAAAGTTATTTTCCTGGTGTTTTGTTGTTGTTGTTTTTTCTTTTCTTTTCTTTTCTTTTTTTCCCCTGTATGCTACTACATTAAATTGTGAGGGGTCAAATTACCCTTTAAACTATTTGTGTTATCTGAAATTTACCTAGGTTTTTTGTTTGTTTGTTTGTTTTTTAAGACGGAGTCTCACTCTGTCGCCCAGACTGGAGTGCAGTGGCGCGATCTTGGCTCACTTCAACCTCCACCTCCCGGGTTCAAGCAATTCTCCCTGCCTCAGCCTCCTGAGTAGCTGGGATTACAGGTGCCCACGACCACTCGTGGCTAAGTTTTGTATTTTTAGTACAGACGTGGTTTCGCCATGTTGGCCTGGCTGGTCTTGAACTCCTGACCTCAGATGATCTGCCCCCCTTGGCCTCCCAAAGTGCTAGGATTACACCTAGGTTTCTTTTTACCCAGCTCTAAGGATCTAAGCTAGTAAATCCATTCTTTATGGAACAAGTCGTCTGGTTTGCAGTCACCTCCAGAGGTCCAATTGCTGCTATGGAAAACGCTGGAGTCAAGCTTTTGTTCTTGACTTCTGCTAGTCTGCTGCATTAGCTTACTACCCAAAAAATAGACATTCATTATTCCAACAGTTTATGTGAGGAGAAACTGGCATATGCTATTAGAATCTTCAGTTGTAAAAGTGTTGGGAAGAGCAGCTCCTCAGAAGCAAGTCACTCCAGGTATTTATCCTCTAATGAGTGACAGTAACAGGATACCAACAGATAATCTTTGGAAAAGGTAAGATATTAGATCCCATAACCCGTTTTCTTTTTCAACCTTGCTTTATGGAATATACAGTAGTCAACATGCTTAGCTGAAAACTAGACTTAGCTTTTTATTCAATTTTATGGTAACATCATAAACATTTCTAGAAAAAAAAAAAGGTTGCAGTGAATATAAATGGACCTGGCAGAGACTCAGGTTTTCACAAAAGCACGTGAACCACCTTGACGATCTGATAAATCAAGAAAACCCTGTTTGCTGAGTATTTCAAACAAAGGCTTTGACAAAATAAGCTCCGATATGCTGCTGCTTTGTGACAGCAGCCATGAATCACTGATAGAAAAGCATGAGAACACAGTCGGCAGACTTAATTATATATCATTACCCAAAATAATGGCAGCATTTTAGGTTTGAATTAAAACTTTAGTGGTAGAGACTTGCATCATTTGAGAATGTTAGTCAATCCAATGATTTTAAAAATCCATAGACAAAACACTCAAGGTTTACTGTTCACTTAGAAGAAGTTGCAAAGTTTCTTTGTATTCATTTTTCAAGGCTCTGGGAAGAAAAAAGAGTAACTCTTTTTCTGAAGGCAGAAGAGAAGCTTTTATAATAGCCATTATTCTCCCCCAGTATGATTATCCCCCACCTTCAATAGAGAAGCTTTTCAAAGCTCTATTGACGGTAGGGGTTAATATTCATACTGAGGGAGAATAAAACACATCACCAAAAATGTCTGAGAACCATGCAATCAGCCTGGAATGAGATTCCAGGAACCATTTAATCCAGCCTCCTGACTGCAATCAAGACTTTTTGGGCTGTTTTTTTGTTTGTTTGTTTTGTTTTTCTTTTCTCTTCTTTTTTTTCTGAGATAGAGTCTCATTTTGTCATCTAGACTATAGTGCAGTGGCACAATCTCTGCTCACTGCAACCTCTGCCTCCCCAGTTTGAGCAATTCCCATGCCTCAGCCTCCCAGGTAGCTGAGGTTACAGACGTGCGCAACCACCCCCAGCTAATTTTTGTATTTTTTGTAGAGACAGGGTTTTGCTATGTTGCCCAGGCTGGTCTCAAACTCCTGGGCTCCAACAATCCACCCACCTCGACCTCCCAAAGAGCTGGGATTACAGGCATGAACCACTGTGCCCAGGCTTATCTGGGCATTTTTCTAAGGTAGGATCCAACTTACTCCCTGGAATTATGACTCCATTTGCTCACCCTCCTCACAAGATTTCTGCTCTGATGCCAGATCATGGTGCAAGTGTGAAGGAAAACCAGCTCTGGCCCATGAAAACTGGCACCAAACTTCTCTTTTCTTTCTTGCCCAGCAGTTACATATGTGAAAAAGAAAAAAAAAAAAAAAAAAAGACTAGTGCTGATGATGTGTCAAGATGTAGAAAACTTTAGAAGAGTCCTTGATCCTGGAAATATATCTGGCTGCAAGGTCCTATGAGGGTCCATGTACTCAAGCCTCCTCCTTTGAAATAGAAACAAGTCTAAACTAGAAATCACAAATGGGTAACCTTACAAGCCTTACTTGACCCCAGTAAACATCTTTAATATGACCCATATTGTGCTTTTATTTTAATCTGAATTTTTTAAGTCATATTTTAAATAAAAATTCTGATTTCCAAGTTTCAGGTTCCAGTTTTCAAAGATCAGGCAACCCTGAACCAGTGTTCCTTCAGGGCCTTAAGCCCAGGTGCTGAGTGATGTCCGCCCATCCCTGTAAGATGGGGCAGGATCTCTGTAATAGACTGATGTCTTAGATCCAGCCCTATTTAGAGCATTAGATTTACTCCGCGAGCTCCAGTAATTTATAAAGGATTGAATGTATGAGGATACGTTTAAACCATTTAAGTAGATTTTTCTTTTATTCTAATTATTGTTTCTTGAAAAATAGATTTTACAATATCTTTTATAAATTTATTCTCATTTTTCTCAAAATCCTTAGTTATAGAAAGTTCTCACTTGAGGTTAATACACTTTCTTCTATAGACTTGGTATAGTCTGTCTCTCAGTGTGTGAAAAATGACTACTCATTCCCAAAATATCTCATTTTTTGTTAATCAATTTTTATTAACATTTATTGAGTCCATTTTAAGTAAGAACCTTCCTCTTTCAAAACCTCCTGTTTTCCCAGCATAAGTCAGGCTTATCTCTTGTTGTTGGGAAAAAGACCAGTGAGGAATAGAAAGCACTAAGTAATAAGGCCAACCCACTCTCCTGATCAGCCATGACAAGACCTCCCGGTTCCTGTCCTATCCCTCCCAGGTCCAGTGTAAACAGAGAAGCAATATGAACAGGCTGTAGCTTCATCATCACTGAGACATGCTGAATCTCTCACTAAAGCACAAATGAAACTGCCCACTTCACCCCTAACTCCCACATTTCTACCATTAAGGAAAATATGGAACTTGGAACCCTTAATTCATGTTTGTCTAAATGGGATATATCTGGATTCAGTGTAAAATTGCCTCATTATCATATACATCACTGTAATGTTGTAATTAGCAGGGAGGAGAAGACAGGGCAACAGATGAGTTGTCCTCTGGTCTTTCTAGTCATATGAACCAAACATAACTTTCTCTCCACCAGTTGAAACAGCATTGTCATTTTAGCCTTTTCTCCCAGGATTATTTCTCAACTCTAATTATTCTTAGTGTGCTTCTCCAGTCACTCCCAACTCTTATTCTCAGAATACTTTTTCTAATGACTAGCATAAACTTCTGCATCCATCTAAACTCTCCAAGTTTTCTTTTCTGGGTTCCAGTTACATTAAGGAAAACTAATTGGTATTTTCTATAATACGTGCTTTCATATATTTATATATTTTTTTCTTTCTTTTTTTTTTTTTTTTGAGATGGAGTCTTGCTCTGTCGCCCAGGTTGGAGTACAGTGGTGAGATCTCGGCTCACTGCAATCTCCACCTCCTGGGTTCAAGCAATTCTCTGCCACTGCCTCCCGAGAAGCTGCGATTACAGGCACCCACCACCACGCCTGGCTAAATTTTTTTGTATTTTTAGTAGAGACGGGGTTTCACCATCTTGGGCAGGCTGGTCTTGAACTCCTGACCTTGTGATCAACCTGCCTCGGCCTCTCAAAGTGCTGGGATTACAGGCGTGAGCCACTGCACCCGGCCGCTTTCATATATTTTTAATGGCAGACTTTTCCCATATTTAAAAATATCTATATTTCTTTTCTCTTTGTATCCCATTCACGTTCTCTAAATCTCACTTAAGTTGTGAGAACCAAAACTGGACAAAGCATTATAACGAATAATAATAAAAGCCTTACCAAGTTTATCTCATGGAAGGATTACCTCATGGTTTCTAATTGTTCCATTTATATTCCTGAATCACAAATTTTTTTTACCATGGTACTGTATTGGTAGCTCATGTTTGATTTGTGACTATGGATTTTGAATTCTCATAATATACACATCCTCTTCCTCGACCTTGACAATGTAATACTGATTATTATGTATCAACTAGTTGTGCATCTATGATTGTAACTTTGCCTTATATCTCCAACAACTTTTATCAATGTATGTGCGTATATATCTTCAACGTTGCAGTTTAGTTATTTATTTATATTTTTAGTTTTTGTCATCACCCCTACTTCCACCTCCCATTAGATCAATCTCTACAATTGTAAAGTTTATGTCATATTGATTTGATATCTCCAATCATCAGTATAAAACTTGGCAAGAAAAAATGTAACATAGATGTCTATCAATTGAGTAAATGGCAAACTGCATCTTCTTGGGCTAAGACTTTAGAATTTAACAAAAATTACATCAGATTTAAAAATATTTTTGCTAAAAAATACTCACCAATAAACTGACTTTTTTGAAGTAACAGTTATGTATATATATATACACTTATATACACATATACATAGTGTAAATAATGTAAATTTTGTAAGCACAAAAAATAATCAACTGACAACTAGATTTTATTCAATCTACCATTATTAGCCTAGTTCATTAGTTTGAGAATTGTTTTTATCCTTACATAAAAGAAAAACACAAATGTATTATGAAGAAAAATTGAGATAGAGGCAATGAGAAAAGACGGAAATCATGGTAATAATGAAGTTTACAATTCCACAAAGGTTGGAAAGTGTTTCATGAGATGCTACAAAAAGACAAATATATTTCTAATTTTATATGGAGAGAAGGCTACGCACACAAAAACTTTTAGTAGGCTAAAGCAGTGTTGAACCAAGATTTTGCTTTTCCTGTACCACTTTACATATCCCTCTAGCTTTCCCGGCTTATTGATAACTATGCCTTGAAAAAGTTAATTGCAAATCCTCTCGAATGTGTTTCTTTTTCTATACCTTTCATCAAGAAAAACAATTAATTTGTTCTGATAAGTTGTGTTATTGCAAATGTATAGAATTTACTGCTTATTGCTTTGTTTTATGTGATTGCAAATTAGTAAAACCTTATACTAAAACTTTATCCTGCTTTGCTAAAACAGTCTTATGTAACAGGTATCTTGAAAGGTGATTCTTTACAAGAGGGTTGACCACGTTATTCCTTCAAATAGAAAGCTCTTTGGAAATACTTAAATTGTGATTTTTATTTACAAAAGGGAAGATTTATTGCAGAGTTTTCAGGAACATATATATGTATAGAAGGTTGACATTTTTCTCTCTTTATTTCATCACAAATGAAAGGGCTTTGTGCTTTCTAAAAATTCTGAAAGACTGACCTTTATTGTATGGCAGGCTTGCAGAAAGCATCAAAATTGATTGTACTTCTAAAACTTATTTATTTTCACATGCTATAATTCCTTTAAGTGAAAATATTTACTTTCCAGCTCATAACTGAGAAGCAATTCTAAACTACTCGTTTTTTAAAAGATGTTAGTCAGGTGGAGACAACTTAAATCAGATGTACATTAAAGTGCAGAATACACTGGGTGGCCTTGGAAATAGACCATTCACGTTGTCTGCTCATAAAATAGTTCCTATATACCCAGAGACATTCAATCATTTTTAGAAGAAAGACATGTAAACTGATTGCTCTTTTGTGTTGGGGTTTTGTTTTATTAATTTCCAGATTCATGTAGCAACTGTTAGGTATAAATGTCCAATGAAACTAACAATAAAATAATGTTTGAATAAATAAGTAATTCTTAGTAGACACTTGGCACTTCACTGCATCTCCCCAAACATACCTTTATGAAATCTCCCATTCATAACCATCGGGGTGTTAACTACAAGCCATTAAAAACAATATTATAGGTTTCAGGTTGGCCAGTGAAGAGAGGACTTTCCAAAGGTTAGGTTCTGCTCTGATTCCGAGGTTTTAGAAATACTTGCCAAAGATGGGATAAACTTAAATATTCTTTAGGTTGGTTAGGTTTCCAGGGTCAATTAAATGTTGATTTTTTTTCTTTTTAACTTAGGAATTACAATGTAGTAATAGTACCCTGGCCCAGAGAGCTTACTTCTCATCTAAACCTGATGAATATGACCAATCAGGGGAAAAAAAAGCATTAAATCACCTTAAAATGAATAATTTAAAGGTAATTTAGATATACTACAGAAATTTCATTTGAGGTCTTGCCCACTACAAGCCTTGCCTTATAAAATGTTCCCTCATATCTGCCAAAGCTTAGAATATCCCTTGTAAAAATCATAAATATGGGGCAGATAAACAGTGGTAGTCTTACATAATGAGGTGTCCTTGCCAAATGGGAGTAAAAGAAGACAAGAAGCCTGCCTCCCACTAAGCAACATGTTCCAGGCCTAGGAAGACTGAAGCACCATCATTCATGGCATGGTCTGGCTCCTGGCAAAAGTTAAGGCTCGCTCTGGGCTACCAAGGAGGAAGGAGCCTTGCAAAGCCTTTCACTGTGAGGGGATATTGACCTATCTTGTTTTCTCATGGTAATATCATCTATTAACATGTGCTAGCAGTATGGATAAAGATTCTCTTATCACTCCCATGAGTAGCACAGTGCATCACATCTGATAGGTGCTTGATAAATGTTTGTTGAATTGAATTACTTTTTAATCTCCAGATGAATTTTTTAAGAAGTTACTTGTTCTATGAGTAGAATGGACACTGCATAGTGAAAATTACACAAAAACAGCCCTTTTGCCTCGGAGGTGTCCATCACATGCAGTTGAAATATCATCAACAAAGGACAAAGAAGAAAGCAATTGGAATAAAAGTTAATGTTTTTTTAATTTTTTTGGTTTTTGTTTGTTTGAAGACAGAGCCTGGCTTTGTCACCCAGGCTGGCATGCAGTGACACCATCTCGGTTCACTGCAACCTCTGCCTCCCAGCTTCAAGTGATCCTCTCACCTCAGCCTCTCGAGTAGGTGGGAGCACAGGTGCACACCATCATGCCCAGCTAATTTTTGTATTTTTTGTAGAGACTGGGTTTCACCTTGCTGTCCAGGCTGGTTTGGAATCTCTGGGCTCAAGCGATCCACCCACCTCAGCCTCCCAAAGTGCTGGGATTACAGGTATGAGCCACCGCAACCGGCCTAAAAGTTAAGTATTAATGACAAATGTACTTTTGTGAGCTAGAGAAAAGGCCATGTGTTTAAATGAAAAGCATTCATGCTGACCAGGAATGATGAGTTAGAGAAAACACTGGCTTCTGTTAAGCATATTTATTTGGAGATGAGGCTTCATAGGATAACACACAGTTACTCTGACAGCTGATGAGACCTCATTTTTCAGCTCCATCTCTTACTATTAATAGATAGGTAACCTTGGGTAAATTATGTAATTTCTCTATGCCTTAATTTTTTTCTAAAACTGAGATCATAATACTATTTTGTATGGTTATAGATAGTAAATAAGTGAATTTTGTGATGTGCTTGGAAGAATGTGTGGCAGTCACATGAAGCACTGTATAAATGTTTGTTAAATAACTAAATGAAGGCAATGGAGCCCTAACTCCTGGAACAAAACAGTAATATATAATAGCAGGCAAAAAATGGGGAATGGAGCTGGAACCACAAAGACAAGAGATATCCACTCCAATCTTTTACAGCTATTTATTGTTTTCCTTTAAAAAAACACCTGTTTTGCATTGACATTAACAATATTTAATTACTATTGTAATAGTCTTGCTCAGTATGTTGCATTTTATATTATCTTTTTCCATCTACTTTGCAAAGTAAAAATTACTAAGGAAGCCAATAGAAGCTTTTCAAAAAACAAAATTTAAAAAAATAGGAAAATAAAAACTATTAATTAATGTTCTATTGGACCATCTTTTCTTTCCACTTAATTTGGCCAAAACAGGAAAAGATCAAGTGCCTGATGTTGAATTAAACGTGTATATTTGTACTTGGTTTTAGAGCAGACCAGCACATTTCCTCCTACCAGCCGGTATTATTAAGCTTGGTTCTCTCAGGTTGGTATTTAGATCTCTCATGTGGATCATTTTGACAGAAATGTGCATTGAAATTTTTAGCACTCCTCTATTTCTGGACTATAAAATATGGCTTAACATATTAGCCTCCATGTTTCCGAATTAATGAAAATATGAAAAATTATACTTTCTTTCAATGCAATGTTGTTGTTGTTTTAACTTTTATTTTTTGAAGCAAAGTTTTGCTCTTGTCACTCAGGCTGAAGTGCAATGGCCCAATTTCAGCTTACTATAACCTCCACCTCCCGGATTCAAGCAATTATCCTTCCTCAGCTTCTCAGGTAGCTGAGATTACAGGCGCCCGCCACCACTCCTGGCTAATTTTTGCATTTTTAGTAGAGATGGGGTTTCACCATGATGGCCAGGCTGGTCTTGAACTCCTGACCTCAGGTGATCTGCCTGCCCCGGCCTTTCAAAGTGCTGGGATTACAGGCGTGAGCCACCATGCCAGGCGGTGCAATATTTCTTACACAAATTGTGCAGGCTTTCATTGAAGTGAGTAAAAACCTGGTCTAGAAAATGGGTAGCTCAGTCCCTTGTGAACTGTTGAAAGCGTGCCACCTCTACTACATCTAGACATAACTAATCCTGAGAAGAGTCAAGAAAAGGTTTGCCTTAGATATTCTTCTACCACCTCTTTGTCATTCTGGCTGCGTTTTTGTTTCCTTCTTGCAGGGCCTCATTTTTTATTGTCATATAAATTCCCCCAAGAGGCGCTTTCTCTTGAAGCCCACAGCTATTTGTATTTCAGCTTCTGACCATGACAGGCTAAAACGCTGTCAAGAAACACTGAAATCTCTGATTTGGAATTCGTATGGAAAATATTGGTTGGTGCGTGTTTTCTGGCATCCTTCAATTAGCACCGGCTGACATTTCGTGAGACTGATATCAGTGGAAGCACGAATTCCCATTCCTACGGGTTTCTATTTCACTCCCTTTCTTTCTTACAACTTCACTATTCACCAACACATAGGATATAAATGCAGTGTGGTTTGCATCCTACAGAGGGTCATGGCCTGCAACAGAGGCAATAGCAGCTTGTTCTAGGATCTCCAGTGCATTCACTGTTTGTACCCTTGCGCAAATTAGGCTTCTTCAGCAAGGCCTTCCTCTAGGGGAGACCCTCCTCTGACTCTAGTCAGTGTCTCTAAACAGAAAGACAGGAACACAGCCTCACAGCAAAATGTTGGCTAGCAAAGAAAAAGAGAAACAACTCTTTTTATAAGCAGGAATATTTCTCAGTTGTTTCGCATGTATTTTCCCTCTTTCCTTTATCTACTTCACTGAGTACTAACTGAAAGGCGAGCTTAACCACTCTTTGAGAGAAGGTGCTGTGACCCTGGGTATGAACCTCAGGAGGGAAAATCATGATGCTGTGAGTCTATTATATTCCATAAGCCTGTGGCAGAACCATATTGGCTTGGACCTGCTTGCTTCTGACATCTTTCTGGTTGTTAATTTAGAAAAAATATTACAGATTGTAAGGGAACACTCCTTACTCCTTCTACAGTAACCTCTGCCATCTTTCTTCCTGCAACCAGCAATTTATAAAAAATCATTGTTAGATATTGTAGCACGGGAAATGTTAACAGTGTCAGTGATTTACTTAATGGATAATTGTACTCTCTGCAGTCAGGGTAAATGACATTTATGTGAGATCTGGTCTATGTTGCTTTGGAAATACCTTATTCAAAAGGAAGCCAAGCTAAATGATCAACTTTTTCAGACTCTGGAGAAAATC
This sequence comes from Homo sapiens, assembly GCF_000001405.40. Lineage (NCBI taxonomy): Eukaryota > Metazoa > Chordata > Mammalia > Primates > Hominidae > Homo > Homo sapiens. The sequence continues at coordinate 121,523,083 of NC_000006.12, read as the reverse complement.
TTCCCTCTGTCTCTGAATGAAATGTAATTCACTTCGTATCCACATATGGACTGAGGGGCTGAGGGAGGATGTGAGGCAGAGTGGTTACACTTGGCTCAGACCACATGGTCCCATGCCTTTATGTGTCCACAGTGGCAGAAATTTTCACAGCCACAAAAATGTCTCTGGGGCTAAGCAGCTACAAACTGTCTAGTCTGTTTGAGAAAAATCCATGGCTTTTTAAAACAAAGTTTTTCTTAAACTTAAAATGTGTATGGAGCTCCCAAGGCCATCGTACTATCATGAAGCAAATTAGCAGCAAAACAAAGGAAAAACCAATGCTGAAATACATCAAGTCAGAAAGTTGCCTCAGAAAGTAGTCTTCGTAAAAGTGGGTATATTTTTCAGAAGTGAAAGCTTTCCTCAGGAAGGAGAGTTCAGCACAGAAAGCTTGTAATTCCTGAGCAGTGCTCCAAAGAGATAAACTTTCCTTTTATTACTTTGTTTTGAATTGTTCTGGGTGGCACTGCAAATGTTTTCAGCATCTTTTGGTTCCCATCAGGGTTTTACTCATTTCCTTCTGCCTTATCCAGACAAAAGGCAGCTGAATTTCAGCTGGACTGTGCATTACTCAGACTGAACCAACAACCTCGGACTCTGAGAACATCTCAAGCTCACTTGTTTTCATGTGGCAGCCAGATTACCAGCCCTCTTGGTGATTCATCTGTACCCGTTTGAAGGATCCAGGGAGAGAGGTATCCTGGTGAAGACAGGGCAGGGAGCTATTTTTTAAATCCCAACTTTGTCAAAGCTCAACTGCTACCTTACAAAGGCCATTAAACTTTCTCATCAGTTTCTTCAGGAGCAAAATGAGAATCACCCTAGTATTATAATAGTTAATTTTGTTTTCTTTTACAAAGTGTTTTGAAAATGAGCAGTTGTATTTGTTTTGCTTAGCAGTTTAAATTAATGGGGTCAGAGATATGAATATGACACATCCTGTGTTTGGTGGCTACTAGTTTTTCTTGCTTTGCTTATCTTACTGTTTACACGTTCAAATTCATCCCTTCTCATTGATAGCTATCTTCAGTTGACTTTACTTTTGGTATTTAAACTCAAAAGTTTTTTATTGAAAAAACAAGATAGACTTTGAGAAGTTTGTTCTAGTCATCTGCCACTAGGCAGATTGTTATTTCAATCATCCAGCAAAACTGATTTCATGTCTTATAATTCCATCCAATTATCAGAAATCAATTAAGCTGGGCATGGTGGCCCATGCTTGTAGCCCTAGCTACTGAGGAGGCTGAGGCGGGAGGATCACTTGAGCCCAGGAGACATAGGCTGCAGTGAGCCATGACTGTGCAATGGCACTCCAGCCTGGGTAACAGAAAAACACCCTGTCTCAAAAAAAAAAAAAAAAAAAAAGCACATTAAATTTGAAAATCTGAGAATCAAATAGAAAGCAAGCTATTTGATTGCTTGGTAGTTTTATAATTTTATCTGTCAATTTGGCTAGGCTATTATACCCAGACATTTAGTCAAACACTAGACTAGATGTTGCTGTGAAGGTATTTTTTAGATATACTTAACATTTAAATCAGTAGACTTTAAGAAAACCTGATTACCCTCTGTAATGTGTGTGGGCTTCATCTAATTAGTCAAAGACCTTAAGAGAAAAAACTGAGGTCCCCTGGAAAAGAAGGAATTCTGCCTCCAGGCAGTCTTTAGACTCACAACTGCCACATCAACTCTTCTGTGGGTTTTCGGTCGGCTAGTCTGCCCTGCAGATTTTAGAATGTGCCAGCACACACAGTGGCATAAGCCAATTTTTAAAAAGAAAGCCCTCTCTTTCTCTGTCTATATACAGCCTATTAATTTTGTTTTTCTGGAGAACATTAATTTGCCTGCCTTTTTCTCTTTTAATTTTAACTTGAATTTCTTCCTTGGCCTTTGCTTCATGGATCCCTCTACACACCTTCCTGGGTGACGCTGACTGAATCCATCAGTAGTCAAGGAATGCAGACACAAGAGAATGAGAGTGAATAGCAAAACAAAGAGTTGAGGAAATGAAATAGAATTGTGCTCATGCCCTGGCTATGTTTATACAAGGGCATTCCATGCATTGCCATCCAAAAAGGAAAGGAAAAAGTGAATTTGACATACTCAGGCGGTGAGGTCTGTGCAATTAACAACAAAGTTGAGTTGAATGCTGAGAAGAAACCATTGAAACTCACGAAATCACTTGAGTTTTGTTGTTGCTGTTAGTCATAGACGTTCTCAAAGTTACAATGTGATCTTGAATCACAAACATCATTTATTTACTGATTAGCCAATGCCAAATCAACTTTAGCCCTCCCTGCAAGGAGGCTGATACACCAGTAGTCTCCCTCATTGGCAGTGTAGCTCTATCAGCTTAACATAGGCCAATTCCTTTTGCACAACAACTCTTCTCTCTGGCTAATTGATTTAAAAAGTGTCACACTAAGAAGCCCATAAGTATCAAGAGGCCAGAAGCTCACTGCTGTTCAGGGAAACAGTACCTACTGCATAAACATTCTTTCATGGTTGCTCTGGACAATGACGCTGAGACTTAATTTCACAGAAAGCCACACAAGACCAGAACTGAACTGGAGGCTGAGGATCAAAGACCTAAAAATGTGCAGTTCTTAAAATCTCCAGAGTGGCCCAGAGAGTATCGAATGAGCATTGTGTCTGGACATTGCAAAAATTCCCTCCATTACCCAGTTGATTTGAACCTTGTACGGCATGTCAAGTAAGGGGCAGCCAATACCGTTATATTGAGTAGTGAAGTTTCCTTAAGTTAACCCTTTTGTATTCATGTACATATTTGTGTAAACTAATGATAAAGCCAACTCTGCTTTGGCATAAAAGGAGTCTAGTATTTAACCTAGGCTTGAAGTTGATTGCTGGAGAAAGGGTCAATTATACTTATCCCAACTATTCTCAAAGTTCATTTTGAAAACATTTTTGAACACACAGAAAAGAGTGTTTAACTCACGCTTCCTATTTCTCATCCCTCTAAGAGGATAGGAAAAGATAGTAATTACATTTTTGAGCATATATTATGTACCAGTTATGTTTATAATCTCTCTTTATTCTCACAACTTTTTGTTAAATTAGTGCTGTCTACATTTTATGGGTGACCAACTTGAAGGCCCAGGAGTTTTTGTAATTTACCTACTCCACATAATATGCAGGCTGGCATAGTCAAAATGCTGCTCCTTTTTTTTTCTTTAATAAATCCAAAAAGAAAAAGAAGATGAAGTAATGATTTCTTTAATCCTCGGCTTATTGATAAATGATTTATATGTCATTTATATATCACATTCTGTCTCACAATAGGCAAAATATGTTGACTTCAATTGAATATTTTTTCCAGCAAAAATAGAATATATTCTTACATGTCATGAATAAAATTGAAATAAACATGACAGTTTTGGGTTTGGATAAAATATAACATATTTTTTAAAGAGTACACATTTGTTCCAAATGTTTTCTGAGAACTGTTATACTGTTCGCTGATGCACATGATGACGGGAGCACCATTTGGAGGAAATGATTTATTAGCACACTCTAGTCATATGTATGTATGAACATTCTGTCTGATTCTAATCCACTGTCAGCAACATGAGACCTCTGAGCTGTTTCTCCAGAAATAAAGATGTGATCACCTTGAATCAATTAAACTTCCACTTCGTTCTTATTGTGATCAATAGAAAATATTTCAAACATACCTGATAGGATTAATTTTCTCTAACCAAGAGTAATGAGTCACTATAGGGATTGCCTATTTCTCATATCATATACAATATTAATAATAATGATGATGATCCTACTTAGCAAGGATCACGCAGCTGGTTAAATGGTAGAAAAATAATTTCTGGCTGGGCACAGTGGCTCACACCTACAATCCCAGCATTTTTTGAGGCCGAAGTGGGAGGATTGCTTGAGGCCAGGAGTTTGAGAGCAGCCTGGGCAACATAGCAAGACCCTGTCTCTACAAACAACAGAAAGATTTTCCAGGCATGGTGGCGCACACCTGTAGTCTCAGCTACTCAGGAAGCTGAGATGGGAGGATTGCTTGAGCCCGGGAAGTTGGGATGCAGTGAACCGTGATAGCGCCACTGCATGCCAGCCTGGGTGACAGAGCGAGATCCTGTCTAAAAAAAAAAAAGAAAAGAAAAAAAGTAAATTCTAACTCAGGTCTGCCATACCAGAACTTGGGCTATTGACTGCCAGTAATCTACTCTCAAATACATCCTTTTAAAATTTAATACGCAGTCAAATTGCATACTTAAGAACTATGCTATTTTTATAACAGTAAAGTCTGAATATGATACATACACATTTCGAATGATGTTGACAATATACCTTACCATATTCCTTCGATTATAATAAAGCACTTTTTTTCAGACGTTAACATCTCTGAAGTCGGGGTGCATCTCAGCTTTGTGTTCTAATCGAACTGACAATGTTTTCTTTTCCTTTATAGAGGTAACTAAAATAATGGTATGACTTACAATGTATGGCATCTTAGATTTCATTAAATGTAGTAAACTAAAATTCAATTTTTTTTTTCCTCACAGACTTCAAGACTTTTTTTTTTCCTCTGTCACCCAGGTTGGAGTGCAGTGACACTATCATTGTTCACTGAAAGCTTGAATTTCTGGGCTCCCTCCCACTTCAGCCTGCAAGAGCTGGGACTACAGGCACATGCCACCACTTCCAGCTCTTTTTTTAAATTTTTTGTAGAGGCAGGGTCTTGCCATGTTTGCCCCAGCTGGACTCAAACTCCTGGGCTTAAGCAAAACCTTTCAAAGTGCTGGGATTATAGGTGTGAGCCACTGCTCCCAGCCTAAGACTAATATATTTATTTTATCACTCAAAAATGTTTATGATATATATGATAATGTATATTTTCAGGTACATGAACATATATTATCAAGTACATTATCATATATATCCTCATAAAAATATCCTGTGATCTATATAATGCTGGCATTATTATTACCCCATTTCACAAATAAGGAGACTGACTAAAAGAAAGACTAAGTGATTCGTCCAAAGTTTTATAATTAGTAGTTATAGGCTGGCCACGATGGCTCATGCCTGTAATCCTAGCACTTTGGGAGGCTGAGGTGAGCGGATCACCTGAGGTCAGGAGTTCAAGACCAGCCTGGCCAACATGGTGAAACCCCATCTCTACTAAAAATATAAAAATTAGCCACGCGTGGTGGCTCATGCCTGTAGTCCCAGCTACTCGGAAGGCCGAGGCAGGAGAATCACTTGAACCCGGGAGGCGGAGGTTGCAATGAGCCAAGGTCATGCCATTGCACTCCAGCCTAGGCAAAAAGAGTGAAACCTCATCTCGAAAAAAATAAAAATAAAGTAATTATGGGGCTATGTAAGAACCAAAACCAATCTTTGAGCTCAATGGTGCCTTTCTCAAGTGACCCATTGTGCATTTATAATCTAGTAAAATATTTCTAGCTCACACATTTATAATGTTTTTTTAAAGGACTTGATAGAGCTTACATATTAAATTCAAAACTCCACCAGTGCCATTATTGTGCTCTTAAAGAGAAGTACAATGGCCTTGGCCCAGTTAGGACCTGTTCTGATAGATATTACCGGGAAGCAGGTAGCGTCATTATATTTTTAAAATACAAACCAAAGGGAAAGAACCTTGTGTAAAGAAATTTTCCTAAATTTGGTGATTAATTCTGGCTGCCAGGATTTTAAAATTAGGAAAAGAAATTGTGAAAGCTGATTGAGAGAGGGAGCTGATTGAGAGTCCTGGATTCTTACCTTGAGTTTATGGCCACTCAGTTTTCAACTTAAGATTCAAAAGCATTTTCTTCATTTGTATTTGTAAACATGAAAGAAATTATATGAATACATATCTGCTTTCTCCCATCCAAATAGATTTTGAAGGGAAATGAGATTACATATACAAGTGCTTTTAGCTACTCAGGATATCGTAAGAATAAATCAATTATCCAATTCTCTTCACCTTTTTTTTTTTTTTTTGAGACAGTCTCAATCCGTCACCCAGGCTGGAGAGCAGTGACACGATCTTGGCCCACTGCAACTTCCACCTCCTGGGTTCAAGTGATTCTCCTGCCTCAGCCTCTTGAGTAGCTGGTACCACAGGCACGTGCAGCCAGGCCCAGATAATTTTATTATTTTGTGTAGAGAGGGGGTTTCACCATATTGCCCAGGCTTGTCTCAAAATCCTGAGCTCAAGCGATCCTCCCGCCTTGGCCTCTGAAAGTGCTGAGATTAAGGTGTGAGCCACAGTGCCCAGCCAAGAGTCATTATTATAGCAAAGTACTTAAACCTCAAAAAACATCTAAGTGCCCATCACTGTTTGGAAAACGAGTATTCGAATTAATCAGCTTTTGTTTGTGTTTGAGTTTTTAGGGATTTCAGTTATTGCTTGACTTCTAAAGTCTCCTTACCTAAAGGAGTCAGAACACAGCCAACCCTGCATGCATGCTCATGAATCAAGATGTAGTGAGATAGGCCAAGCGGTGGCTCACTCCTGCAATCCCAGCACTTTGGGAGGCCGAGGGGGATGAATCACCTGAGGTCAGGAGTTCCGGACCAGCCTGGCCAACATAGCAAAAACCTGTCTCTACTGAAAAAAAAATAATAATAATACAAAAATTAGCCAGGCATGGTAGTGGAGACCTGTAATCCCAGCTACTCGGAAGGCTGAGGCAGGAGAATTGCTTGAACCCAGGAGATGGAGATTGCAGTGAGCCAAGGTCATGCCACTGCACTCCAGCCTGGACATCACAGTGAGACTCTGCCTCAAAAACAAAACAAAACAAAAAAAAATGTAGTGAGAGGTTCAGAGACTCCATTCTACAGACTTGCCCATTTCCCACAGTCACCCTATATTTATGCGTATGTAGCAGAAGATGCCTAAAACCACACTTGCTGTCTACAATACTTTCCCTAGAGATCCTGCTACAGTTCTACTCAGTGTGTCACTGAAGTAGTCATTTCATGTGTTGCCTAAGCCACAAATAATCTTTTTTTATCAAAGTAAGTATGCAAAGTTAAGAACAATAGATGCTTTTATCTGTGATACCACCAAAGATAAATATAATTCCTCTATATTGTAAGCTTTCAGGCTATCCTGTTGAATTTTTTTCCCAAGGAAAGTGATAAAACCTCTTAAGTCATTAAAATCTTGACTAGACAAAACAAATTGAATCACATGGTGAGAAATGAACAGGAAGTTTTAGTAGCTCATGTCTTTTTTTTCTCCAAACTGCACAGTTAAGGAAATCACCAGGAAAAGAACAATGGAACAGCCTTCATCCTTACCAAGTCTAGAGTATGGGTGTGGTTATTCTTAGATACATAAGCCCACAAAGTACTTTCCTACATTACTTGTTAATTTACATATGTATTTCCTCTATACAATGATAGCTTAAAAACAAACTTGTAAAAATATTAAAACTAAGTGCCTATCACAGAGTTGTACTGTACGGTAGCAATAAAATAATTCATTAATAGACTCTTGCGGAAAACCTTTCCCAGTTTTTCCACAACTTCTCCCACAATCATGCACACCTCCTGTTTCCCAGCCTCCTCCCAAATAACTGAGACGTGTTTTGTTCCTTAATACCTCCCTTCTCAGAAAGGTCAGACCTTTTAAAGCAAACCTTTAAAACAATTTCACCACTTTTCTTCCTTATGTTTTACAGCTGTCAATTGTTATTGAGCAATTTTAAGTAATTGTTAACTCTGAATAAATGGTTTATTGATCACGTAGTAGGTGCCAGGTACCAAGCAGATCCTTTCTCTTTACCCCAACACAGGACAATTAAAAACAAACAAACAAACAAACAAAAAAACCCTTACATTAAGAAAAGGAAACTGATGATTAGAAAAGCAAAATACCTTATCCAATGAATGATATGAACAGATTTTAACCCAGATCTCATTACATCCCTCCTCCATACTCTATCTGCTCTCCCTCAGGTGCTTCAATTAGTTTAGTATTAACTGACCAGGCATGGTGGCTCACACCTGTAATCCCAGCACTTTTGGAGGCCGAGATGGGTAGATCATTTGAGGTCAGGAGTTTGAGACGAGCCTGGCCAACATGGTGAAACCCCCTTCTCTATTAAAAATACAAAAACTAGCCGGGCATGGTGGCACATGCCTATAGTCTAAGCTACTCAGGAGGCTGAGGCACGAGAATCACTTGAACCCGGGAGGTGGAGGCTGCAGTGAACCGAGATAGCGCCACTGCACTCCAGCCTGGGTGACAGAGGGAGACTCCGTCTCAAAAAAAAAAAAAAAAAAAGATTACTATTAACTGATCTAGAACAGGGAGAGGATCAAAATCAAAGAAGACAAAAAAGAATTTCTGTGGAAATCAGGGAATTTCACAGAGAAACTCCTGGGTCCTACTATCACTCCCCAAAGTTCAGGCAGCAGCCTGGAGTGTCCCTCACTCCCTTACTGTGCTCTCCTAGCCCCCTGCACTACCCTCCAGGGCTCCTCTGTCTCTGATCATGGCTGTGGAGGGGAGCCATACTGTTGATCGACACCTCAGGTCTGTGTAAGGATGGCTGCCCTTTTATCAATCATTATGGGAAAACTGAAGCAAGATTTGAATGTTGGTGAGCGACTCACATGAGATGGAAATTGGTTTTATTTTTTAAAATGGATATCCTTTATCACTTCCTGTGATTAAGAATGCCCTGCCAATGTTTTTCATGTGGAACGAAAGAACAAATTAGAATTGAAAATGTCATCAGGGCAAGTCAGTTGGCAACTGATTCTAGTTCCAGGTAGACCATTTATATCTTTAAGAAACTTCAACTGAATTTTATTTGGAAAGCCTGTGCCCTGCCCAGCAATCGGCCTCTATGGGCATTTCCTCACAATTCCATAAAGCAGAGAAAAGTTCAACAACTGTAGAAAATAAGTTCACTTCTACTCAACAGGCAGCAAACACTTCTTGGATGCAGAAAAACAAATAATTTTTTTCATCCATTTAAAATGATCTCCAGTTCTCTCTTGGAAAACCACTTTTGTGTGTGTGTGTGTGTGTGTGTGTGTGTGTGTGTGTGTGTGTGACGGAGTCTTGTTCTGTCGCCCAGACTGGAGTGCAGTGGCACGATCTTGGCTCACTGCAACCTCTGCCTCCCCGGTTCAAGCGATTCTCCTGCCTCAGCCTTCTGAGTAGCTGGGGACTACAGGCGCATGCCACCACTCCTGGGTAATTTTTGTATTGTTAGTAGAGACAGGGTTTCACCATATTGGTCAGGCTGGTCTCGAACTCCTAACCTCAAGTGATCCACCCACCTCGGCCTCCCAAAGTGCTGGGATTACAGGCATGAGCCACCACGCCCAGCTGGAAAACCACTCTTTAACACAAATTGGGAAAACATACAAAGAACGCTCCAAAATACAATATGTAAACCTTTTTTTGCCTACAACAATAAAGTCAAAGTTTACTCGGTTTATGTTTACAAATTATAACTATTAACTAGCAAAAAATTCAAGACTACACTGTTTTATCTATCATTATCTTTATAAAAGGTTAACCACAGATTATATCCTGACTTTTCCTGGTAGTGATTTTCGGCTACTTCATGGTAAGACACTCAGTGAATCTATGAGAACAAACTCTATGGAGCGATAAATCACTATAGTTCCTTTGCATGGTTTAGCCCTTAGAGGTTTCCCACATTGCTCATTTAATTACACTGTTGCCCATCATCTTTATCAAGTTTCAAAGTCCTCTAGAATATAATAAAAGAGAATGCCAAAGAGAGTGTAGAAAAGTATAGTAGAGTATATAGCAATGTAAAACTGTAAAATAAGTTCTTTAAAAGTTAAAGTTAAATAATATGTGACACAATAGCGTAAGGAGGTTGTATTCGTCCGTTCTCACGCTTCTAATGAAGAAATACCTGAGACTGGGTAATTTATCAAGAAAACAGGTTTAATTGACTCACAGTTTCGCATGGCTGGGGAGGCCTCAGGAAAATTAACAAACATGGTGGAGTCCCCTCTTCACAGGGTGGCAGGAGAGAGAATGAGAGCCGAGCAAAGGGAGAAAAGCCCCTTATAAAACCATCACCCCCCGTGATTCAATTACCTCCCACCGGGTCTCTCCCACAGCATGTGTGGATTATGGGAACTACAATTCAAGATGAGATTTGGGTAGGGACACAGCCAAATCAAATCAGAGGTAATTTTCAAAGTATAAGATAGTTCTTGGCCAGGCGCAGTGGCCCACGCCTGTAATCCCAGCACTTTGGGAAGCCAAGGCCGGTGGATCATGAGGTCAGGAGTTTGAGACCAGCCTGGCTAGCACGATGAAGCCCCGTCTCTACTAAAATACAAAAAATTAGTCCGGCGTGGTAGCACATGCCTATAGTCCCAGCTACTCTGAAGGCTGAAGCAGGAGAATTGCTTGAACCCAGGAGGCAGAGCTTGCAGTGAGCTGAGATTTGCCGCTGCACTCCAGCCTGGGTGACAGAGCGAGACTGTCTCAAAAAAAGTAATAAAAATTAAAAAAAAAAAGTTCTCAATTTTGTCAACTATAAAAATAGAGCGTTGGGTTAGATGATCAACAATGTCCTACGTTTTATAGTTCTTTGATTTAATGGTGATTTGATTCCATTATTTGATTTAAGGCTGGATGTGAATAAAAGCTACTGCTTTGCCAGATCAGATTTTGTTTCCATTCAAACACAGGGTTATAGCAGTCACAGTATTTTTGACCCAAATTTTGGCTTTGGAAAAAAAATTATTCAGTAACTTGAATTATCCAAGTTGGTTCTCTCTATTGATCACACTATTTTTCTTTTGGTCACATAGTCATAGTTCCTAGTCCAGAGCTTTACTACCAGTTACATCAATAAGTTATCTATTAGATTATCACTAAATTATCTATTAATTCCTTTCCAACCCAGATATAGTTTTCATATTTTAAATTCTGCCTCAAGTTAAAGTTAGTAATAGATTGTTGATGTCATTGAAGTCACTTACCATAAAAATCTACATAGCAGGTCACCAATGTATCAATCAATGCTTGCATCAGTACTGAAGCTCTGATTAATTTATGTGATTCAAAGCTTTCCAAATCTCTTCAGGAAAATTTTACCTACTCTCTAGAGTTAGCTGCTGAGGTACACTATCCTTCCTGGAAAACATGAAGCTACAATGAAATTAGAACCACTACCTGCTGGGAGCAGTGGCTCAGGCCTATAATCCCAGCACTCTGAGAGTCCAAGACAGGTCGATTGCTTGAGTCCAGGAGTTCAAGACCAGCCGGGGCAACAGGTTGAAATCCTGTCTCTACAAAAAAATACGAAAAATTAGCTGGGCATGGTGGTATGAACCTGTAGTCCCAGCTACTCAGGAGGCTGAGGTAGGAGGATCGCTTGAGGCTGAGAGGCAGAGGTTGCAGTAGCTGTGATCGTGCCAGTGTACTCCAGACTGAGCTACAGAGCAAAACTCTGCCTCAAACAAAACAAAGTCACTATTGAGATACATTCAAATAGAATCATTTTTACATATAAAATCAATTGCTATTATTTGTCTTTTCAGACTTGTTAGTAAGATCAGCTTTCTGATTTAGCAACTGATGCCTCAATTTTCCCTTACTTTTGTCACCCGCCTGTAAAAAGTCCCACATCACAAAGGAGACAGCAAGACTATTTAACATTGTTTGTAAATAATTAATTTAAAAATAAGATTTTAAATCTGACAATTATTCTTTCTTATGATATCTGTTATTTTGCTACCAATACAAGTTTATCTTAAAGGGCAGTTAGCACAGGCAGTGGAAGCAGCAAGCAAACTTCTCATTCTTGTTATTCACTGACACATATTAAACTATGAGGGCTTAATTTCTGGTATCAAACAACATGTATGATTGTAACACTTTTCATTGTATTCAGCTGTCAATTTTCAAACTATCGAAGGGTTAGTAATTTTATACTTCTGGTCTAATCCAATGTCTTATCTATGTTTCTGTCACCAAAAGCCGCCTGTATGGACTTGAACAAATAGAAGCTGCTGTCTCTCCACCTACCATCCTAGAGCAGCCACAAAGCTCCTCCAGACACATTCTTTTCTCTCTCTGTTGTTTGTTCTTTTGAATTCTAAAAGTCTTGTGCCCCAAAAAGTCAAACGGCTGAATGTTTCAGATTATATCTTTATAAGCCTCCTTCACCTTTATTTCTGTCAACTTGCCAATGACTACATGCCATTTCAGAAACACTCATGGCCTTGTTTAAATGGCTGTAGTTTTTTTCTAGTGTGGGAGTGTGCATAGTCGGTAGAGTCAACTTTATTGTTCACTGGTTCTAAGAGGCTGCTTGAAGGTGAGGTCACTGAAGAAAAAGTGCCCGGGAATTAGGAAGCCGTATCTGATAGTGTAAGGTCAAAAGCTCCCTATTCTTTCAAACTACCACAACATTTAAAAGATAATTATTTAGGCCGGGCACGGTGGCTCATGCCTGTAATCCCAACACTTTGGGAGGCTGAGGCTGGTGAATCATGAGGTCAGGAGTTCAAGACCAGCCTGACCAACATGGTGAACATCTCTACTACAAATATAAAAATTGGCCGGGTGTGGTGGCACATGCTTGTAATCCCAGCTACTCAGGAGGCTGCGGTAGGAGAATCGCTTGAACCCAGGAGGCGGAGGTTGCAGTGAGCCGAGATTGTGCTACTGCACTCTGGCCCGGGTGACAGAGAAAAAGAAAAAAAGAAAGAAAAAAGATTATATCCCCTTGTCAAAAGATATAATATATATAGCCAGGCGACAGAGTGAGACTGTGTCACCAAAAAAAAAAAAAGATAATTATTTAGGTCTTTCCTGTGTGTTTGTCACTGAAATGAAACATTCATTCAACAGACTATTCAGCAGCAGTTGAACTGGTATTTATTCAGAATTTTTAATGATATGGGAACATGTTTATAATATAATGTTAAGCAAAAAATAAAAGATATAGCCAGGCACAGTGGCATGAGCCTGTAGTCCCAACTAGTTGGAAGGTTGAAGCAGAAAGATTGCTTGAGCCCAGGAGTTCAAAGCTACAGTGCACTATGATCACACCTGTGAATAGCCACTGCATTTCAGCCTGGGAACATAGCAAGACCCTGTCTCTAAATTTAAAAAATACATATATTTGTTAAGTATGATCTTAACTGGGTAAAGAAAAAAAGATTCATGCAAAAAAACATAAAATACAAATCTCTCAAATTGTTATCTTAATATGGCGAATAACTTTTTTTGCTTAAGATTTATATATATACATATATACATATATATGCACATATATACATATATACATATATATGCACATATATACATATATACACATATATATGTGCATATATACATATACACATATATATGCACATATATATACATATATATACACATATATATATAAAACTAGCCTTCTATGATGAGCATGTCTTCCTCTGAAAATGAAGGAAAAAAAATTGTGAAAGGAAAATGGTCTACAAAGAGAATTTATCATCATAATCATCATCACATCTACCAGGTATTAAATGCTTATCATGTGTTATTCGATTCACCTGTATCATCACGAATCTTTACCACAAACATTGCAAGGGAAGCATCTTCATTTTTCAGAAGGTAAAACTGAGATTCAGCGAGATTATATAACTTTTCCAAAGCAACACAGGAAGAAACTGACAAAACAAAGATTCAAATACAAGTTTGCCTGTCTTCAAAGATTGTTCTCTTTCCATTATGCTATTGAAGGCAAGCAGAGATTTGGAATGATTCATGTAGTTTCCGCTCCTGCAATACATTTTGAAGAAATACTGAGGAAGAAAAATAAAACTCAGTAACTTTAAGGATTAAAAAAAGTTCACATGGATACAACATTTGCAATAGACCCAAAGTCTCATGAGACCAACATGCAATAAGAAACTGGACTCTGGAGAAAAAGAAGTCTTCTGCAACTTACTTTAGGCAAACCATCATGATTTATTGTTAGATTAATTTGTTAAAAACTATAAGGGAACAGAATTGAAGCTTATTTTTAAAATCTCATCATCCTGCATGAACTGATTTAGCATATTACTACAAGTGGGTATATAGATTTTATAAGAAGCTTCCTCTGACAGCTCCAGAATAAGATCATTTCTGGAAAAAGTCAAGTGTGTACCTTCAATTGAAGGAAAATACTTTGTAGGAGAGTTAGTGGAGAAACTTATTTGTCACTGTTTTGTGAAGTACTGAGTAAATTTTAGCTTCAAGCTATTATTCTTTCCAAAGTAGTCTGGTCTTTATCAGCGATATGAGACTTCCCAGATACAAAGTACACTAGTTTTGCAAGTAACTGCACTTTCTTCTATCCTGTCATTTGAATATTATTGATACTAAGGCAGTATATGCATAATAATAATTTTTAAAATACATCAACTTATATTTCTTTGTGTGTTAATTTGGATCTTTCTGAGTTTAAACTTCATGCATCCAAAGTAATTGGAAGATAGTGCTACCAAAATTATTGAGATTGTGCATGAACAAGAATGAAATGAAAGATAGCAGTCAAGTTAATCAATTTCCTTAAGACTGACCAGGTTTCAACATTCTAGACCATTGGGAAAAAAGCAGAACTAAAAGTAGGAAAGTTTGAGATTGATTATTGAAAAAGTATCTGGTATTATAGACCTAATCTTGCCTATAGGTATTTCACTTCTAGTCTTCAGAACAAAAAGTATATTCATTCAGAATATTTAGTCACTAACTCATTCAAGTCAACATATAAATAATGAACGCCGATTACGTGCTAGCAACACCAACTTCATAGGCATGAAACCTGTACAGTTGCACAGGGCTTGTCTTCAGAAGGGATCTGCATTTGTTTTGAAGCTCTGCTGTTGTTGTCTTAAAATTCTCATAATTTTTGAGTTGGGGACATATTTCAACTTTGCACTGGACCCCACAAATTAAGTGCCAGCTATTGAAGATACAGAAGGGAACAATAAAGACATAGTTTCCTCCCTCAGATCATTTATAGAGAATAAAAGCATTATGTGCAATTAATAAAATTTTATTAGTTGTGTGATAAGGAATATACAGACTGAATATTGTGAAGACTGATAGCATTCAGGAGATCTTTTATGCTTTTGAAAATAAATAAAATAAAATCTACTATCAAAATGATAATAGAGGCTGGACACAGTGGCTCACATCTGTAATCCCAACATTTTGGGAGGCCAAGGTGGGTGGCTCACCTGAGGTTAGGAGTGTGAGACCAGCCTGGCCAACATGGTGAAACCCCATCTCTACTTAAAATATACATATATTTTATATGTATATATTTGTGTGTGTGTGTGTGTATATATATATGTATATATATATATACACAAAATTTAGCCAGGCATGGTGGTGTGTGCCTGTAATCCCAGCTACTCAGGAAGCTGAGGAAAGAGAATTGCTTAAACCCAGGAGGTGGAGGTTGCAGTGAGCCGAGATTGCGCCATTGCACTCCAGCCTGGGCAACAGCATGAGACTCTGACTCAAAGGAAAAAAAAAAGGTAATAGATATCTACTTCTTATTTGTTCCTATGGCTTAAATCTTGCCATGATAAGAGTTGAAATCTAATAATTTTGTGGTTTATCTCTCCAATTCTGCTGACCTTTATCTTGCAATAGTTAATATACTTAAGGGAAATCTAGGACATCACAAGCCAGAACCATATCTGTGGCTTTTTCTGTCCTTGCCTCTGCAATTCTTATTCACAGTGCTTGAACTTGTGGTAAAATAAGGTTGTAATCTTGGGTTACAGCTCTGGCAGTGTTCAAAAGATGAGTCAAGAAAGAGCACTATCATTAGCCCTTGTCACGTGAAGTTAAAAAATACCTTGTCCTGGCATAGCTCAGGGGAAAGTCTGAGCATATCTGCATTCAGCACTTTAAGCAGTTAGACATTTAATAGTGTATTGGGTCTTTTCAGGTTGTTAAGGAAGAAAAGATACTCTCAAGTTGACATAGGCCATGAGTGTTTGCTGTAGGAATAAACAAGAAACGCAGCACAGGAAATCTTAAACTTCTCGGCCTCCTGGAGTCCTGGGATAGCACAGTACCCTATGTAGAGAAAGCTGGTCTTGTGATTCAATTCCTTGCTGCATCACTTTCTAGAGCAACTCAACTGCACTTACGGTTCCACTGATGGCCGGCTACAGATGACAGTCTTTGTTTCAGTGCCACTCAGCTCTGTGAGGATTTTTGTATATCTGCTATTCAGACTTACCAGAATAGAACAAATCTGATTGGAAAAGATTCACCAGGAGAGAAAATATCCTTTGCTCATTTCCTCACTATCTGATGTAAGCACAGCTTCTGTAAGAAATTCCACACAAGGCTGGGCAAGGTGGCTCACGACTGTAATACCAGCACTTTGGGAGGCCAAGGTAGGTGGATCACCTGAGGTAGGAGTTAGAGACCAGCCTGACCAACATGGTGAAACCCCGTCTCTACTAAAAATACAAAATTAGCTGGCATGGTGGCACGCGCCTGTAATCCCAGCTACTCGGTAATCCCAGCTACTCGGGAGGCTGAGGCAGGAGAATAGCTTGAACCCTGGAGGCGGAGGTTGCAGTGAGCCGAGATTGTACCACTGCACTCCAGCCTGGGCGACAGAGCGAGACTCCATCTCAAAAAAAAAAAAAAAAAAGAAAGAAAGAAAAAGCAATTAAAATAAGAAATTCCACACCAGACCATTTCCTACTGGCCAGCACACAGCTGCCCTTGACTCAGATCCCAATCTTGGGTCCAAGCTAGAGTTTCAGGATCAATTGGTCAAAATGTGACAACTTCTATATATTTAGTTCAAAAAATGTTGGGGTGAGACAGCCCTCCGAATATCACTGGTGTCAAGAAAAAAGAAAGGATTAACTTGATTATCCTGAGTTCTGTTATATAGGAGTGCAAATGGGATGTGGAGATTTGGGGGAGGGGGCTTGAGAACATGAACAGCATGGAACGGAAAATCCAAACATCTCGAATCTGCAGACTGCCATAACATTTTTTATTTTTCCTATATATATTTAAATATTCTTATCTCCTGATTTGAGTGAAAAGCTGTTTACACTGAAACATGCATTTCCAAGTTTGAAAATAAAAAGATCAGTAACAGAGGAGGAATTACATGAACAAATCCCAGAGATAGTGATGAGCTGTTGCACTTATGAGGAGCAGGGTTGCAGGCCACCTGATGGAATATTATGGCCCTACTGCATCTATGCTATTTATGCCTGTGTTACTCAATTAAGAGGTGTTGAATAAAGGAAACTTTTTAAGTGCTTCTCATTATTGAAGATTTGAAGGGCAGGAGGTAATTGAAATCTCCAGTCAGGTATAGGTTTTTAAGGTCAAAGGAAGTCAGATGTAAGATATTTAACTACTTATGGCCATTCCTTCATAGATGTCCCACAGCCTTTCACTTCTCAATGTGCCCACCACAGCTACTTCCCAATATGCTCTATTAAACTAACACTGCCTTAGGTGCAGAGCCTTCAGCCCCACCATGACTCAGATACCAGGTTGTAACCTGATGAAAGTAGGAGGGATAAATGGTTACCTGGCATGGTGACACATTTGATTCCCTTTCTAAACCCGCTTTCGAAGCATGTGTCCACAGCCCAGGAGCATCTGCAGTGTCAGCTTTGCCAGCATGATAGGAAAGGAGAGGGAGAAGAAGGTGGGATCTTGATTTTTAAGGCCAGAGAAGGCATAAAATAAAGGCAGCTTTCTGGATCTACACTTCGCTGGAAAACAGCAAATCCACTGAGAATCAAGAAATGTTAAAAGGATTGGGAATTTAGAGATTACCTATGAGATTATTAGAAATTTGCTCTCGGTCTTGAAAGATAGCTCTAAATCCACATCATTAAACCTTGCAGAACAATTGCAAGCCATTGAGTATATAGGCACAAAACACAGGTCTTAAGCTAAAACTTTAAACTTCTACAATGGCATAATTATTTCGCCTCTTTAAATTTTTATTTCTTCATCCATAAAATTTTTAAACTATTATTATTATTTTGAGACAGGGTCTCATTCTGTCACCCATGCTGGAGTACAGTGGTGAGATAATGGCTCACTGTAACCTCCACCTCCCAGTCTCAAGAGATCTTCCGGCCTCAACTTCCCAAATAGCTGGGACTACAGGCACGCTCCACTGTGCCTAGCTAATTTTGTATTTTTTTGTAGAAACTGATTTTTGCCATGTTGCCCTGGCTGGTCTCAAACTCCTGAGCTCAAGTGATCCGCCCGCTTCAGCCTCCCAAAGTGCTGGCATGTGTTAGCCAGGACACCTGGCCCATCTATAAAATTTTTAAACAAGATTTTAAATGCTTCTGCCAGCTCTATGATTCTATATCTCACTATATACACAACCTAGAAAATGTCTTAATTCTAGTGCAGAGTTTACTTGCAAACAGGATTCATTGATAACTTTTCTAGGAGCCAACTGCTCTTTCCTAATTATCTTTGTAAGCTTTTGTAGTTTCCTGTGGGGGAACTCCAATTTTCTTCCCAGAAGTAGAATCAATAAATGTCTCAGATTCTTTAGACAAGACAAAGTAGGAAGGGTAAGGAAAACAAATACTAGAAATTGGCACCGGAACTCCACAAGGCTATCTGCTGAGACATGACCTAAATCATTATATTTGCATGTCTTCTTAAGCAACACTGACATCACTTCCTCATCCCTCTCTACCACACTCTGTGAATCATTTTCAAGAATCATTTCTGTATTTGGTAAGTAAATACTCTTAGTTGTTTCTGGAGGTAGATTTTTTTCACAGAGAAAAGACACAGAGAGGTGGAATGATTTGTCCCAACAGCCTTAAAAAAATCTAAAGTATGTAAATTTAAAAAGCACATGTTAATTCAATAGAAGATGAAATATCACTTACATACTTCTTAGTAAAAACTAAGGGTATGTTATAAAAGTAGACCTATACAGAATAAGGTAGAAAGTTGAAGCAATAAACTGAGTCACCCAGTTCACCAAATATCATTTTTCTCTCAAAGCACATTGTTTTAAAACAGTAAATTTCATTGTTTTCGAACTATCCTGAGCCTTAGTTCTCTCCCTACCTCACTTGGTGTGTGTAACCTTCACTCTTAGTTCTCTCAGAGCCTGTCTTTCTTCCAAACAACATCATCATCAAAGTTTAAAAGGCAAATGTCCTGGCAAACTGCCTGAAGTTTTCAACCACACAGAAAGCATTTCCACCCTAGCCATAAATTTATCAACTAAATTAAAATATAGTGACAATTCTATTTAAATAAATGTTCCAGAGTTTTGTCTCAAATGTCAACAAATCCAGCATCAAGTTAGAGTGATATCCTGTCGTCAGATTTTGTCTCTATTAGATAAACTATGACTCTTCAGCTTATTCATGGGATGGGATTTAAACAGGCAGTTGACATAGAAGAAATGCAGCATAAGTGGAAGAACACATTTTTCATTCAGACCGATCCTCTAGGCTTTGGGGAAAGCCAAGTGCCACCCATGATTTTCTACTGTCTACTTGTTCCCCCATTGCCACACTCACTCCCCTATAACTCCTCTGTGTCCTTCCCAAGTATGTATGCAACCCTAGGGTGGGATACAGCATCGTGCAGACATAGAAAGTTGGTCTCCTATGAGTGTGGGTTCATGATTAGAAGCAGGCAAAAGGCCTCATCTCCTGCTACACATACCCAGATATGGCTACAGATTTTGGATGTTCTTAACTGACAGTTTCCTGGGTGAAACTGAATACACTTAGGAGCCATTGTTAGCTTATAAAGATGGAGGCTGCTAATTGTGAATCAGAAATTTTCCACTTGAGCTAGGTATAATTTTGGTCTGAATCAAATTCTAGAAATGATATGGAATATGAAGGAGTGTTTTCTACCTTTACAATTACATAAATTTCACTGTTTTGCATTATCAACTCCTAAAGGAGAATCAGGTGAAACGCTCTAAAATCAAACACACAGGATAAATACTTTTCGAGAGTTTGAGGAAATGTTAAAGTCAAGATTAATGTATTAGTGGTTCTATATCCTACTCTAAAATTTTTCCCCACTGCTAAATATGACTGGCTTTTTTATAAATTTAAGTTTTAAGGTCTGTGTGGGGTTTTTTTTTTGTGTTCTTATTTTATTTTATGAGACAGGGTCTCATTCTATCACCCAGGCTGGAGTGCAGTATCACTATCATAGCTCACTGAAGCCTCAAACTTCTGGACTCAAAGGATCCTTCTGCCTCAGCCTCCTGAGTAGCTGAGAATACAGGTGCATGCCAATGTGCCTGACAAATTGTTTAATTTTCTTTTGTGGAGACGGAGTCTCACTGTGTTGCCCAGTCTGGTCTTGAACTCCTAGGCTCAAGTGATCCTCTGGCCTTGGCCTCCTAAAGTGTTGGGATTACAAGTGTGAGCCACTACACCAGGCCATCAGGTCTGTGTTTTAAATGATAATTTGTGTGTTAAATTGTAATTATACACCAATGATGTACTTTACGGCTTGTAAAGTTTATTTTAATGATCTATATGCTTACATCTTTAAAGCTAAAGCATTCCCATGATTCGAAAATCAGCAAAGCCAAGAAGATAAAAGTGAGGCCTTCTTCCTACACTTTTTTGTGTGTGTGTGTGACGGAGTTTTGCTTTTGTTGCCCAGGCTGGAGTGCAATGGCGTGGTCTCAGCTCACTGCAACCTCCTCCTCCCGGGTTCAAGCAATTCTCCTGCCTCAGCCTCCCACATAGCTGAGACTACAGGCGCCTGCCACCACATCCAGCTAATTTTGTATTTTTAGTAAAGATGGGGTTTCACCATGTTGGCCAGGCTGGTCTCAAACTCCTGACCTCAGGTGATCCACCCACCTCGGCCTCCCAAAGTGCTGGGATTACAGGCATGAGCCACCGCACCCAGCCCCACACTTATATTCTGTCCACCCAGTTCTCTACCCTCCCACAAACCCTCTCCTCCAACCAACAACAATCAGAGCTGTCACATTCTTGTCTATCCTTCCCTAGGTCTTTTATGCAAATCCATTCACACATTATTTTCTTCTTCCTCTTTGAACAAATGGTAGCATCTTATATAAACTATTCTGTCCTTCCCATGCCCCCCCACCACACACACTTAATATAGCAGAAAGAACTTTTTATATCAGTTTATAGTGATCTTCCTCATTCTTTTTTATGGCTGCATTGCATTTCATTATAGGGAAATATCATAATGTATTTAATCAATTCTCTGTTTTGAACATTTAGACTTCTGTTTCCAATCTTCTACTACTATGTTGAATCATAGGAAATGTTTCCATGTAAATGTTATTATTTTCCAGACAAATGTCCAAGTATATCTGTAGGATAAACTAGAAGTTGAATTATTAGGACAAGGGATATGTATATTTGCAGTTTTTATAGATTTTGGCAACTGATATATCAAACAGCCTAGCCAACTATGTCCTCAATTTAGTTGATCTTTGTAAGTCTGATAGGTAAAAAATTGTATCTCTGTGTAATTTTATCTACTTCTATCTTATAATTTTATCTACTTCTTATCTTATGAATTTGGGCATCTTACCTTTTTATTTCTTCTTTTGTCTGTTCATAGTATGACTGTTTTTAGAGTACTCACAATTTGGAATAGCTTTAGATTCTCTAAACAAATGAGATTTATTATAAAACATTCATCAACACATAGAATGTTTAATTTAATTATGTACTCATGGCTAGGCATGATGACTCATGGCTGTAATCCCAACGCTTTGGGAGGCCGAGGCAGGCGGAACACCTGAGATCAGGAATTCAAGACCAGCCTGGCCAATATGGTGAAACCCCATCTCTACTAAAAACACAAAAATTAGCCAGGCATGGTGGTATGCACCTGTAGTCCCACCTACTTGGGAGACTGAGACAGGGAAATTGCTTGAACCCGGGAGGCAGAGGTTCCACTAAGCCAAGATTACACAACTGCACTCCAGCCTGGGCAACAGAACGAGACTCAATCTCTATAAAAAGAAAAAGAAAAAAAATGTACCCAATAATCAACTACCTCAAGAAAACTCGGCGTTAAAATTTTTTTCTAAGTAGTTAAAGTAAACCTCAAGTAATGGTCATTTTCTCTGTCATATGATGTTTTTTATCATACATGATAAAAATTAATAAATTTACAGACATCTACATGATTTTCTCTAATCAATCCTAAATTCTATGACATTGAAAATATTTTTAAATTTTTCTTTTTAATTTTTTCTACTAAATAATAATGCTAAATGTCAGTTGCCACTGCATGTTTTATTTATTTGTTAGAAATATTGCATTCAGTAATCCAATTTCTCTCAAAACTATCAGGAATTACATTTTTCTCCATTTTTTTTTTCCCTGAGTGCTTTTTAACCCCGAATTATAATCAGTCCAGGGGATGCCATGAACTATTTGGACCTGAAACAAAATCATTATTCCGTGAAGTAGATGAAAAAGAGAGCTGGGCGTGGTGGCTCACGCCTGTAATCCCAACATTTTGGGAAGCTGAGGTGGAAGAATTGCTTAAGGCCAGGAGTTTGAGACCAATCTGGACAACATAGTGAAACCTCATATCTACAAAAAATTTAAAAATTAGCCAGGTGCGGTGGTGCTCTCCTGCAGCCCATCTACTGTAGTGGGGCTGAGGTGGGAGGATCCCTTCAGCCCAGGAGCTCCAGCCTGCAGTGAGCCATGATCATGCCCCTTCACTCCTTCCTAGGCAACAAAGTGAGACCTTGTCTCAAAAAACAAACAAAAAAAAAAAGAAAGAAAGAAAGAAAGAAAGAAAAACAAAAAAGAAAAGAAAAGAAAGTAAATAAAAGAAAAAAAAAGTTGCAAGATTCTAAGGGGATTGTTCAGATACTGTGGCTCACCTAAGGATGATTTTAACTTTTCTGTCTGATAGTGAAGTTGCAGTTCTTCTAAAAACTATGTAGGGTCTGGGGATTTGTGAGTAAAAGGAAGAATGGATCCAAAGAAGAGGAATGAGGGAAAAAAATGGGGTGGTTTTCTTCACAAATTCATGACATGTTCACGTAATATCTATGATAGAATAAATACTCATAAATTTCAACATATTAGCTGGATGTGATGACTTGTGTCTGAAGTCCCAGCAACTTGGCAGGCTGATGCAGGAGGATCACTTGAGCTCAGGAGTTTAAGGCTACAGTGAGCTATGATCACAGCGCACTCCACTCTGGGTGACAGAGCAAGACCCTATCTCTATAACATAAAACAGCAATAATAATAATTTATTAATTAATTTAAACTTAAGGATGAAAATTACTGAGTGTATTTAACTTTGCCATTCTTTTAGCTCCAAAAGTGTGCTTTATCAATAAACTGATAGGTAAAGTTAGTCAAATTATAAACAAATATTTGTTGAGTGATTACTATGACAGACTAGGCTCTGCAGAGACAGCACTGAATTAAAAAGAGAAATTTCCAGGCGGATCACTTGAGGTCAGGAGTACGAGACCAACATGTTCAACGTGGAAAAACCCCATCTCTACTAAAAATACAAAAATTAGCCAGGTGTGGTGGCACACACCTAAAATCCCAGCTACACAGGTGGATGAGGTGGGAGGATCACTTGAACCCTGGAGGTGGAGGTTGCAGTGAGCCATGATTGTGCCACTGCACTTCAGCCTGGGCGACAGAGAAAAACACTGTCTCAAAAAAAAAAAAAAAAGAGAGAGAGAGAGAAATGTCCCACTTTCAAGAAAGTTACATTATTTGGGGACCAGACAGAAAATAATAATGAAAATAAACAAAAAAACCTTCAGAAATATAAAAGAAATGGATACCAAAAAAAAGGGTTTTATAGTTAAATGATTGACAAAATAAAGCACTCTACATTGACTCCCGTGTTCCTAAGGCTTACTGATTTTCAAAACAACCTTTCATGTGTCCAAATGAGTCATTCATTACGATGTTAAAAGTAAAGCGCTGAAGTGGAAACAGCCTACAAAGTACAACCACTAAATTTCTGATCCTTTGTGGTATATTTGGTCCTTTGTTGTATGCCAACTACAATTCTATCCATACATGTATCTGTAAGAATATAATGAACAATGTGTTGTCAAGAAATGGGTTAGGTGGGCCAGGCGCGGTGGCTCACAACTGTAATCCCAACACTTTGGGAGGCAGAGGTGGGCGGATCACCTGAGGTGAGGAGTTCAAGACTAGCCTGCCCAACACAGTGAAATCCTGTCTCTACAAAAATACAAAAATTAGCCAGGCGTGGTGGCAGGTGCCTGTAATCCCAGCTACTTGGTTGGCTGAGGCAGGACAATCGCTTGAATCCAGGAGGCGGAGGTTGCAGTGAGCCAAGACCATTCCATTACACTGTAGCCTGGGCGACAGAGTGAGACTCCGTCTCACCAAAAAAAAAAAAAAAAAAAAAAGAAAAGAAAAAGAAATAGGTTAGGTGATCTGGTGAAACATGGCTTTACTAAGTTGAACGGTGGGCCAAACTGGATTCATAGGGGAATAGAATTATAAAATAGAAGCTTCAGAATGTACAAAAATAAAATTTAAATAATTATGAGGGGAGGAGGGAAAAAGGGGGAAAGGCTTAGAAAAACTTCCAAGGGCATAAATTTGGCAATGTTTTAATTGTAAAATATGATTAATGAATATGACAGAATTTGGAGAACTTAAAAGTACAAATTGTTTACAGTCCCAGTCGAGGCATAACTGCTGGCTAAATCTGTAACTGTTGAAAATTTCTCCACTGTTTTCTTACTTAATCTTCAGCCAAGTATCCATTTCCTTTTGCTCTTAAAGCCAGATTAATGACATTTTAATTTTTATGTTTTTTTTTTCTCTTACCTACAGTTTTAGGAGCAAGTTCATGTAGCCAATAAAATAAAATTGAAAGCAGTCCAGGGAAAAAGAGCAATAAACCAAGACAAAAGGTTCTTAATGTTACTTCAGATGCACATAGTGTGTTATGAATCTGAAATAAGGCTGGGCGTGGTAGCTAACGCCTGTAATCCCAGTGCCTTGGGAGGCCAAGGCGGGCGGATCACCTGAGGTCAGGAGTTCAAGACCAGCCTGGCCAACATGGTGAAACCCAGTCTCTACTAAAACTACAAAAATTAGCTGGGTGTGGCAGCGTGCAACTGTAATCCCAGCTACTCAGGAGGCTAAGACAGGAGAATCGCTTGAAGCCAGGAGGCAGAGGTTGCAGTGAGCCGAGATCACGCCACTACACTGCAGCCTGGGCAACAGAGCAAGACTCTGTCTCAAAAAAAAAAGGCCGGGTGTGGTGGCTCACGCCTGGAATCCTGGCACTTTGGGAGGCTGAGGCGGGTGGATCACCTGAGGTTAGGAGTTCGAGACCAGCCTGACCAACATGGTGAAACCCCATCTCTACTAAAAATACAAAATTAGCAGGGCACGGTGGCTGGCCTGTAATCCCAGCTACTTAGGAGGCTGAGGCAAGAGAATCTCTTGAAGCTGGGAGGCGGAGGTTGTGGTGAGCCGAGATTGCGCCATTGCACTCCAGCCTGGGCAACAAGAGCGAAACACCGTCTCAAAAAAAAAAAGAAAAAAAAAAATCTGAAATAGGCCAGGCACGGTGGCTCATGCCTGTAATCCCAGCACTTTGGGAGTCCAAGGCGGGCGGATCACGAGGTCAGGAGATGGAGACCAGCCTGGCCAACATGGTGACACCTTGTCTCTATTGAAAATACAAAATTAGCTGGACATGGTGGCAGGCGCCCGTAGTCCCAGCTACCCGGAAGCTGAAGCAGGAGAATAGCTGGAACCCAGGCGGCGGAGGTTGCAGTGAGCTGAGATTGCACCACTGCACTCCAGCCTGGGTGACAGAGCAAGACTCCATCTCAAAAAAAAAAGAAAAAATCTGAAATAATCTTGTTCAACAATATGTCTACTTTATTCTTTTTCTCCTCAACTAAGCTGATGAGAGTAGTGTCTTTGTCTATTTTGCTCAACACCTTATGCACCAGTACGTTTCAGGGTGTCAGGTTAAGTTCTTATTAAATATTTGTTCAGGCTGGGTGTGGTGGCTCCAATCCTAGCACTTTGGGAGGCTGAGGCAGACAGATCACTTGAGGTCAGGAGTTTGAGACCAGCCTGAGCAACATGGCAAAACCCTGTCTCTACTAAAAGTACAAAAATTAGCTAGGCATGGTGGCACACGCCTGTAATCCCAGCTACTTGGGAGGCTGAGGCAGAAGAATCGCTTGACCCCGGGAGACCAAGGTTGCAGTGAGCTGAGATTGTGCCATTACACTCCAGCCTAGGCGACAGAGCAAGACTCTTTCTCAAAAAGAAAAAGAAAAAAAAATTTGTTCAACAAACAAATCAAAAGATGAGCTATCATTTAAATGGTATGCCTAAATTCTAACTTAAAATCCTTCCCTTGTACAGCTTAAAATTATTTTTTCCTTTCTAGCCTCCATTTGAGAAAGAAACATTAGTTTAACATAATTAAACAAATTAAACATTAGATATATCAATGTCAAATAGTTGATATATCATATCTACTGTTTATCAAACATTTAATCATTTAATATCAATATCAAAATACTTTATTAATATTTTGATGATAAACTTAAAATCCACTTTAAAGAAATAGATGGGTGAATGTTGGTTTTAGTTAACTGTTAGTAACTCAACTTAGAGATCCTTGAAGACCAATCTTTTTATTTATTTATTTTTTTTGAGATGGAGTCTTGCTCTGCCACCCAGGCTGGAGTGCAGTGGTGTGATCTCAGCTCACTGCAACCTCCACCTCCTGAGTTCAAGTTATTCTCCTGCCTCAGCCTCCCAAGTAGCTGGGATTACAGGCGCCCGTCACCACGCCCAGCTAATTTTTTGTATTTTTAGTAGAGACAGGTTTTCACCATGTTGGCCAGGCTGGTCTCGAACCTTGTGATTCACCTTCCTTGGCCTCCCAAAGTGCTGGGATTACAGGCATGAGCCACCGCACCTGGCCCAAATCTTTTGAAGAACATTATAGGTCACAGTGGATAAGGATCCTTATTTGTTTTATTTTCTATTTATTTCCACCCCCTCATGTTTTGAAATAATTTAAGGCAGCTTTATTGACTCATTGAATGCTTGTTATTATAGTTATTAAATTCTCAAATTACCTAACCTGTTTCTAGGCACATAAAAGATTCTTAATACATCAATGAGATAAGACTCACATTACATTAACTCAGAAAAACAGCCAATCTAATTAGTGAGACACAGAAAATAATAACAAACAATTCCTAGGGTTTAGCTTTTCTCTTATAATATTTATGATAGCTTTATACTTTCCAGACTCTCACATACATACATATGTCATTCATCGATCATGATTTACTTTTTATGGCTCTAGCCTACCTACCCATTGCTCAGTCCAGACTAATATCTGGCACTAAAGAAGGTAAAATCATCCTTCTAAAATGCTGCATTATTTCTAAAATTCTGAAAGAGAGATTACATTTTGTGAAGCACAGAATGTCCAACCAGGGAGTGACTTGGTCATTTTGAGCTAACCAAGTATCTCATATCTATGATTTGAGGTTACATTGTTTGCAAAAACAGAACTTCAATTGTCAATGCTACAATTTTTCCTGGCCTCTGTTATGCTCAGAACTTACAAATATTATATTTATAATGAGGCTACCTAAAAAGCAACATGACCTTTAGATCCACAGATCAATCTTCAGGTGAAAATCTGAGAAAATGATGATGATATGGAACATTACAGTGAGGAGTAACTCTAAAACAGAATGCCCATGTGGCAGTCATAAAAAGGAACTACATACTTTTTCTACTCAGAACCTGTATTTTAAAGATGTCAACAGCCAGGGTCAACAACCCATTTGTGTTATGTCTCCTGTGTCTATTCAAAATGAGAAGTTCAAGGAAATTCACTCGGTATTTTAAATAAACACTGCTGGTTAATGTCCTTACCCCAGAACAAGGAAAAAGTCAAGAGACTCTGTTCCTAGCAGGTAAAAAAATGCTTCTTGCATCCAAAAAAATGTAAACTCTCTTATATAAATTATAAATTTTCTCATTAAATAGCTTAGTTAACAAAAGAAAAGCCCTCAAAATGTACAAAGATGAAAGGTCATTTAAAAGACAAAAAAAGGACAGTATGGTGGTTTACGCCTGTAATTTCAACACTTTGGGAGACCTAGGTGGGTGGATTCCTTGAGCTCAGGAGTTCGAGACCAGCCTGGGCAAAATGGCAAAACCCTGTCTCTACCAAAAATACAAAAATTAGCCAAGAAACTGAGGTGGGAGGATCACTGGAACCCAGGAAGTCAAGGCTGCATTAAGCCATGATCGTGCCATTGCTGTCTCCAGCCTGAGTGACAGAGTGAGATTCTGTCTCTAAATAAATAAATGCAAAAGGAAATTATTTATTTGTGCTAAGACACCATAAGTTATATAATGCTCTAAAAGTAAAACGAGATCTTAAAAGTATCAAGCCCCAGTGCCCCATGCCCCTACCTCTGCTCTAGAATGCTAATAGGAGGATGTCTTCGATGAAGGTATCATCTCCTTACTGAATGCTGTCAACAAAAGAGTCAAACTCTGTAAAATATTTGAAGAGATTTATTCTGAGCCAAATATGAGTGACCATGGCCTGTGACACAGTCCTCAGGAAGTCCTGAGAACATGTGCCCAAGGTGGTCGGGGCGCAGCTTGGTTTTATACATTTTAGAGAGGCATGAGACATCAATCAAATACATTTAAGAAAATACATTGGTTTGGTCCAGAAAGGCAGGAGGGACAACTCACGGGATAAGAATGCTTCTAGGCTTACAGGTAAATTTAAACATTTTCTGATTTTCTGGCTGACAATTGATTGAGTTTGTCTAAAGACTTGGGATCGATAGAAAGGAAATGTTTGTCTAAAGACTTGGGATTGATAGAAAGGAAAGGTTAACGTAAAAGATTGTGGAGACCGAGGTTCTTTTGAAGTTTTATAGTGGCTGCCTTTAGAGACATTAGATGTTTCCTATTCAGATCTTTAAAAGGTGCTAGACTTTTAGTTAATCTCTTTAGGATTGGGATGGCCTGAAAGAAAAAGATCTAGCTATGTTAACAGAGATATTTACAGGTGCAAATTTTCCCCCACAAAGGACAGCTTTGCAGAGCCATTTCAATATATGACAAAGTAGCATGTTTCAGGGTAAAATATTTTGACTTTCTTCTTTGTCACATAATGTTATGCCAGAGTCAGATTGGAAGGTAAGTCACGATATATAGGGTTAAATAAAATCCATCTGATTAAAATTTATGGTGTGTAGGGCATGACTCTTCAGACCCCTTAGATAGGAATTTGGGCAAAATAAAAAAAAAATCAGAGCTTAGTCCTCAATGCCAAGCACCAGCATGCTACGTGCTGTTTAAGTGTTATTTCATTACACCTTATAATAGCTGCATGAGGGTTATTCCCACTTTACAGAATAAGAAACTGAAGCTTGAAGAGGTCAACTGTACAGCCAGTAAGAGGTAGTTTTAAAGATTTGAGCTTGGCCAGGCACAGTGGCTCACGCTTGTAATCCCAGCACTTTGGGAGACAGAGGCAGGCGGATCAAGAGGTCAGGAGTTTGAGACCAGCCTGGCTCACATGGTGAAACCCCATCTCTACTAAAAGTACAAAAATTATCCGGGCTTGGTGGAGCATGCCTGTAATCCCAGCTACTGGGGAGCCTGAGGCAGGAGAATTGCTTGAACCCAGGAAGTGGAAGTTGCAGTGAGCCAAGATCGCACCACTGCACTCCAGCCTGGTCGACAGAGCAAGACTCTGTCTCAAAAAAAAAAAAAAAAGATTTGAGCCTACTGCTGTCTAAATCAGAGGGCATGCTCTTATCCTCTCTATACCACTTATGCCACTTCCCGAGGTGAAAAGAGGTTGATTCACGAGCTACCTATACCCCTTATACACACTTTTCTTGTTGCACTTTTTGGCACTACATATTGTTCATTGTTATTTACCTCTTGATTTCCTCTTCTAGAATTTGGGTTTTCTAAAGACAGGTTCTGCATCTTATTTATCCCCACAGTCCCAGAGCAACTCATAGCCTTGAAACTTTTGAGGCAGGTACTCAGTGACAGCTGAGATGAACTGAAAGAATCTATTGATTTGATGTCCTACAGGAGTTTGCCAAATTCAAAAATAGACCCAGGCAATGTGTTGCTAAATAGCCTTATGTAGCTTGTACATTATAATCCCTTCAAGCAAATAGTTAGCTGTTCAAAAACAGCAAAATAATGAAAAAGAGACATGTGAAGAATGTAGAAACGCACAAACACACATACCCTGAAAGGAATCTTTTCCTTTTGATAACAATGGAATGTTTCCTAGCTGGTCATTAATTTAACAACATAATTTTCCCTAAAAGGTACAACTTAAGGTTATTTGGGGAATAATATAATATTTTGAGGACAGGCATGGTGACTCATGCCTGTAATCCCAGCACTTTGGGATGCCAAGGCAGGTGGATTACTTGAGGTCAGGAGCTTGAAACCAGCCTGGCCAACTTGGTGAAACTCCGTCTCTACTAAAAATACAAAAATTAGCCAGGTATGGGGTGGCGCATGCCTGTAATCCCAGCTACTCGGAAGGCTGAGGCCAGATTATTGCTTGAACCCTGGAGGCAGAGGTAGTAGTGAGTGGAGATTGCGCCATTACACTCTGGCCTGGGCAACAGAGCAAGACTCTGTCTCAAATAATAATAATAATAATATTTTGATGGATATGTAACTATGTAGCCAAGTATACAAAGTTGTATTTCATTTTTAGCAAGCTACTGCTTTCAAGTACAAATACCATGAGAAAACTGGCTATTAAAGAGAGATAAACGTTGCCATTCCTGATTGTTTAAACCAGAAGCCCTTCAGAAGCAGTAATTCTTCATCAAGGGGAGAGCATCTTCTAAAATTTAAAACATTGTTTTCTAAGTGTGGCCCTTGTAATTAGCTGACTTGCTTGTTAGGCAGATTTTTGGACTTGGCAGCCCTGGTGAATCAGAATGTTCTGAGATTGTGCTCAGGAACCTGTACATTTGAAAAACTCCCTCAGTGATTCTGCTGCACAAAAAAATTGGAGAATCACTGTAGTAACCTGACCAACTGGCTCCTTTTTTTCTGGGGTCTGTCTCTCCAATTGCTGCAGACTGTCTCAACTTTAACCACCTAAATGTGGTTTCAGATTACAACCTAAGTGTAGATCTTCACATTACTGCAGGCTGTTGTTATTTCCCTTGGAATGCTTGAATCCATGGATCAAGTTAATCCCAACCCTAAACACTTTAGGGAAGTCCCTACAGAATAATCTTCTGCTAGCATTGTATGTGAAACCTGGAACAAACCCTATCAACTTCTACCTTATCAGGTTTCTGCCACTACCTAGAATGTCAGCCTATACCAGCCCGAACAAAAGCTGATCAACCCCACCATTCTGCTTTTCCCTATTACTGAGTCACAAAATCCTGACTGAATGAAACTATTTCTTGCCTACTAACCTCACTGCTAAGGCCTATCCCACGAATCTCTCATTCATATATCCCTCTGATCACCATCCTGTCTTCACTGAAATGTTTTTCCTCTGATGGTCTCTCTTCCACCACAGGCTACCTGGAGTAGAGGCAGCTCATTCTACCACATCACTTTTTCTACAGTCTAAAGATCATATCGACCTTCCCCTAACTTCACTATCCTTTGAGGTTCACGTTATCTGACTCATGAATGTTTTCCTCCTCAAATGCCTCTTGACCAATAAGTGTCTTTATTCATATGAATCACTCATTTATTTATTCATTCAATAAAATTTATTGAATTTTTATTATATCAGGTGCAGGAAATAAAAGATTAATGATAAGCCAGTAAGTGAAATAGTAAGTAAATGATTATATTGCAAACTATTGTTGTAATAATACAATGTAATATATTGAAGAAATGATTACATCCGTGCATTCAACTAGCACCTTAGAATTCCAAATCTTACCTCCAGTTCAGAGTTCTCTTTGACTTAATGACAAGAATTGTCAATGCTTATCAAACATCTAAAACCAAAAATTTTAGTATTTTCTACTAAGCTCCTTCTCCTGTCTTCCATATACCTCATCATCATCAGCTATGCAAATTCCTTAATTAGAAACCATAATACAAGGATAGTGAGCTCAAATGGTCACAGAGGAGAAAAAGAATTCATAAGTGAGTGAAGCAGGGCAGTGTAAACAATGGGGAATGATGACAACCGTGGTCAACTGAAAATCTTAGCCTCATTTTTAGGAGACAATCACTACTCATTTCCTACCAGTTACTGCAACCCAGGAACACAGACTCAGTGTTGGCCATATCTTTTAATTTTTTTTTTTTTTGAGACCGAGTTTTGCTCTTGTTGCCCAGGCTGGAGTGCAATGGCGCAATCTCGGCTCACCGCAACCTCCGCCTCCTGGGTTCAAGCAATTCTCCTGCCTCAGCCTTCCTGAGTAGCTGGGATTACAGGCATGCGCCACCACGCCCGGTTAATTTTGTATTTTTAGTAGAGACAGGGTTTCTCCATGTTGGTCAGGCTGGTCTCGAACTCCTGACCTCAGATGATCTGCCCGCCTCGGCCTCCCAAAGTGCTGGGGTTGCAGGCGTGAACCACTGTCTCCTGCATATCTTTCAATTTTTACAAGAATTTAAAAGTCCAGATGTTTGCGAGTGATTTCTTTTTTTTTTTTTTTTGAGATGGAGCTTCACTCTGTCACCCAGGCTGGAGCATAGTGGCACAATCTCAGCTCATTGCAACCTCTGCCTCCTGTTTTCAAGCGATTCTCCTGCCTCAGCCTCCTGAGTAGCTGGAATTACAGGTGCGAAACACCATGCCTGGCTAATTTTTATTTATTTATTCTTTTTTTATTTTTTAGTAGAGGCGGGGTTTCTTTTTTTTTTTTTTTTTGAGACAGAGTCTTGCTCTGTCGCCCAGGCTGGAGTGCAGTGGCACGATCTCGGCTCACTGCAAGCTCGAGGCAGGGTTTCAACATGTTGGCCAGGCTGGTCTCAAACTCCTGACCTCAGGTGATCCAGCTGCCTCTGCCTCCACATCCCAAAGTGTTGGGATTATAGGCGTGAGCTGCCATGCCCAAATTTCCTAATTTTTAAAACACTGTACAGCCAGTCAAGAATCACCAGTGGAG
The DNA here is from genome assembly GCF_000001405.40 of Homo sapiens. Lineage (NCBI taxonomy): Eukaryota > Metazoa > Chordata > Mammalia > Primates > Hominidae > Homo > Homo sapiens. The sequence goes on along the minus strand of NC_000006.12, from coordinate 121,489,847 downwards.
GCCAGGCTGGTAGCTCACACCATCCCAGCACTTTGGGAGCCTAAGGCGGATGGATCACCCGAGGTCAGTGTTCGAGACGAGCCTGGCAAAACCCCATCTCTACTAAAAATGCAAAACTTAGCCAGGAGTGGTGGTGCATGCCTGTAATCCCAGCTACTCAGGAGGCTGAGGCACAAGAATTGCTTGAATCTGAGAAGCAGAGGTTGCAGTGAGCCGAGACTGTGCCACTGGACTCCAGCCTGGGCAACAGAGTGAGACTCCATCTCAAAAAACAAAAAAAAAGAATCACTAATGGATGCAAAGCATTGGCTGAAAAGTTGTGAGGCACTATGGACATCACATTTTAATGTATCGCCCCACGAATTACTTATTAATTACAAAAGGGAAAAGGCACGTTTACAATGGAGAAGCCTGCTATAGACCACCTTGAGCAAGTGGTCAAACTTAGCATCACCAGTAATAATAACTGAACAAACTTACATTATGTGACTCTGCTACAAATCAGTGGTGCGTGCACTAGAGTTTCCAAAAGGTTTAACCCGAATAGAATCATGAGGAAACCAACCAGACAAATCAAAATTAAGGGTCAGTCTACAAAACAACAGACCTGAGCTCATCATGAATGCCACAAAATGGCACATGTATGTATGTACCGGGAAGAAACATAGCACATATTGAGTTCAGTACAATCTTTGGTTTCAGGCATTCACCGGGGGTCTTGGAATGTATCCCCCATGGATAATGGGGTCCTGTACTGTGGTCCCTATTGTGTCCCTGTCTGTCTCTTCAAATTAGTGTTCCTTGAGAGCAGGAACTCTGGCCCAGTATGGTGCCTAGTGCTTGGGAAACTTAAATACACATTTGATAAATTGACTAATTTTTTAAAATGGCTTTATTTTGCCTGTTTCTATTTCACTACTTTCTCTGAAAAATCTTAACTATAAAGAAAAAGCCAAAGAGATGGGTAGCCTATGCGAGGTAAGTAAGCATTAGAAGGAAGGTAATTGAAAACAAATTGACAAAGTGCTATAAAGAATTACAAGCTTCAAAAGCGAAATTCAGTTTCTAGACCTGTCCTAGATAAGGCGAAAATAAATCCCAAAACGAAGGCCTTCAAAGCATGATAGAAGAGTTTTGCTGCTGTGAGGTGTTAAGGGCTTAATTTCTCTGCTTCCAAATGTCTGTGCTCTAAAGATCTTCTGTTCCTTGGGAAATTCTAAACATATTACCATAGCATTTTCAATGCAGGGGTCTGTTTCCTGTAACTCTGTGCCTCCTTTCAATTAAGATCAAACGGAATTTAACATGAAGCGGAGGTAGGACTCTTTCTCAAGTTAATGTTAATTATAACTTTGGTGGATGTGTTGCAGCTTGTTGTCAGCCTATCTGATTTTACGAACAGACAGGAGCAAAGCTTCAAGGAGACTGAGCATTCTAACTCTATTATTATGTTTGCCTGTAATAATACATAGGAATTTTTTTCTTCCCAGGAAACTTTCATATAAATATTTATTTCACTGAAAACATTACCCTTTACTAGAAGCTAACAATAAAATTGTCTCTATTCAATTTTGATATATATTCTTCAGGTAACTGAAAGGAACGCATATATTTTGTTCCTATATATTACTGTAAAATTTGTCAATTCAAAAATATAATGAAATAATTTACTGTTGTGTAAAAGGAGGGCAGCCACTTCTAAAACTAAGTCAAGGTCATTGGCAAGCCTCAGAGATAGAGACAGAGACAGACCACAAGAGTCAACATACCTTTTGTTTTCTTTTTTTTTTGAGATGGAGTCTCCCTTTGTCACCAGGCTGGAATGCAGCGGCGCAATCTCGGCTTACTGCAACCTCCGCCTCTCGGGTTCAAGCGATTCTCCTGCCTCAGCCTCCCAAGTATCTGGAACTACAGGCACACGCCACCATGTCCAGCTAATTTTTGTATTTTTTAGTAGAGATGGGGTTTCACCCTGTTGGCCAGGATGGTCTTGATCTCTTGACCTCGTGATCCACCCGCCTCAGCTTCCCAAAGTGCTGGGATTACAGGCATGAGCCACCGCGCCTGGCCACCTTCTGTTTTCTTAAACTAGAGTCTGCAAACTGATGGGTAGCTGTAGTTAGCTTTGTTAGGTAAAATACAGATAAACAAATTAACATTTAACTGGGAATTGTGTGTTTTTCTTTGCTGGGCCTAGCAACCCACTTGTAGGCTGATTTTATCTAGTACACATACTGTTTTTAAAAAGCACCCAGATATCAATTTTTTTTTTGAAAAAGACAAAGATCTGGCAAGATTGGTCTCACATTCTTGCATTATATCAGCTGGAGCTGAGTATGTACTGTCCCTTTGCTAGATGATGATTTGCTCTCCAATTCAATGCAGTTGCTACCTGGCCCTTTCCTGATTCCTGGATCCTGTAGGCCAGAGTTTTTCCATTCTGGTCTTACCCGCTCTTTTTGTTTACAAACTATTTAGTTGCAGACACCCAGCAGCTGTGGCATCTGTATGTTGACCATGTCTAATTCTAGTTGAGAAGCAGGTAATTTTATTAGAATAGCACATCTGTACTGAATATACATTGTTAGATTCCAATTTATTTATTTATTTATTTATTTTTAATTTTAATTTTTTTGAGATGGACTGTTGCTTTGTCACCCAGGCTGGAGTGCAGTGGCACAATCTCGGCTTACTGCAACCTCCACCTCCCAGGTTCAAGTGATTCTCCTGCCTCAGCCTCCTGAGTAGCTGGGATTACAGGTGCACACCACAAGGCTAGCTAATATTTTTTGATTTTTGTTTTTTTATTTTTAGTAGAGATGGGGTTTCACCATGTTGGCCAGGCTGGTCTCGAACTCCTGACCTCAAGTGATCCACCTGCCTTGGCCTCCCAAAGTGCTGAGATTACAGGCATGAGCCACCACGTCCTGCCAGATGCCATTTTATATGACTTAAAAATACTGGCTTCGGCCGGGCACTGTGGCTCACGCCTGTAATCCCAGCACTTTGGGAGGCTGAGGCGGGCGGATCAAGATGTCAAGAGATCGAGACCATCCTGGCCAAAATGGTGAAACCCCATCTCCACTAAAAATACAAAAAATAGCTGGGCGTGGTGGCACGCGACTGTAGTCCCAACTACTCAGGAGGCTGAGGCAGGAGAATCACTTGAACCTGGGAGGCGGAGGCTGCAGTGAGCCGAGATCACACCACTGCACTCCGGCCTGGGCGACAGAGCGAGACTCTGTCTCAAAAAAAAAAAAAAAAAAAAAAATACTGGCTGCACATGGTGGCTCATGCCTATAATCCCAGCACTTTGGGAGGCTGAGGTGGGCAGATTGCTTGAGGTCAGGAGTTCAAGACCAGCCTGGCCAACTTGGCAAAACCCCGTCTCTACTGAAAATACAAAAGTTAGCTGGGTGTGGTGGCACATGCCTGTGATCCCAGCTACTTGGGAGGTTGAGACAGGAGAATTGCTTGAACCTAGGAGGCAGAGGCTGCAGTGAGCCGAGATCGTGCCACTGCACTCCAGCCTGGGTGACACAGTGAGACTCCATCTCAAACAAACAAACAAACAAAAAAGCAAAACAAGTTATTTCTCAGATACTCTATAGTTCTTATTTTCTTCACCCTATCATCCAAGTCAGCCTCAGCCCTACACATTTCAGGTGAGATAATATACCATGGCGAAAAAAGCAGTGGAGTTTAAATGAGAATGGTGAAGCTGGGCACAGTGACACAAGCCTACAGTCCCAGCTACATGAAAGGCTGAGGCAGGAGGATCACTTGAGACCAGGAGTTCGAGGCCAGCTTGGCAACATAGCGAAACTGTGTCTCTGAAAAATAAATAAATACATACATACACACCTATAAATACATAAATAAGAATGGTGAAAAATAAATAAGAATCTGTTTTCTTGTATGAAAAATATAAGTTTGGACAAAACAACTATGGCTTTAAATCTCTGTTGCTGTTAATAATTGATAATTCTATGATGTTAGTTTGTAGTCAAGAGTTTCTGAGACTCCAGAATCAGAGCATCAACTTCTGAGGCAAACAGTTAAGTAATCTTCCTGTATTACTGTAAAGTTTTATGACATTGGAAAACATTAATCTATTGTCAGACTTGCATAGCATCACTGCAGATTGCTAGGAGACAGTAAATGTTTTTACAAGCAAAAAGTCTTCACTTTTTCCTACTGCTATCTACTGCAAAAAAAGTTCACACAGCTACTGGTTCAAAACATACTCCTTTTATTGACCCGGAGCAATGGACAGACTTTTTAAAGACTTAAATTGAAGAAAATAAAAGGCTGTTTATCATCATTTAATCCCCTCAGAGGCTCTAGGAGGAGTTGTGTAAACAAATCTGACAATGCAAGAATGTCATTGAAGAGCTATCGCAAGTAATCCTCTGATTGACTCACATCTACCAAACACAGTGTGCTCTCTTCCAGATTTTGAGACAAGACCAAACCTGACTACACCCACTCTCTCTGACAAGATTAAGCACCTACCTCATTATAAAAATCTTCCTTTATGAAAACTAACCAGGTTGCCTCAGTGTTAATTAACATAATTAACACTTTCTCAATAGAGACACTTATCTCCCCCACCACCGCTTTTCCCTAGGTTCTTCTAATCATAGACGATTGCTTCTCAAAGAGGTCAACATCAATCCTCCCCTTATTCCCACAATTAACTTCCAAACAGAAATTACTTCATTGTAAAAATTAGAGAATGAGCCAGGATTTTATTCTGGAGAGAGAATTGGTTAGCCAGGGGACTATGAAAATTCTTCTGAAATGTATTAAATTGCTGTCTTAAAAACTATATATGTATGTATAATAATCAATTATTGTAATTAGTAATCATGTAGAATTAAAATGAACCCAAGCAACTGAAGTGAAATGGGACAGCAGAAAAGAAGATGTGATAAAAATTTACCAAAATATTCTAGATTTTGCAATGACTCTTATTCCGCCTATTATTTAGTTTTGTAAAAGTAGTAAAAAAACATAAAATATTCCAGTTTTAGGTTATTAAAATAGATTATATATGCCACATCATATATTATCCGTATCTCAAGAAAACTGGGTAGATAAATGAAAATTAGTTATGATACTATTTTAGAACAGAAGATATGGACTAATAAAGGTATGCTGCTGTGAACAGTATAAAATTATTCAGAAACAAAAAATAATTAAACTTAATCTCAACCTACATCATCTCTATATTAATAAGTGTTTGACCACTCAATGAGGAATTGTAGTGAGCAAATAAAATATCTATCTTCTCAATAGAATAAAGACGCCATGTCAGTGCACTGCCATTTCTTGGCTAGTGTATAAACATGTCAGTAGATGTTAAAAGTATTTCACATCGTATTTTCATATCTGGTAGTAGCCCCAGAAATGACTTACAAAGATAGCAAAAATCCTAATTAATTAGGTTTAGAAGGTTGGGCATGGTGGCTCATGCCTGTAATCCCAGCACTTTGAGAGGCTGACGGGGGTGGATCACCTGAGGTCAGGAGTCCGTGACCAGGCTGGCCAACATGGTGTAACCCTGTGTGTACTAAAAATCCAAAAAAAAAAAAAATTAGCTGGGCATGGTGGCAGGTGGCTGTAATCCCAGCTACTTGGGAGTCTGAGGCAAGAGAATCGCTTGAACCCAGGAGACGGAGATTGCAGTGAGCCAAGATTGCGCCATTGCACTCCAGCCTAGGCAACAGAATGAGACTCTGCAAAAACAAACAAACAAAAACAAAAACAAACAAACAAACAAAAAAGACAAAGAAAAAAGAATGTTAGAGCAGGTAAGGGCAACCAAATTAGGAGGATAATTTAACAAGGATGCTAGAAGTTCTATACACTATATGTGCTATAGAAGTATGGAACCTCTAGCATACAAAAGGCAGGAGTGAAAAAATGGCTTTGTCACTGCATGTTCTCACGCATTAAGTGGGAACTGAACAATAAGAACACATGGACACAGCGAGGGGAACACCACACACTGGGGCCTGTCGGAGGGGGGGTTTGGGAGGGATAGCATTAGGAGAAATACTTAATGTAGATGAAGGGTTGATGGGCACAGCAAACCACCATGGCATGTGTATACCTATGTAATAAACCTGCATGTTCTGCACATGTATCCAAGAACTTAAAGTATAATAAAAAAAAAATGTACTATGTCACATAAAAAGAAATGGCTTTGTATGATGCTCAACAAAGAAAATTTCTGACCCTTTTTTCCCTGAAAAATATGAGAATAAGGATTGTGGTTGTTTTGAGATTAAATGTGTAAAATTATGTATATATATACACACACACTCTTAGAACAGTGCATGGCACAGAACAAAAAATCAAAATATATTATCAATACCTACTACGATTTTGGTCTATGGGAAGACATGGCAGGAAGTAAAAGGCAGACAAAACAATTTTTTTTCAAATATCTTTCTTACGAAATCACACACACAAAATTCTACATTATATGGTAATATATTGTCCTTTGGATTACTTAAATAGTGATCCAAATTCTGGCCCTTTTAAAAGCATGATGGAAAAAATAGGAGATGAGCTATTGCTAGAGAACACGAAAATGAATGCACAAATAACAAGAAACACAAATAGGGCAATACTTTCAGCCTTTCAAGGGGTTTCATAGGTCTTATCTTCATGAGACTACCCTGCATACACCCATACTGTTTTAAAATTATTAAATGTAAAGAAAAATAAAGATATATTTTGTTGTGGGGCTCATTATTATATGATTGATATCTACCATTGGGTCCCACTTTGTTTTAAAGTACTGGGCACTGAAAACTTAAAACACAGACTGCTTGTTCTCAATTTAATCTACTAACTTACAGAGAACAAAACTGTCTTTATGTGTCAAAGAACAAATTGGAAACTGCATCTTCAGCAACCAGGATAATATTCTTCTTGTTGAATATTGGAAATGACTTAGAAGAAAAGGCAACCAAAAAAAATTTAGGAAAAAATTAATTAATACTGCATACATCACTAGGAGAGGGAACATAGTTTGAAAAAAAGGAGTTCAAACTGACAGGTGTGTTGACAGTTGGGAATATAAAAAGGAAGAATGAATCCAGGCACAGTGGCTCATGCCTGTAATCTCAGTACTTTGGGAGGCTGAGGCAGGCAGATCACTTGAGGTCAGGAGTTCGAGACCAGGCTGGCCAACATGGTGAACCCCTGTGTCTACTAAAAAAACAAAAATTAGCTGAGCATGGTGGCAGGCACCTGTAATCCCAGCTACTTAGGAGGCTGAGGCAGGAGAATTGCTTGAGCCTGGGAGGCGGAGGTTGCCGTGAGCCCAGATTACGCCATTGTACTTCAGCCTGACTCATAGAGTAAGATTATCTCAAAAAAATAGAAAAATTAATAAATGAAAAAATAAAAACAGTGATTTTTGTTTATGGCTTTGATAGTTGTGATTATTAAAGGTTAATATATTTAAGAAGAAAAATTTAAATCTTCCAGTTTTGAAAAATCAATAATAAAAAATATAAGAAGAAATGTCAAAAAGAGTCAAGAGACTAGAATCAGACAGAAGGGTGTGTTTGAAATCATGTTTGGGCTTCATTCTCATCCTGAAATTCATGTTGAATGTTGGAATGGAATGAGATCATCCCGGTGAAGCACAATGGTAGGGCGAGATGAATTGGCATAGTTACCAGATGAGTAATAATGCTAAAAGCATAAATACAGTTACTATCCTGATATAGTAAGAGTATTTTAAGCTTTAATACTAATAGAAGTTAAACATGAAAGGTGCTGTTTTTATAGAAATGGCAAAGAAAAAATCAATTCAGTAATATGTAATTGCAAACATTTATTTCCAGAGTTGCCAGCAAAACACTGGTTGAAAGTTTATCAATGACACAAAAATATAAGGATTTCTAAGTAAAAGAAATCTCTCTACAAAGGAGTAGCAGTACATCAATTAGACCTTCATATTCTAGAGTCAAATCTTAGAAGTTATAGATGAATTGGAAATTCAGAAGTCATGGATGACTATATTCAGGTTAAGGTACCTCAAAGAGACTGAGCTATAACTTCAAGGCCAATGTATTGGTGTATTTATTTATATTTTGGAAACAGTAAATTCATGTGGCATAGCTATACTCTTCATGTAGGCTGGTCTCCATCGAAATTTAGTTTATGATTAGACTATGGAACATAAATGGGAAGTCAATTATATGATTGAAATATTTAACGACACCAGGTTCCAAGAGTCTGAAGCCTACATTTGCACCAAAGGGATGAGACACCTGCCTCAAGACCTTCACAGATATACATGTCAATACCTGACTCATTGCAATTTAGTTTTCTGTTTTCTAGCTAAATATCTCTTTTCAGTTTGATCCTTTCTCTACATTTTACAATCTGTTAGGTTTGAATTTAATAAATATTCCAGTGAGACACTCAGAATGCTTTGGTAGAGTTTTGGGCATTTCCAACTTCCTTAATTAGGAATTTAAGCTGTGTTTGGGTTACTCCCACAGATAACTAATCTCATTCAATATTGTGGATTTTACTAGTTTTTCTTTCAGGGTCCATCTTATTTCTCTAATTTCCACATGTTTGGAGTAGCACACATTTTTTCCAGGTACCACTTACAAACTTTATTTTTGGTCATACATTAACCTTTTGAGTAGAATTTGATTGGAAAAAAAGGTATAAATTTTGTCTCATTTAATTAATAAAAATATGCTATTTTTTACTTCTACTCCACAAAATATATTTGTATCCTCAAAACTGTACATCTACATGTTACGAAGTAATGACAAGGCAAATATTAATGGCTAAAATTGTACTCACTCATTAAGTAGATAGTGGGGCCATTCCTACAGGACCCCTGCTAAGAAGCAGATTTGGGGGGAATATGGTTAGTTTTATCCTGAACATGTTATGTTTCGCATTCCTGTGAGATATTCATGTATTTTCCAGGAGACAGTTCTGGGCCCAAAGGAGGGAACTGTTTATGCTGACACATGCTTCCCAAGGATCAGGCAAGGACAGAAACTGCCCCTCAGTATTTTTTTGTTTTGTTTTTCTTTGTGTTTTTTTGAGACAAGCTGTCACTCAGTCACCCAGGCTGGAGTGTAGTGGTACAGTCTCGACTCACTGCTACCTTTGCCTCCTGGGTTCAAGCAATCCTCCCACCTCAGCTTCTGGAGTACCTGGATTACAGGTTTGTGCCAGCACACCAAGCTAATTTTTGTATTTTTAGTAGAGACGGGGTTTTGCCATGCTGCCCAGGCTGGTCTTGAACTCCTGACCTCAAGTGATCCGCCCACCTTGGTCTCCCAATGTGCCGGGATTACAGATGTGATCCCGGCCTGTCCCTCAGTTTTGACAATTCATGAGTCGCTGGTGACCACGGTGAGAATAGTTCCTCTTGAACACTCAGCAGAAGCACGATTTCAGCGTGTGAAAAGGTAAGTTGGCCTTGTTTAAACAAAGTATAGATGAGAATCTTTCAAGAAGTTTGGCGGTGAACCGGAGGGAAAGGATAGCCCGGTTGTTACTGGACGGAGGCTGAGGTGGGAGAAGTTCCCTTTCGTTTGGTGTTTCCGCAGGAGGAAGTCGGCATGTTTGAACGCTGAATGCAAAGTGCCTAAGAAAAGAAGAGGTTGAAGACACTGCAGACATTCTATTAAAATATTAACATTACAAATATTTGCATAGAAATTTAAAAACTTGATGTCTTTTTTACGCATTACTCAACTGTAAAACAAAATCGTGTGATATTTTCTAAAAGGGATCTTTAAAAACAAAACGAAAACAGAGAGGCGGAGTGAGTGTTAGGAGGGTCACACACTCAAGTGGGAAGTATCGTCATTGGGATTGTTTTACTGCTGGGGGGACTCTAAGAGACTGGGGCGGGCCACTGCATCGTCTGCAGGTGCGGTAGTGGCTTCTCAGGATGTGCAAATGTCAGTGAGTGCCCAGGAAAAGTCAGGAGTGGAGCTCAGCGCCTGCTGTGGAAAGCGACTGCAGTTTCCCCTGTTTGATGTATATGCCCACATAGTTTTCATCCATCTTGGCTAATTATCCAAAGAAGCCTTTGACTTCATATCTTTGATTTTCAAAACAAAAACAAGGCCGAGCGTGGTGACTCATGCCTGTAATTCCAGCACTTTGGGAGGCCGAGGCGGGCAGATCACTTGAGGTCAGGAGTTCCAGATCAGCCTGGCTAACAAGGTGAAACTCCGTCTCTAATAAAATACAAAAACCGGGCGTGGTGGCGGCCGCCTGTAATCCCACCTACTCCGGAGGCTGAGGCAGGAGAATCGTTTGAACCAGGAGGCGGAGGTTGCAATGAGCCAAGATCGTGCCACTGCACTCCAGCCTGGGCAACAGAGCCAGACTCCTTCCCAAAATAAATAAAATAAATAAAAATAAAAATAAAAAAACCCCACAGCTACCCATATTTAAAGCTCAATATCTATATCACTCTGTGGATGTACTTTTAAAATAAATAAATAAATAAAGCTTAAAAATCCAGATTTATGAAGGTGCTTAAAGGGAGCAGAATTCATGAACAGCTATCTCCAAGCCATATCATAACTTTAGAAAAAGAAATAATGCAAAAACTTTTAAAAACTGTTAATTTTGGCCTGGCGAGGTGGCTCACGCCTGTAATCTCCGCACTTTGGGAGGCCGAGGCAGGCAGATCACGAGGTCAGGAGATCAAGACCATCCTGGTTAACATGGTGAAGCCTTGTCTCTACTAAAAAAATACAATAATTAGCCGGGTGTGGTGGCGGGCGCCTGTAGTCCCATCTACTCGGGAGGCCGAGGTGGGAGAATGGCATGAACCCGGGAGGCGGAGTTTGCAGTGAGCCGAGATCGAGCCACTGCACTCCAGCCTGGGTGACAGAGCGAGACTCTGTCTCAAAATAAAAAAAAGAAAAAACTATTAATTTTTAAAAAGAAAGCATTAATAATGCTTGAAAAACTGAAAAGACTTTGCTCAGCTTATAACATTTTTATATCTGAAAGCTTCCAAGATGCTAAGGATGGTTCATCACAGGCAATGTTAATGATTGTAAATGAAAATTTAAAAAATTCTGTCTAGTCTCAAAAGCAAGTATGTATTTAACTTGCTAAAGATGATAAAGTTTTTTTTTGTTTTGTTTTTTTGTTTTTTGAGACAGAGTCCTGTTCTGTCACCCAGGCTGGAGTGTAATGGCACGATCTCCGCTCACCGCAAACTCCGCCTCCCAGGTTCAAGTGATTCCATTGCCTCAGCCTCCTGAATAGCTAGAATTACAGGCGCATGCCACCACACCTGGCTAATTTTTGTATTTTTAATACAGGCCGGTTTCGCCATGTTGTCCAGGCTGGTCTCAAACTCCTAACCTCAGGTGATCCACCCACCTCAGCCTCCCAAAGTGTTGGGATTACAGGCGTGAGCCACCACACCCGGCTGATGATAAGATTTTTATGATAATGAAGTCTGGAGAAGAATTGAAGTTGGGCAAAATGACCATATGCATTGCAAAATGAAACATCAAACAAGCAGTGGCACTGCAGGGTGTTAAAATATCAGATTCAGTTGTGTTCATAGACTCAAGAAACAGTTAATCTCAATATACAAGACAGTTGTAAAATTAGGAAGAATAAAGTTGGTAAACATTTTATATTTAATTATTCAATTCATTTTACTTTAGCCCATGTACTTCAGCCAATTTGCTACATTTTATATCAGTCTCTTGCTGGGAAAACCCAAACAGATATAACACATGCTAAATTGATTTCACAATTAGGGACTAGTAAGGATCAAAATAATCCATGCAAATATAATAGTGAATCACTTCGCCTTTTAAAAAAGATAAATCAGACCATGAACTTTTTTTATGCTGGGTGACTTATGGAAAAATTATTCTTTCCTTACATTAGGAAGAAGTCTGCTTTTCAAAATTGCCCCAAATTATAGAAGCCAGAGTGTTCTGTGATATAATTTTGTGTTCTTCACAAGCAGGCAGAGGCATCTAGATAAATTCTAATTTCTAGGTATAATTCATATTGTATTCAGAACTGATAACTGCACAAATAATTGTTGGTTTCATTTATAACTTTTTATAGCAGAGAATGAGAGATTTGTAAACTTTTTCCCTACATATTTTTTCCAAAAGTAAAAAATGTAGAACCTATACATCAAATCTATGTATATGGATTTATTTATCTATTTATTCATTTACTTATTTATTTTGAGAGGTAATCTCTCTCTGTCGCCCAGGCTGGAGTGCAATGGGGCAATCTCAGCTCACTGCAACCTCCGCCTCCTGGGTTCAAGCAATTCTCATGCCTGAGCCCCCTGAGTAGCTGGGATTATAGGCGCCCGTCACCATGCCCGGTTAATTTTTCTATTTTTAGTAGAGATGGGGTTTCACCATGTTGGTCAAACTGGTCTTGAACTCCTTACCTCAGGTGATCTGCCCACCTGGGCCTCCCAAAGTGCTGGGATTACAGGTGCAAGCCACTGTGACTGGCCTGTAATATGGTTTTATATTGTACAGAATAAAAATTGCAACCTTTGCTTAAAAGAAGATCAAATAAGCCTGAGGAAATTCATAGTATGCCATTGATTTATCTTTATTATAGTTTAATGGAACAATTTGATAAGAAGACATATCTAATATAGCTTAGATGAACAGCTTATACAGGTTCAGTATCCCTTATCTGAAATACTTTGGACCAGAAGTGTTTGGGCAGATTTTGGAATATTCATATTATGCTTATCGGTTCAGCATCCCTAATCTGAAAATTAAAATTCAAAATGCTGCAGTGAGCATTTCCTTTGAACAACATGTTGGGCCTCAAAAAATTTCATATTTCCAGTGTGTGTAGATGGTGTCACCTGGAGCTTGAGTGGCTACACATGAGTATCAAAGACAATGGCCAAGAACAAATTAAGTGGGCAGAAGTATAGGAATGTATTCGCATTGCCAGCCAAAAAATCTTTAAGGCTAAAAAGAAAATAAAACCAGTTACCACTAATTTTTTTTTTTTTTTTGAGACGGAGTCTCACTGTGTTGCCCAGACTGGAGTGCAGTGGCACGATCTCGGCTCACTGCAACCTCCACTTCCCGGGTTCAAGCGATTCTACTGCCTCAGCCTCCCGAGTAGCTGGGACTACAGGCACGCACCACTGTGCCCAGCTAATTTTTGTATTTTTTTAGTAGAGATGGGGTTTCACCATGTTGGTCAGGCTGGTCTCAAACTCCTGACCTCCTGATCCACCCACCTGGGCCTCCCAAAGTGCTGAGATTACAGGCTTGAGCCACCGTGCCCAGCCCAGTTACCACTATTCTTAAAAAGATAAACATTGTGAATGATGAAAAAGTTAACAGAGTGAATAAAGTTTTCATACATATATTAAAAAAAACTTGCATACTTCTCAAAAGGTCTTCCTCTTGAACCTCTGCAGAAAGGACTGAGGGAGGGTCATGAAAGCAAACCAGTTAAGTTGATGAAGCTCCAAGATTAAAGACTCAGTTGTAACACACAGGTCACGCATCTAAAAGACTAGTACATTAAATGTGTTATATTTTAAAGTTTCCAATTTTGAGGCTGTGCACGGTGGCTCACGCCTGTAATCCCAGCATTTTGGGAAGCCGAGGCGGGTGGATCATGAGGTCAGAACTTGATACCAGCCTGGCCAACATGGTGAAACCCCGTCTCTACTAAAAATACAAAAGTTAGCCGGGCGTAGTGGCGCGTGTCTGTAATCCCAGCTACTCGGGAGGCTGAGGCAGGAGAATTGCTTGAACCTGGGAGGCGGAGGTTGCAGTGAGCTGAGATCACGCCATTGCACTCCAGCCTGGGCGACAAGAGCAAGACTCCGTCTCAAAAACAAAACAAAATAACAAAAATGTTTCTGATCTTGGAACATTTTACATTTTGAATTTTCAGATTTGGGATGCTCAACTTGTAATTATAAATGGTCTTAAGTCTTGTAAGCAGTTGGTATTTATTTACTGTGGTTGATTTTACAACTCAGTGATGAATGTTTCTTACATAAAATTAGCGATCAAGGAAAATGAATGTTTAAAGAGCAATTGCAAATTTCCAAACAATTTAATGAACCTTCTCCTTCAAATCAGATTCATTATAGTTACAATGAAAATTAAAAAAAAAAATTTTAAACACTAATTATATAATAAGGTTGTTTATGGTTATCTAGTTGTAACACTGATTATTAAATCTATAATCATCACAAATCAATTTTAATATCCCAAATTTTTACTTTGTTCAAAATAACTGAGAAATTACAGTCACCAGATACTTGTACAAGTGTTTACATTATGTTAGTGTCCAACCTAGATTCTTTGACATAAAAAATATTTCCAGATTTTTAATTATTGTTTTAATTTCATTTTACAGGTATATTTAAAATTTAATTAATAATGGTCTAATTATCAATGTTATTAAACAGAGTAAAGTTTAAATATTTATTAAGCTGTGAGATGATGAGGTTATGATGTTAAAATTTATCTTTAGTTTTCAAAGTGACAGTGAAAAAATTTACCCCAGACAACTCTCCAAGAATTGTACTGAGTTTTCAAAATATAACCAATTGCCTAATTCAAATGACTATAAGATAAAAAGTGTCCAGGTGAGGCGGCTCATGCTTGTAATCCCAACACTTTGGGAGGCCGAGCTGGGAAGCATTGCTTGAGCCCAGGGGTTTGAGACCAGCCTGGGCAACGTGGTGAAACCACGTCCTACCAAAAGCACAAAAATTAGCCAGGCATAGTGGTGTGTGGCTGTAGTCCCAGCTACTTGGGGAAGCTGAGGCTGGAGGATTGTTTGAGCCTGGGAGGTCAAGCCTGCAGTGAGCCATGATCTCACCACTGCACTCCAGCTTGTGTGACAGAGCGAGACCCTGTATCAAAAATCAAAAACAAAAAACCCAAAAACAAAAAGATAAGAAATGAGCATGAAAACATTTTTCTCCCTTCTCCTAAATCTTCTATTTATCATTTGCAAATCATGTATCTACTTTGGAGGAAGGTCACTGATGAGACCAATTTGAACGTGATATAGAGGACTAAAATTGTCTGAAAACCTCCAATTACAAAATTAGAATATCTATTTGAGGTAATATTTAACATTTTCTGTAAATATTAATTTTAAAATTTATTTAATTAAAATTTAATTCTTTTTTTTTTTTGAGACAGAGTCTCGCACTGTTAGGCTAGAGTGCAGTGTCGCGATCTCTGCTCACTGCAAGCTCTGCCTCCTGAGTTCATGCCATTCTCCTGCCTCAGCCTCCCAAGTAGCTGGGATTACAGGTGCGTGCCACCACACCTGGCTAATTTTTGTATTTTTAGTAGAGATGGAGTTTCACCATGTTGGCCAGGCTGGTTTGAGCCCAAGGAGTTTGAGATCAGCCTGGGCAACATGGCCAGACCCCATCTCTGCAAATACTACTAATAATAAAATAGCTGGGTATGGTGGTGTGTGCCTGTGGTCCCAGCTATTTGGGAGGCTGAGATGAGAGGATCACTTAAGCCCAGAAGATTGAGGCTTCAGTGAGCTGTGATCTCACCATTGCACGCCAGCCTGGGTGACAGAATGAAACCCTGTCTTAAAAAAATAATATAATAAAAATAAAATAAAAATTTTCAAGAGGACTAAAGTCTTACATTTTGTAATTCAGTGTATAAAAGTCCCTAAATTATGCAAATTCCAAAATCTCATTTTTAAGCATTTTTTAAGTGAATGCAGTTTTCCATACAATGCTGTAAGAACTTATATTTATTTATTTATGTATTTACTTATTTATTTTGAGACGGGGTCTTACTCGTCACTCAAGCTGGCATGCAGTGGTTGGATCATGGCTCACGGAGCCTCAACCTCCCGGGCTCTAGCAAACCTCCCACCTCAGCCTCTATGGTAGCTGGGACTACAGTACATACCACCACACCTGGCTAATTTTTTTTTTTAGATGGAGTCTTGCTCTGTCACCCAGGCTGGAGCGCAGTGGTGCGATCTTGGCTCACTGCAAGCTCTGCCTCCCGAGTTCACACCATTCTCCTGCCTCAGCCTCCACAGCATCTGGAACTACAGGTGCATGCCACTATGCCCAGCTAATTTTTTTGTACTTTTAGTAGAGACGGGGTTTTGCCGTGTTAACCAGGATGGTCTCGATCTCCTGACCTCGTGATCCGCCTGTCTTAGCCTCCCAAAGTGCTGGGATTACAGGCATGAGCCACCGCGCCTGGCCCACACCTGGCTAATTTTTGTATTTTTTTGTAGAGAGGAGGTTTTGCCATGTTGCCCAGGGTGGTCTTGAACTCCTGGGCTCAAGTGATCTGCCTGCCTCAGTCTCCCAAAGTGCTGGGATTACTGGCATGAGCCACCACACACAGCCAAGAACTTATTTTTAAGGAAGAATAAAAGGCAGATAATAATACTGTGTCAGAATTGGCAATGAAAAGCAAATAATTTAACATGGTAAGAATGGAAAAGAAAAAATTAATAACAGATTGAAAAGTAGCTCATGATTCATGAAGGAAAACATATTTATTTAGAAAACAATAAAAAAGGCAATGTTTGTGAAGGAGATGGTGATACATTTCCAAGCACATTGGCAGCTAATTCTTGTGGTTCTCCTTTTATGCTTTTAAATTCAATATGCTTTTAAATTCAAATAACTATTAGACACACACACACACAACACACAAACAGCCCATGTACACAATCCATGGCATCTTTTCTACATCTATTCAATAAAAGGTCCTAAAAGTAGTATCACCTTCAGGGCTCCTTGAAGAAATGACATATTCTAGGGCTGGGATAGAGGGTTAAATATGAACTTGAACATCTTGTGGTGCCATAAAGTAAAGAAGTGCTCAGAAAGTGATGGAGGTATATCGAAGAACACAAGAGCAAGACTGAAATGGTTCCCACAGGCCAAATCTGGGACAATTTGATTATCAAAATTCAGGATGTGACAAATGAATCTAACTATTACAAATGTAGGACATAATGTCTCTGAAGTAAGGTGGAAAAAAAAAAAGCTGTCCTAAAGATCTTTAAAAAACAGTATTTTGGCTGGGTGTGGTGGCTCACGCCTATAATCTCAGCACTTTGGGAGGCTGAGGCAGGAGGATCACTTGAGGTTGGGAGTTCAAGGGCAGCCTCTGGTCAACATGGTGAAACCCCGTTTCTACTAAAAAATACAAAAATCAGCCAGGTGTGGTTGCATGTGCCTGTAATCCCAGCTACTAAGGAGACTGAGGCAGGAGAATCACTTGAGCCTGGGAGGCAGAGGTTGCAGTGAGCCTAATTGCACCACTGCACTCCAGCCTGGGCAACAGAGTGAGACTCTGTCTTAAATAAATAAATAAAATAAATAAATAAATAAATAAAACAGTATTTTGATGGAAGCTGTAAGACTGAAGACTAAAAAAAAAGTGCATTCACATTATACTCTAGTTTGTAAATTTGTGTCTTACTGGAGTATAGTTTGACAATTCTGAAGTACTTTACATCTATAGTAGAGATGAACACATAAGCAAATTAATGGTAGATAATGGAAGCCAGGTTTCTCACTGTCAGAGAAATTACAATCAAGACGGGAGTCTAGAATGAACCATGTGGTACCGGGAGTTGAGTTGGAGACCTCAGTATGAACCCATGTAAATTTAGTTTTATAGACGATAGATAGGTAGATAGATAGATATAACTATAGATATATGTATATTCATTGGTTAATAGACACATACATATTCCCTAGTACTGTTTACTTAGGGTCAATGATATTCCAGTAACGACAAGTACACCTTCGTCCAGATCTTGGTTTCCAATGCTATTTTCAATAGAAAGAAAAAAATGCTTTTCTAGGACCAGGGCAAAGAAAGTACACGATGAACCTGGAGCATTTTTTAGTACAATTACACAAAAAACAAAAACATAGGGACATGTCAAAGGTATACAGTAGCCAACCTGAAAGATCTCTTATTAGCCAAAGCTGAAAAGATTTGAGTAACACCATAAATAAAATAGTATTGGATTAGATTCCAAAATGTAAAATACACCTGAGCGCACACTTTCTTTTTTTTTGTTTGTTTGGACAGAGTCTCACTCTGTCGCCCAGGCTAGAGTGTGGTGGCTCGATCTTGACTCACTGCAACATCTGCCTCCCAGGTTCAAGTGATTCTCATGCCTCAGCCTCCCGAGTAATTGAGATTACTGGCACAGGCCACCTTGCCTGGATAATTTTTGTATTTTGAGTAGAGATGGGGTTTCACCATGTTGGCCAAGCTGGTCGCAAACTCCTGGCTTCAAGGGATCTGTCCACCTCAGTCTCCCAAAGTGTGAGCCACCATGCCCGGCCCTGAAATCCTGAAATCATACTTATATAAACAAATAACTGAATTAACAAATGAAGGAGATGAGATGATAGGCAATTCTCCTCTTATAGATGAATTCCAAATAATGTATGCAGCTATTCTCCCACCAGGAGATGGAAATTAATCCCTTCTCTCCTTGAGTGTGGGCTGGACTTAGTGATTCAGTGTCAAAGAACAGAGTATGGAAAAGGAAAAAAATAGTAGCTTTACAATAGAGAGAGACCTGGCGGACACTATATTTAGCAAGCGATCAAGGTTAACAGCACCCAGTGATAAGTTATGCTGATACCGTATACTCCTCAAGAAAGTGTGAGAGGACACCTTACTTCTGTGGTATTCTTTCAATAAATAAACAAATAAATAAGCAAACAAATCCACTTTAAATATGAAGTGGTAAAAGGACATGATATTAACTTACCCTCACATGTTTCAGAAAAAATACCCACACAATGTGTTTGTGTTTGTGTGTATATAAATTTTTCCTGGTGTTCCAGAGAAAATGATAAAAGAAACATGGCAAATGTTAACAGCTGGTGAACTGGGATATGAGGTATATTGAAATTCTTTATACTTGCAACTTTTCTAAGGTTTCAAGTTATTTGAAAATAAAATTTAACAAAATTTAAACTAACATTTTTTCTCTTTTCCTTGTTTTTTGTTTTGTTTTTTGAGACAAGGTCTCGCTCTGTTGCCCTGGCTGGAGTGCAGTGGCACAGTCTCAGCTCACTGAAGCCTTAAACTCCTGGGTCCAGTGAAACTCCCACCTCAGCCTCCCAAGTTGTACACCACTGTATACAACTAAATTTTTTTGCTTATTTTTTATAGAAATGAGGTCTCACTATGTTGTCCAGAACGGTCTCAAACTCCTAAGCTCAAACAATTGGCCTTCCTCAATCTCCCAAAGTGCTGGGATTACAGGCATAAGCCACCATGCCTGGCTCAATTTTTCTTATTATAGAGTTAACATATTATCATTGCAAAATAATTTTTGAGAAAGGAAATCTAATTTTTTTTTTTTTTTTTTTTTTTTTAGCAACAAAGGTCTTGCTCTGTTGCCCAGGCTAGGAGTGCAGTGGCATGATCATGACTCACTGCAGCCTTGAACTCCTGGGCTCAAGCAATCCTCCCACCTCTACCTCCGAAGTAGCTAGGACAACAGGTGCACACCACCACACTTGGCTAATTTTTATTTATTTATTTTTTACTTTTTGCAGACGTGGGACCTGGCTGTTTTGCCCAGGCAGGTCTTGAACTCCTGGCCTTAAGCAATATTCCTGCTTTGGCCTCCCAAAGTACTGGGATTTTAGGCACGAGCCACCATGCCCAACTGTTATAGTGTTATTTGAAGTTGGATTTAGGTTAGTCGTAAATGTATATTGCAAACTCTAAAGCAACCACTAAAAATTGTTTAAGAAGTATAATTGATATGCTAAGAGAAGAGAGAAAATTGAATTACATAAAATACTCAGTTAAAGCCAGAGGTGGCAGAAAAAGAGTGCAAGAAAAAAAGAACAGGAGCAATGATAGAAAATAGGTACAATATGCTTGATATTTGTTTCCCAAGTGCTCAGAAACATGGGACTATTACTATGGTGGTGGCTACAATTTTTATTTCTTCTGTTTGGATCATTCTGGTCACCTGTTGCCAAGGATTCTAATACTTAGAAATTGTTCCTGCTGTTCCTGGTTATCAGAAGAGTGGAAAGAATGTACACATTTGGTTATAGATACACATTCAGTGATGTATATCTTAAAGCAGAGCTGCCTTGAGCTTCTAACCTCTTATAGGAGTTTCAGTGAGATACTCCTTTGCTATTCCCCAAAACTTCTCTCTAGGATAAAGACATAAATGCATAGAAACTGGGTCAAGGATCATCTGTATGACAGACACATCACTGTAGTCTGAATCACTGCCCCTTCCTTCTCTCGCTGAGATAATGTCATTAAATCAAACTCTATTCATTTACTCTGAGAAGATATTATGTGTTCTCCACATCATGGAAGGTACTGCTGACCAGTAGTGAATATAACTCAGTTCCTGCCCTCAAGAAGTTTACATTCTAATAGTGAAGGTAGAGAACAAAAATAACAAATTAGGCCAAGCGTGGTGGTTCTTGCTTGTAATCCCAGCACTTTGGGAGGCTGAGATGGGTGGATCACCTGAGGTTGGGAGTTCGAGACCAGCCTGACCAATATGGTGAAACCCCATCTCTACTAAAAACACACACAAAAAAACTAGCCAGCCTGTGGTGGCGGGCGCCTGTAATCCCAGCTACTCAGAAGGCTGAGGTGGGTGAATCAGTTGAACCCAGGAGGTGGAGGTTGCAGTGAGCCGAGATCGCACCACCACTGCACTCCAGTCTGGGTCACAGAGAGAGACCCTGTCTCAAGAAAAAAAAAAAAAGAAAGAAAAAGAAAAAACTAATTGAAATATAGTATAATAAATGCTATGGCAGAGAGAATTACAGATGATTGTAGAAACATAGCGTAGATGACAGGAATGATCTAGAAAAGGTGTGTGATCAAGGTGAGTCTTGAAAGATGAGAAAGGATTACCTACATGAAGAAATGTGTTGTAGACAGTGTGGACAACATATGCAGAAACATGGAGTTGACAGAGCCTGACATTTCCAGGGCTATGCTAGCACCCTTAGAATAATTTCTTTTCCAGAAGGCTCCTTTGTTCTTTTTACATTGTGACCCCTTTCTGGACCTGCACCTCAATCTATCAAATGTACAGGGGCAATTCTTAAGTAGAGGGTCAATAGTTAAATTGCAAAGTGGAATTATGCCTGAACAAAAATCAACAGCATTTTTAAAAAGAGAATACAAGACGTAAAATTAGGAGGAAAAAAAGAGTTGATAGAAAAGAGTCAGCGCCTAACCACCACCACCACCACTTTCCACCAAGATGTCAGGAGGTACCATGCTCCAGATGTTTGGTTCTAGGACAATGGGTGGCCTGAGGAGATGGTGTGCAATCAGACCATGCAGAAGATATTTGTATTAGCACATTTGTGAATTGAGAGCTGCCAATACTTTTGTAAAGTGTGAGAAAACACAAGCCTTTATCAGCAACTGAGCAAAATGATGGTGCTACCTTTTCTAATATGACCCTATCCAGCAAGTTGTCACTCTTTGCTGCATAGACAACTCCAACCAGGCATGGTAGTGCACACCTGCAATCTCAGCACTTTGGGAGGCCAAGGAGGATGGCCCAGACCAGCCTGGACAACATAGTGACAGCCCCTCTCTACAAAAAATTATTTTTAAATAATAATAAAAATTTTTAAAAAATTAAAAAATAACTCCTGAATGTATCTAATGATCTGATGTCCTATGTTAGTCTTCATTATTCAGTTGACCTAACATGCAAGATGTTTGCCAGTAGAAGATTGTTAGTTGTGTTTTTTGAGGCC
This sequence comes from Homo sapiens, assembly GCF_000001405.40. Taxonomy (NCBI): domain Eukaryota; kingdom Metazoa; phylum Chordata; class Mammalia; order Primates; family Hominidae; genus Homo; species Homo sapiens. The sequence continues at coordinate 121,468,030 of NC_000006.12, read as the reverse complement.
TATATCCTGGACTCCCACATTTCAGTATCCCCAGAAAATCCAGCTAATTTGTCTTTAATTTCCTTTTCACCTTGATACACAGTGTCCTACCCTGAGTTGAGAAATCAACCAGTTACCCCTAAACAACCTGAGATGTCAAAACCTCTTATACCCCTTACTATAAACAAGTTAAGCAAATTGCAAAAGCTAGAAATTTCATCCACACGGTATGTACAAATTTCAATAAATCATGAACTTAACATGTCAAGGTAGAGCATGAAACTAAAATAATTGGTCATCTCAAGTTCTTTCTGCAATGGGGCTTAATCTCAAAGGAAATAATTTTTTATGGCATGAATGAATGTGCATAAGCTTAACTCCTCACCTTTCCTTCCTATTCTGTTCCTTCTTGATCAAGGTTTCTAAATCAATAATATGTTTTTGAACTCTTACCTTGATTTCATAAGCATTTTTATCTCTAGCTTCACATCTTCTCACTTTTCCCCTGGATTCGATTCAAAAGCCAGCAGAGGAAAGTGTTCTCATCTGTTGCTTAAATCACAGAAGTGCAATTCTCCTTCACAGTATTTATTTTATTTTGCATTATGTCCCAGTGGTTTACTATAAAGTAATTTCTTTCCTTGAATTAACTTTTGACATAAGTGGAAGTATTGAGTAGATTTGGTTTCTAGATTTGTTTTTAGAAATTTTGATGTGGAGAAGGCAGGGAAATAGTACATTACTCCAGAAATAACTGGTTTGCCTAAATCTTTTATGTTTGATGTGAGCCTGTGACCCCAAAATTTGGATTTAGAAACATTATTTTTACTCTTGTAAAGTTAAAAGAACCTGAGGCTGGGCGTGGTGGCTCATGCCTGTAATCCCAGCACTTTGGGAGGCTGAGGCGGGTGGAGCATGAGGTCAGGAGTTCAAGACCAGCCTGGCCAAGATGGTGAAACCCCATCTCTACAAAAAACACAAAAAATTAGCTGGGCACAGTGGCAGACACCTGTAATCCCAGCTACTCGGGTGGCTGAGGCAGGAGAATCGCTTGAACTCGGAGGGCGGAGGTTGCAGTGAGCCAAGATAGCGCCACTGCACTCTAGCCTGGGCGACAGAGTAAGACTCCATCTCAAAAAAAAAAAAAAAAAAAAAAAAGTTAAAAGAACCTAAGGTAGCATCTAGAAGAACAAATAAGAACATCTTTAAAAACTGATGTTAAAATGGTAGATTAATGCCCTTCTAGATAATAAAGCTATCTAGATAATAAATAAATATTGAAACCTCCTCTTCCCTTCTAGATAATGAAACTTACTCTGAAATTAAAATAACTTTTTTTTTTTGAGATGGAGTCTCGCTCTGTTGCCCCCGTCTCCACTAAAAATAAAATAACTTTTGTGAGCCCATTATAACATAATACTAGACACAGTTCAATGAAACAGATTTGATGGACCAGAACTGACTCTATTATATGTAAATTATACTATAGGAAGCATCACAAATCAATGAGAACAGATGGACAATTCAAAAAACCACGTTGGCTAAAAAAATCAATGTCATAGAAAGGGTTGGAAGGGACTAAAAGACACAACAAAATGTAACATATGGACTTTGTTTGGTCTCAGAGACAAACAAATCCATTATAAAAAGATACTCTTGAGCTATCAGAAAAATCTGTATATGGACTTAGGTGATAGTAAAGAATTATTGTTTATTTTTGTTTTTATTTAAAAACAAAACAAAACATTTTTAAAAACAAAAACAAACCAACTTCATTGCCTAGGCTGGAGTGCAGCTGCACAATCACAGCTCACTGCAGCCTCAACGTCCCAGGCTCAAGCAATCCCCCACCTTAGCCTCCTGAGTAGCTGGGACCATAGGTACTCGTCACCATGCCCAGCTAATTTTTTAACTTTTCGGAGAGACAGAGTCTTGCTATGTTGCCCAGGCTGATCTTGAATTCCTGGGTTTAAGCTACTCTGTTATCTTGGCCTCCCAAAGTGCTGGGATTACAGGCATGAGTCAATGTGCCTGGGCTAGGAATTATTGTTAATAATAATTATTGTAAATTTTGTTAGGTGAGATAAAGGCATGAAAATTATATTTTTAAAAACAAGATGTCTTTCTCAGGCAAAGAAACATACTAGATTATTTACAAGTGAAATGACTAGATGTTTCAGGTTATAAAGAAAAAACAGGCAGACAGCCCCTTCTCTGCTGTACTTGCCCACCCATCATAATAAAATAAAATAAAAAAGAAAAGAAAAATAGAGGGAAAGAGATGAAATAAGGAAGGCAAATTATCATTGGTGAAGAATGAGAATTTATTATATTATTCTTGCTATTTTCATGTACTTAAAAATGTCTACAATAAATAAGTTATTACAAAAACACTGAAATCATTTTTTCAAATAAAATCTCATGTTGAAACAGAAAGAAAAAGCATTTATATTTCTGGTGGAAAGAGAGGAGAGGGCTATAAACCTCTTCCAGCTCTTCATGCTTTCCCAGGAAAGCCCCTAAAATGCCTCCATGGAACTTGGTTTGAAAACTACTGCATCTGTTTTCGCTCTTTCATCCAACAGCTGAGGCTCTCTCCAAGTCCCGTAGCTTCAGAGTTGACCATTCCCATCCCACAGCTGACCGCTTTGTGAGCGCCTGCTGTACTCACCTCCCTGCCCAATCCCCTCTTCACCTTCCCAGGTAGGGATCTGCCTCATGTACACCACACTGACTTCACCCTTCCCTTGCTCTTGGGGCCTGACAACTTGGTAAATATGTTACTCATCATTCCATTAGTATCCTTTGTATGCAGAATATTTCACCATAGGACTAACCAGGGTAGTTTCCATCTTAATAAAGAACTGTTGTTGGAAAGAAAAGAGTATTGAGGCAATTGGTCAACTACTGAGAAGAAAATCGATATATGTCTTAACGTACACTGTACTCTGAAGACACAAAGGTAACAAAAAGTCAAATGTGAAATAAAAACAAAAGCATATAATGAACAGCTAAAATACTGTGGTTAAATATCAAATCCCTGGGTGAAAGAAAGATGAAACCTTGGAATTTTGAAAGTAAAGATCAAGAATTTTGGCTACAGAAATTTCATGTCAAAAATGCAAATGTTTTAAAACTTAAAATCACATAATAAGCTAGAAAAAGAGTCATAGCAAAAAAAAAACATAGTTAACGTTTTTATTATATAAAAGAGCTCGTAAAATCATCACCACCACAAAAGAATAAGAGGCAATGATCATAGGCATTTTAAGTGAGAAAAATAGCATATACATGTTTACATACATATTATTAATATAGCTATTAATTAAATGTAAATTTAAATATGAGAGTTTTCACATACAAAACAGGAATTTTTTTTTAAGTACTAATATAATTCTTGTTAGGTTCAAAGAGTCTTTAGACTGTTCAAAACTTTGATTCTAATTCTTAGAATTTAACCTAAAAAAATTAAATTAAAAAAATGAACAAAGTTGTTCATCAAGTGTCACCTATAATAGCAAAAAATTCAAAAGAAACTAAATATTTAACAATAGAATGATTGGATAAATAATGGCACAAATGCCCAATGACATTTTTATTTATTTATTTATTTTCTTGAGATGGGGTCTTGCTCTGTCACCCTGGCTGGAGTGCAATGGCATGTTCAAAGGTCATTGCAACCTCGAACACCTGGGCTCAAGGGATCCTCCTGCCTCAGCCTCCTGAGTAGCTGGTACTAGAGGCATGTCACTGCACCTAAATTTTTTTTTTTTTTTAAATTTTCTGTAGAGTTAGGGTCTTGCTTTGTTGTTCCAAACGACATTTGAAAAATGCTTATGTTGGCCGGGTGCAGTGGCTCACACCTGTAATCCCAGCACTTTGGGAGGCCAAGGCAAGCAGATTGCCTGAGTTCGGGAGTTCAAGACCAGCCTGACCAACATGGAGAAACCTTGTCTCTAATAAAAATATAAAATTAGCCAGGCTTGGTGGTGCATGCCTGTAATCCCAGCAACTCGGGAGGCTGAGACAGGAGAATCGCTTGAACCCAGAAGGCGGAGGTTGCAGTGAGCCGAGATCGCACCATTGCACTCCAGCCTGGGCAACAAGAGCAAAACTCCATCTAAAAAAAAAAAAAAAAAAGACTGGGCGTGGTGGCTCATCCCTGTAATCCCAGCACTTTGGGCGGCCGAAGAGGGCAGATCACTTGAGACCAGGAGTTCAAAACCAGCCTGGACAACATGGTGAAACCCCATCTCTACTAAAAATACAAAAATTAGCCAGGTGTGGGTGGCACATGCCTGTAATCCCAGCTACTCAGCAGGCTGAGGCAGGAGAATCCGTTGAACCCAGGACATGGAGGTCGCAGTAAGCCAAAATTGCACCACTGCACTCTAGCCTGGGTGACAGAGTGAGACTCTGTCTCAGAAAAAAAAAAAAAAAAAAAAAAAAAATGCTATGTTGGCCAGGCATGGTGGCTCATGCCTGTATTTCCAGCACTTTGGGAGGCGGAGGTGGGCAGATCACTTGAGGTCAGGAATTCGAGAGCAGCTTGGCCAACATGGAAAACCCCATCTCTACTAAAATACAAAAATGTGCTGGGCGTGGTGGCACACACCTATAATCCCAGCTCTTCGGGAGGCTGAGGCAGGAGAATTGCTTGAACCTGGGAGGCCAAGTTTGCAGTGAGCCAAGACTGTGACACTGCACTCCAGCCTGGGAAATAGAGCAAAACTCTGTCTCAAAAATAAATAAATAAATAAATAAATAAATAAATAAATAAATAAAGCTCATGTTAATGCAAAAATGCTTATGTTAAAGGTTAAGTCTAAAAAAAAAGAAGGATGTCGATTTTCATATTAAAACTATCACTAATATTTTCAATTTAAAGGCAAAACAATTCATAGATTCAAGAATATTGAAACAAAAACTGTATAGTCATTCTCTCCTTTGGATGTTCAGATTAAAGGACATTGTTTTCTTCTTGTCTTTTGTTAACATTTAAGTTTCTTTAAAGTTTTCTATAATAGATATTTATTACTTTTATCATTTAGTTAAAATTATTTAGAAAAGTTATATGCTCATGCAATTCCTCCCTCCTGCCCTTCTCTGCTCCCACCCATCACCAGAAAAGAAAATTTTTTAAAAAGAAAAGGTATATGCTGGCTGAGCATTATATTATAGCTCACACCTGTAATCCCAGCACTATGGGAGGCTGAGGTGGGAGGATCACTTGAGCAACGGAGTTTGAAACCAGCCTGGGTAATAAAGTGAGACTCTGTTTCTAAAAGGACTTTAAAAATTGGCTGGGTGAAGTGGTGCACACCTGTAGTCCCAGCTACTCGGGGGCTAAAGTGGGAGGATTGCTTGAGCCCAGGAGGCTGAGGCTGTAGTGAACCGAAATCACACCACTGCACTTCTGCTTGGACAATAGAATGAAACCCTTGTCTTAAAAAAAAAGTATATATATATATATGTGTGTGTGTGTGTGTGTGTGTGTGTGTGTGTTATATTTGATATATATATGCTATATTTGACATATATATGCTACATTCACAATTGAATGATTCATTTATTTACAAAAGAATAAAATAGAATAAAATAGAAGTTAGGCTATCTGAGCTGCTTCTTGATATTCATGCTAATACAATTTGTCATATTAAAATGTATCTTGTCCTTAAGTTACAGCCCTTTGGGCTGGGCACGGTGGCTCACGCCTGTAATCCCAGCATTTTGGGAGGCCGAGGTGGGCGGATCACCTGAGGTCCGGAGTTCGAGACCAGCCTGACCAACATGGAGAAATCCTGTCTGTACCAAAAATACAAAATTAGCCAGGCATGGTGGCCTATGCCTGTAATCCCAGCTACTCAGGAGGCTGAGGCAGGACAATTGCTTGAACCTGGGAGGCAGAGGTTGCAGTGAGCCAAGATCACGCCACTGCACTCCAGCCTAGGCAACAAGAGTGAAACTCCAAGTAAAAAAAGAAAAAAGAAAAAAATTACAGCTCTTTGTATCAAGCAGGTAGCTAGGCAGAAAGTGAATAGGAATTGCTGAGGGCAGATGAATTAGAGGTCTCTGACTGAGCTCTTATTTTTCCCTTAACAAAATTCTCAGAAATTATGAAAGACAAAATTTCATATTATTCTGAACAAATAACTGCCATCATATTCATGACTTTTTCTATCATGAGCCAAACATAATATCAGTATATTATATAGCCACATGCTGTTTATGGAGTGCAGTGACATATCTGAGATATGTGCAAGTATTGTCAGTATTATTTGTAATAATGTCAAATGGAGGAAAAACTTGAGAAGCCCAATAATAAATAAATAAGTTTACTACAGAATAATCACCCTGTGGCATATTATGCAGCCATTAAAAATGAGGTAGGTCCATATATTTTTTGTTTTTAAAAATTTTTTTATTAATTTATTTTTTAAATTTATAGAAACAGTATCTCACTATGTTGCCCAGGCTGGTCTTGAACTCCTGAGCTCAAGCAATCCTCTCACCTCAGCTTCCCAAAGTGCTGGGATTACAAATGGGATCCCATTTGTAAGGTCCATATATATATATATATATATATATATATTTTTTTTTTTTTTTTTTTTTTGAGAAAAAGTTTTTGCTTTTGTTGCCGAGGTTGGAGTGCAATGGCGTGATCTCGGCTCACTGCAACCTCCGCCTCCCGGGTTCAAGCGATTCTCCTGCCTCAGCCTCCCAAGTAGCTGGGATTATAGGCATGCGCCACCATGCCCAACTAATTTTGTATTTTTAGTAGAGACAGGGTTTCACCATGTTGGCCAGGCTGGTCTCGAACTCTGACCTTAGGTGATCCGCCCACCTTGGCCTCCCAAAGTGCTGGGATTATAGGTGGAGACACCGCGCCTGGCCAGTAAGGTCCATATATTTTAACATGAAAGATTATTATAAATATAAATAAAATGACTTACAAGCTATAGGTATATCTATGTATAATCTGGCTACCTTTAGGAAGAGGATTGAAAGGGGCCTTTGCTTTTTACATACCTCTACTTTTGTTTGCATTTTTGTGATAAGAGGATTTCTTTTACAACTAAGGGAGGAAAAGGAAAAGAAAAAGAAAAGAAAGGAAGAGTGGGAGGGAGGGCAAGAAGGGAAGGAAGAATAAAAAAGAAGGGAGGGCCGGGCGCTGTGGCCCACACCTGTAATTCCAGCACTTTGGGAGGCTAAGGCAGGCGGATCACGAGGTCAGGCGATCAAGACCATCCTGGCCAACCAGGTGAAAGTAAAAATACTAAAAATTAGCTGGGTGTTGTGACGTGCGCCCAGCTACTCGGGAGGCTGAGGCAGGAGAATTGCTTGAACCCGGGAGGCGGAGGTTGCAGGGAGCCGAGAGCACCATTGCAATCCAGCCTGGCAACAGCAAGCCTCTGTCTCAAAGAAAAAAATAAATAAATAAAAAGGAAGGGAGGAAGGAAAAAAGGAAAGAGAATTTGCAGCCACTGTCACCATTTAAATGTAGGGTAATTCCTTAGAGCTCACCTTGACTATCCAAACAGGGTGTTACACCCCGGCACTATCTTAGTAAAATCACTGCAGGCCAGGGTATGGGTCCAAATTTTGCAGGTGAAATGGCAGTTTACCAAGAAAAGGCCTATTTCTGGAAGGCACGTCTTATGTTGTCTCCAAATATGAGTAAGATATGAAAACTAGGAAACCACTGCATACATTTATAATTAGAAATAGGTGTCAGTACTGAACCAGAGCCTCACATTCTTTAATTGTCCTAGTCCCTACTACAATAAGGTCATTATTAGCTGAGAGTAGAGTAGTTAACAGTATGCAGACCTTGACTGGACCACTTTGGGTAAGTTACTTACCCTCAGTTTACTCATCAAGTGAAGATACCAGTACTTATGTCTCAGGGTTGTTGTGTAGAAAAGCAAATACTAACATACTAATGAGGTAGTTTGGGAAGCACAGAAAAAGGGAAAAGAATTTTGATGATGTGAATGACTAATTTCAACCTATTTATCTATTTCCTTAACAGAGATATATCTGACAAAAAAACAAAGAGTTCTACCTGCTTCAACTGCATTTATTAATTAGCAGGTGACAATTGGTAGGTATTGTTGTTAGTACTACACTGCACAAACTGTTAGACTCTGGAGACACAGCAGAGAGTAAGACAGAAATGGCTTTTGTTTTCATTGTGAGTACGATATACTAGGTAAATAAAATACACTGAACAATTCAGTACACATAATGATAAGAAGAGAGCAAGATGCCATGGGAGCGTAAAATGGGCAGCCCAGGGAATCAGAGAAAGGATCTAGGAGGAAGCAAGATTTAGCTGGGAATTGAAGAACAGGAGTTACCTAGGTGAATGGGGAGGAATGTGATTTCGGCAGAGGGCAAAGACCACAGGTAGGAAGAAACTCAGAGCTTTGGAGATACTGGAAAACCTCTACAACAGCCACAGCTCAGAAAACTATGAATGATGATGGATGAGACTGCAACAAGAGCCAGGATCCAGAGAATGTAATAGCTTTGAGGCCTACTGAAGGATTACAGTCATCATTTCAACAAAGACAAAAGGGCCTGGTGTGGTGGCTCACACCTGTAATCCCAGCACTTTGGGAGGCCGAGGTGGGCAGATCATGAGGTCAGGAGATCGAAACCATCCTGGCTAACATGGTGAAACCCCGTCTCTACTAAAAATACAAAAAATTGGCCAGGCGTGGTGGCGGGTGCCTGTAGTCCCAGCTACTCAGGAGGCTGAGGCAGGAGAAAGGCGTGAACCCGGGAGACAGAGCTTGCAGAGAGCCGAGATCATGCCACTGCACTCCAGCCTGGGCGACACAGTGAGACTCCATCTCAAAAAAAAAAAAATAAATAAATAAATAAATATATGTGTGTGTGTGTGTATATATATACATATATATTATATATATGTATATATATAATATATATATTTATATATGTTATATATATTTATATATAATATATATGTACATATATATAATATATATATTTATATATGTTATATATATTTATATATATTATATATGTATATATATTATATATAATATATATTTATATATAATATATATATTTATATATATAATATATATAAATACATATATATGTATTTATATATGTATATATATTTTATATATATACATATATTTATATATATATAAAATAAAGACAAAGGAAGCCATTATAAATTTCTAATGAAAATTAATTTTATTTCCCTTCTCTATTCCTTTCCTTGATCTGTTAATAATATTTCTTCTAGCCAGATGCAGTGGCACACACCTGTAAACTCAGCTACTCAGGAGGCTAAGGCAGGAGGTTAGCTTGAGCCCCAAGAGTTCAAGGCTGTAATGCACTATGATTACATCTGTGAATAGCCACTGCTACACTCCAGCATAGCAAGACCCTGTCTCTAATAACAGTAATAATAATACTTCTAGCTACTTTATGGTGGGGACACATTCTAACCTTTTTGTAGGTTGATTTTTTACTCATCAAATTCTCAGAATTCTGAAGGTGACTTACTATACCTGCCTATCTGTTGTAGGTACTAAATTTATTTAAAGTTCTTGGCTGGGCATGGTAGCCGACGCCTGCAATCCCAGAATTTAGGGAGGCCTAGGCAAGAGAATCTCTTGAGGCCAGGAGTTTGAGACCAACCTGGGCAACATAGCGAGATTCTGTCTCTAAAAAAAACAAAACAAAACAAAACAAAAAAAATTAGCCAGGCATGTGCACCTGTAGTCTTAGCTACTCAAGAGGCAGGAGGATGGCTTAAGCCCAGGAGTTTGAACTGTGATTGTGTCTCGAGCCACTGCATGCCAGCCTGGGTGACAGAATGAGACTGTGTCTCTGAAAAAAAAAGTGAAGCTCTTCTGAGCTTGTTTACTTTTTATATTTACACTGTTATTTTCTAGCCCTCACATATCACATTTAACGTAGTGTAAGACACTAAGACTTGTTTTCCAGTGGTCTTGTGATTACACAAATTGACATATCCTTGTTTTACTTATTAAAACTCTGCAGAAGTAGAAAACACCGACATAACGTTTTGACTTTCAGAATTTGACTGTGTACTGGATTTTTTTTTCCTGGAAGCACTACTTTTCCCTTTGTTCATTTCCCTTGAAATAAATTGTAACCATTAGCTAATGCCTCTCATTTATCAAGGACTTACCACATGTCCTATGCGCTTTACACACACCTCATTAAATCATCACAACAACTTTGCAGGAATGAATTTTTATTTTTGTTTATAGTTTGGAGACTGAGCATCAAAGGTTATGCATCTTATTCAAGGTCATATAGTTAATACATGAGAAACATTTCCTTGAGTAATCAGTTTCTGCTTACCTGTGCTTCTGCCAGCCTCAAAAATTCCTAGATCCATAAATTTCAAATTAAAACTATATATATCACTGGATAGACTTTCATTAAATTCATGTTTGACATTGTGGTCATTGAAAAACACGAAAGGAAAAGTATTCTATTCCTTAAGCCTCTAGCCCACAAGCAACTAAAAATATACAAAATTTGATCATTGATGAAAAACACATATTACTTGCTATACATAGAAATGAATGGTAAAAATAAAAGTAAGAGCACTATGTCCAAACCCTCAATACAGCTTTGCCCTGACATATGGTTGTATTTATGGTTTTTGGGGGGATACGAAAATAAACAAGAAAGGACACAAGACTTGTTTAAAGTACCATCTTTTAAAATGTTTAGTGTATAAGGATGAACATAAAGCCAAATCTTATTGAACATGGCAAGAATTTTTTCAGATACACGTTTCTTGCAAATTTCTCATCTAATCCTATTTACATCATTTTTGCTTGAAATATCTTTTCACTATAGAGCATATTTTTATTGATTATCCAAGTTTTGTGAGGCAACAGAGTTTATGTCCTACAAATGTTGGAAATTCCCCAGAAATCCTGAGATTTTTGGAAAATCTTAAGACATGTATGTTTCTAATTCTTGAAAATATTTGTAGTGTTAATGTACTGTGGCTTTTAAAAATAGAGCCTGTCTTTTAAAGATCATCTTGTATTTAGTTACAAATTGGGAGGGTTGTTGTTTTATGTATATATATATATATATATATATACACATATATATTTTTTTTTTTTTTTTTTGAGACGGAGTCTCGCTCTGTCACCCAGGCTGGAGTGCAGGGGCGCAAGATCTCGGCTCACAACAAGCTCCGCCTGCCGGGTTCACACCATTCTTCTGCCTCAGCCTCCCGAGTAGCTGGGACTACAGGCGCCTGCCACCACGCCTGGTGAATTTTTCTATTTTTAGTAGAGACGGGGTTTCACCGTGTTAGCCAGGATGGTCTCGATCTCCTGACCTTGTGATCTGCCTGTCTTGGCCTCCCAAAGTGCTGGGATTACAGGCATGAGCTATCGCGCCCGGCCAAGATATATTTTAAATGAAAAACAAAATGCAGACTAAAACCTGAAGTGATCATCAGGTTATCTTTGTCACCACAAACTATGTGCTTAGCACTGTGTTAGGCTGATTCATAACAAATTGAAGGAGTGATTTTTTTCTTTTAATAATTCATTTCCAAAGCAAACATGCAGTTGGCAAACAAAGAAAAAACTGTAAATTCCTCTGATTTGTTCATTTTTCTTTTTTATTAGAACTGCTTTTTCCTTCTTACATATAAGAAGTATATAAAGATTTTTACTTTTATATATAGATTCCTACAGTAAAATTTTTCTTTAATTAGGTATAACTTGTAATAGATTCTTTAGCTCCTTTTGTCTCACTCATAATAGCTAATTATCATGCAGAATCATCAGTTTAAAGGCAGAGCTTTGTTATATTGCTGACTAAAAATCACTGGTCAGAAGCCAAGTGGCACCCTCATGCCCACATTTGCCATGTTTGGAGTTTTAGATAACCATCACCTACAGTTCTTATACCCTTTAATTATAAAATACTGCAAGTCCTTCAGACAAGTGAGCACCAGAATAAAGATGAAAATTAAAGACAAATTTTAATGGTTTTCAATGACACTTTTTTTTTTTTTTTTTTTGAGACATAGTCTCACTCTGTCACCTAGGTTGGAGTGCAGTGGCACAAGCTCGACTCACTGCAACCGCCACCTCCCGGGTTCAAGTGATTCTCCTGCCTCAGCTTCCCGAGGAGCTGGGACTACAGGCCTGTGCCACCACGCCTGGCTAATTTTTTACGTGTGTGTGTGTGTGTGTGTGTGTTTTTAGTAGAGACGGGGTTTCACAGTGTTAGCCAGGATGGTCTCCATCTCCTGACCTCGTGACCCACCCGCCTCGGCCTCTGGAAGTGCTGGGATCACAGGCATGAGCCACCGTGCTCGGCCAATGACACTTTTTAATTACAAAGGTTAAACGTCTGCTACATTATTCCGAAGTTACTATTGAATTATTTAACTTGGCACTTGTTTGTTAAAAGGACAGCAAGGTATAAGATGTCAAGGTATAGATGGCAAAGAAAAGTGTTTGATACCACACATGAGCAAACAAAATCTGACAAGCTGTTCTAAATGTTAGAGCAAGGGTGGAAGGAATTTGATAGAAGCTTTATACCATTTAATCTGTTTTGACTTCAACTGTAGATTAAGGGTGAAAAAAAATGACAGTCGAAACTTTAGTTTTGAACAAAACGTGAGAGGAAAGTAGATCTTTTAAGACCTCATGAATCAAAAAATTCTAGCGAGAGGCTAGACTGAAGAGACTAAGGGTATGGGCCAGGCACGGTGGCTCAAGCCTGTAATCCCAGCACTTTGGGAGGCCAAGGAGGGCGGATCACGAGGTCAGGAGATCGAGACCATCCTGGCTAACATGGTGAAACCCCGTCTGTACTAAAAATACAAAAAATTCACGGGGCGTGGTGGCCGGCTCCTGTAGTCCCAGCTACTCGGGAGGCTGAGGCAGGAGAATGGTGTGAACCCGGGAGGTGGAGCTTGTTGTGAGCCGAGATCTTGCGCCTCTGCACTCTAGCCTGGGCGACGAAGAAAGACTCCGTCTCAAAAAAAAAAAAAAAAAAAAAAAAAGAAACTAAGGGTATGAAAAGGGTATGAAAATGAAGAAGAAATATACAATTAAAAGCTCTAAACTGAAATAAATAACTTCAATCATTGTATAATTTCTTATATCTGCAGTCATTTTTAAAATTATGAATTATAAAATTATAAATTATAAGGTATTTCAAATATACAGAACATAATGTAACAGGCAAACATCTGTGGTAGTTTTAACTTACATTTAACTATAGATGACAGGATGCTGGATGTATTTACATTTAATTTCCAGATTGCTTCAGTCTCACTGAAATTTGAAACTCATAAATGCAAGGTGGTTCCCCTCAAAGATTTTTAAATTACCTGCCCCCCAAAAGGGAGTCATTGACAAGCTTTTGAAAAATATAGAAAATTGTCCCAGAAGAACCACTGTCTTTAATCAGGTGTCTGCTGGTGTCTATCTTTGAATAGGTCCTATAGTGAGTAGCTTGGATGATTAGCATTTAATATGCTAGAGAATTATTAAGTCCATTTAATTCTAGTTGCTCTAAATTGAGGGAAAGTTGAAATTGAGCCACAACTACATCAAAGTCTTCCAAGGCAATGGCCAATTTAGATTCTGAGACTCTGGTGAGAGTTAAAGCTTTAAGTTCTGTGTTAACAAATCTCAGTATTTTACGCTTACCCTCTAGAGTTCTTTGAGTTAGCCTCAGTTGCAGCCATTTTCTGATAATTTGACCTGAAGGTTAAATTCTTGTAGGGAAGGGTTTCTAAATTAGTTAACTGTGTTTAGGATTAATAAATATTCCTGAAAATCTGAAATGTATAACTCTAAGTTTTTCAAAGCAGAAAGCAATCTTACATTTCTCTTTATTTGCTTTTAAAATAAAATACGCAGGCTTTGCACAGTGGCATGATCGTAGTCAATGAGGTTTATCCAGGGTGCGATTACTGCTAATTGAAAATTTTTCCCAATACTCCACCATGATGACCAGAAATATAGTTGGCATTGACAATTTTTGACAGTCTCTGCAGAGGCTGAACAAAAAAATAAATAAAAAATAAAAATAAAATTGGTTTGATAGGGTCACTCACACCTGTAATCCCAGCACATTGGAATGTCAAGGTGGGAGATCGCTGGAGGCCAGAGTTGGAGACCAGCCTGGGCAACCAAGGAAGACTCAGCCTCTACAAAAAAGAAAATTAAAAATTACCACTAGAGTGCATTGGTGCCACCTGCTCAGTAATCCCACCTACTCAGGAGGCTGACTCAGGACGATCCCTTGAGTCCAGGAGTTCGAGGCTACAGTGAGCTGTGATTGCACCTTAGCTGTGATTGCACTCCAGCCTGAGTGACAATGTGAGACCCAGTCTCTAAATAAAAAATAAGATAAAATAACACTTAGGGTTTCTGCTAATGTAGCCTCTAGAAACTATTTTACTGTCTTTACTAATTCTGATGAACGGTTTTGTAAAGAGTAACTGACTGACAAAAGACTCCAGCATGAAAGCCAGATCAGGCTCCATTTTGTTCCATATGCATAGGGACAGATGACACATTGCATTCAATAAGACTTGGGCATAGGGTTTACCTTCTAAAGTCGGTGCCTCATGAGACTGTTTTTATATTCAACAGGAAAGTGTGTGGGCATTGAAATTACACTACACGTCATAACCCAAATAAGCATTTAGTCATTGCAAGGAAACATCCGGAGACCAGAAGAAATAATCCGAATTAAAATTTCAACACTTTTGAAGACCAAGAAACTAATGCATAATTTCCCTCCTTAATGTTAAAAGAAATTAGCTTTCTTCTCTATACAATAGTCTTCTTTTTTCTGGTCTTCTTGAAGCAGTGTTTCTGTGGTATTTCTTCCACGTCTCCTCTTCAGTTCTGAAAATTGCCAGCTGCCAATTCTGACATGCCAAGGGCTAAGCTATATTTGCCCAACCAAGAAAAGGTAAAAACAGAATCTTGGAGCCGGTAAAGATTAGAAACATTTTTCTACACTGTTGGTGTGCTGTTTATAAAAAGAACTTACTTTCAGACTTTAATAAGTCCCCAAACTTCATTATTTTGCTCTCCCTCCAAGTACAAAGCACAGATGTTTTGGCATGTTGGAATCCGAAGTTTGGAATTTTTAGAAGAGGCCACGTGTGGGCAGAGAACTAGCACCCTAGGCAAATTGAGAGGTTCAGCCATTTTCATAAAATAAAGTAAAAAACCAGCTCTTGGCCTGGAAGTTTCTTTTTTCTTTCTTTCTTTTTTTTTTTTTTTTTTTTGAGACTGAGTCTCACTCTGTCACCCAGGCTGGAGTGCAGTGGTGTGTTCTCAGCTCACTGCAACATCTGCCTCCAGGGTTTAAGTGATTCTCATGTCTCGGCCTCCTAAGTAGCTGGGATCACAGGTGTGTGCCACCATGCCAGGCTAATTTTTGTATTTTTAGTAGAGATGGGGTTTTACTATGTTGGCCAGGATGGTCTCGAACTCCGGACCTCAAGTTATCCACCTGCCTCAGCCTCCCAAAGTTGCTGGGATGACAGGCATGAGTCAACACACCCGGCTCAAATTTTTTAAACTTAAAATTTTATGCAAAAACTGAGTGTCAAATAAATATTTGCAGAATAAAACTGCATACCTTTCTAATACTTTTTAAACACAGTTCAATTTACTTTTTAGTAGGTAAAACCAGGCAGGCAGCCAATTAAGATGAAAAAAGGAAAATTTTTTTAAAACTGGAAGAATTTGTTGGGCGCGGAGGCTCACACCTGTAATCCTAGCATTTTGGGAGGCCGAGGCGGGCGGGTCACCTGTGATGGGGAGTTCGAGACTAGCCTGACCAACATGGAGAAACTCTGTCTCTACTAAAAATACAAAATTAGCCAGGTGTGGTGGCGGGCACCTGTAATCCCAGCTACTTGGGAGGCTGAGGCAGGAGAATCACTTGAACCTGGGAGGTGGAGGTTGCGGTGAGACAAGATTGTGCCATTGCACTCCAGCCTTAGCAACAAGAGTGAAACTCCGTCTCAAAAAAATAAAAAATAAAACTGGAAGAATTCACATTATAAGCTTCATGGGAGTGAAAGCTGTGGTCATTCTATGAATCCCCACTGCTTAACAAAGTGCCCGATACTTAGTTGATGTCTAAAATTTTTAACAGTGATTTCTGCTGAGAATTAGGACTTTTCTGGTGTGTATGTTGAGGTATAGAAAGAGGTGAGATACCTAACTCTCCATTGTAGATTGTAGTTCCTTAAGCTGTGTACATATATGATATGTATAATATAGATATATATATGAGATGTACATAAAATATTTTAAAATGGTAAAATCTTAAAGTTGGGAAATGTTTAGGATGACCTATATGACTATTTCTGAAAGATGAACTTGCTTTCCCTCCTCCATATACATGCATCAGAAATTTATTTTATACTTCTGCCCTACCACTTGTCTTATCATTTGTCCATCCACATCTTACCCTATATAAATACACACATACACTCAAATCATGTCTATTCCCCATATTAAATGCAAACATGCACAGACACATAGTGGGAGGTGAGTGCAGAGCATTTGCCTCTTCCATATAATTCTCAACCACTCAAGTAATAGTACTTGAAGAAGTATTCACACTACCAATTATATCAAATTGACTGGGAAACTGGCTTTTAGATAATCCTCTGACTTTAAACAAATGACACAATCTTTTTTCATCCAAAAACAAATTATAAAGGAGCAACTGAACAGAACTAAGCACCTTTTTTTTTTTTTGAGACGGAGTCTCGCTCTGTCGCCCAGGCTGGAGTGCAGTGGCGCGATCTCGGCTCACTGCAAGCTCCGCCTCCTGGTTTCACGCCATTCTCCTGCCTCAGCCTCCCAAGTAGCTGGGACAACAGGCATATGCCACCACGCCTGGCTAATTTTTTTTTGTATTTTTAGTAGAGACAGGGTTTCACCGTGTTAGCCAGGATGGTCTCGATCTCCTGACCTCGTGATCCACCCGCCTCGGCCTCCCAAAGTGCTGGGATTACAGGCCTGAGCCACTGCGCCCGGCGTAGATTACTTCTAAATTACTGATATTTTCTGCTCCAGTAACTCACCAGTTTGCTTTGTGGTGGATAATAGATGTTAATGTAAATAATTTTAATAAGTTATAACAGAAAACATCCTTGAAGTGTGACTTCAAGTGTCAATTTTATATTTAAAACTACAACAATATTATCAATTGCCCAGAATTGTTCTACTCCCTTTGAATGGTTGTTTTTCTTCGGTATCTTGAATTTTTTAAACCTTGTTTTCTGTATTTTTACACAATATTGTGTACTGAAATTAAGATGAATTTTATTCTTTTGCTGCTTCACGTAACTATACTCAAACTGACCCCATTATTATTCTTGTTTCTCCAGGAGGCTTTCCAACTTTAAAATTTCATCATCATTAAGATTTTGTGCTTATTCGTGTCATGTCTGATCTACTAAATTACTATTTCCTTTTTTTTTTTCTTTAGACGGAGTTTCGCTCTTGTTGCCCGTGCTGGAGTGCTATGGGGCGATCTCGGCTCATTGCAACCTCCGCCTCCCGAGTAGCTGGGATTACAGGCATATGCCACTATGCCCAGCTAATTTTGTATTTTTGGTAGAGACAGGGTTTCTCCATGTTGGTCAGGCTGGTCTGGAACTCCCAACGTCTGGTGATCCACCCACCTCGGCCTCCCAAAGTGCTGGGATTACGGACTCAATATTTCCTTATTTCAAACTCTATCACACATCCCATTAAAGATATATTTCAAATTCAACACTTTATCTTCCTTTTGGTTCAATAAATATCCAAAAATGTTTACAATTTATGTTGCACTGAACAGAGCTAATGATAAATATTGTCCCTGAAAACATGACTGTTATTTGCTGAAGTTCTGATAACCAATAGAAATGTGTTTAAATAATCTCAAATAGATGCCGTCAATGAGTTTTAAATATAGGCCAGGTGCGGTGGCTCACCCCTGTAATCCCAACACTTTGGGAGGCTGAGGTGGGCGGATCACGAGGTCAGGAGTTCCAGACCAGCCTGGCCAACATGGTGAAACCCCATCTCTACTAAAAATACAAAAATTAGCCAGGTGCGGTGGCGGTGCCTGTAATCCCAGCTATTCGGGAGGGTGAGGCAGGAGAATTGCTTGAACCCGGGAGGCAAGGGTTGCAGTGAGACGAGATCGCGCCACTGCACTCCAGCCTGGGTGACAGAGCAAGACTCCATCTCGGCAGGGGAAACAAATCACACGGAATATAGAAGCTATGTTTATACTAAATTAAAACTTTATTGAATAAAGAACACTCTCCAGAACACATGATCTGATGGACTAGGTCTACATTACATGCAATGAAGCTGAACATGACCGTAGTTTAACATGGAATGTCAAACAAATTAGTAATTTTCATTGTACAAAACTGTTTATGTAGCTGACATGCATGCAAGAAGAAAAGTGTCATACTCAGCATTTTCACCAATCTTCTGTGATGAGTTTTAAAAAAGGCATTTGGAGAAACTGGTAGATGTCTTCAACATATAGTTCAAATAAATTAGTTGTATGTGTACTACTGAATCCTCTTTCAACCTCTCTTGCATTCCAAATAAAATCTTAGTGCAAACATCAAAGTTGCTGGTCACTCCAAAAGACTGCTAAACTCATAATAGAATACAAG
Source organism: Homo sapiens (assembly GCF_000001405.40). NCBI lineage: Eukaryota > Metazoa > Chordata > Mammalia > Primates > Hominidae > Homo > Homo sapiens. The sequence goes on along the minus strand of NC_000006.12, from coordinate 121,449,318 downwards.
TTCTGAATTACTGTGTATTAAGTAGGAAAACCCAAGAATACCAGTTACTGCAAAATTCATTTAGGCACATTTAATAGTCCACTCTAAGCATTTTTTCTAAGTCTCTCACATTAATGACTAAAGCCTGTTTACAGTACTAAAATTCTATCATTCAAGCATCAATGATTACATTTCAGAAAAAGGAAATTCATTTCAGTAATAGCATTACTGCTATATCCTAAAAAAAGGAGAGAAAATAAAGAATCATAATTAACAAAACCAGTATCCATAATAGGATACACAGGGAAAAACATTTTAGGAGAAAAAAAAAGTGTGCTTTACTTGCCACAGCAGGAATTATATAATGTAAACACCATATTGGCCCACACCACAAAAATCCATGAGAAAGGTTCAAATTTGAACACCATATGTGCATTATTTTCAAATCTGTGTTTGTGAGTTTATACTGTATCTGCTTGTACCAATACATGACAAACAAAACAAACTCTTCGACACACATATAAGTGATTGTTAAATATTAAGCATGGCTTGATTCCCTGACTTTAGCTCAAAAAAAAAATGTTAAGTGACATCCCAACTGTCTTAAAAATGTTTACAGAAACCATTAAATGAATGTGAGTAGTAGCTGAGGAATGATGAAAAAGTGATGGTAATGATATTGTGCAAGTGGATGGAAAAAGAATATACGTATTTGCAAATGCATGGAAAATCTTATTCTGTGGGCCTTGTCTGAATTTTAAACTGATACCAAGAATAAAAAAATATAGTAGCACAAGTCCATTGACACCTGGAGGGTCAGGCCTAGAAAGCTTACCTTCAAAGTGCAAATTTTAACAATGGAATGTTTTAGCAGGGACTTAAGGACAATCCTCTGTCTTTTTCTTGTTGAAAAGACCTAAGATGTTCAGGAAGTATTTATTCCTGGCCAGAATTATTTCAGTTTCTTGGTAAAACAAAAATATTTAGCCACAATTACCACCCGCTCATTCACATACACAGAACCATTCTTAGGGGTGTTTGCGGGGAGAAAAAGCCCTTATCTATGTATCACCTAATGGAACTCTTATTTATAATCTAAGTTCTTTGAATCCACTACTTTAAATACCAACATGCACCTCTCTTATCCCCTCCCTCTCCACCCATCTACCCCATACACCCCCAGTGAACCTAGGTATTCTAATGTCTTTGTGTTTTCTAAGCCTCATGAATAAGGCTGTTGAGTACCACCTCCACCGGATCAAAATTAACACCTGGTGCACTTTCTACAGCACCTTTTTTCTTCTCCACAATTGAGTGGAATCTTGATGCTTTCAAGCCTGTATCTAGATCTCCAGGTCATCAGGCCGAGGTCTGCTGCTGGCACGACTGCTGGCTCTGCTTGAAGGTCGCTGGTCCACAATGGCTAGTGGCTGTAATTCATGTCCAGCAGCTAGTTTTTTAGAATTCTGGTTATCATCGGGGAAATCAAAAGGCTGTGCATGGGAGTTAGAGATGGTGCTTCCCGCCTGCCCCATTCGATTTTGTTCTGCACTGTAATTAGCCCAGTTTTGCTCACTTGCTTGCTTGTTGTAATTGCGGCAAGAAGAATTGTTTCTGTCGCCAGTAACCAGCTTGTACCCAGGAGGAGACATAGGCGAGAGGGGAGCGGTTGGTGAGGAGCAGCCATTGAAATAAGCATATTTTTGAGACCCACAGTCTTTGGCAGGGCTCAGCGCACCACTGGTCGCATGGTAAGGGTCGCTCTTTCCCTTAACCCGATCCTTAACGCCCTTGAAGAAAACATAGAAGAGTTCAATGATATTCAAGGCCAGGGACACCAAGGACACCACCAGCATGAAGATGATGAAGATGGTTTTCTCCGTGGGGCGAGAGAGGAAACAGTCCACCTGATGTGGGCAGGGATCTCTTTTGCAAGTGTAAACAGCACTCAAGCTGAATCCATAGATGTACCACTGGATCAGCAAGAAGGCCACCTCAAAGATAGACTTGAAGAGGATACTGATGATGTAGGTTCGCAGCAACCCCCCTCGCATTTTCACCTTACCATGCTCTTCAATACCGTACTTGAACTTCTTTATCTCAATCTGCTTCAAGTGCATGTCCACATTGACACCATCAGTTTGGGCAACCTTGAGTTCTTCCTCTTTCTTGTTCAGTTTCTCTTCCTTTCGCATCACATAGAACACATGAGCCAGGTACAAGAGTGTGGGTACAGACACAAATATGATCTGCAGGACCCAGAAGCGCACATGAGAGATTGGGAAAGACTTGTCATAGCAGACATTTTCACAACCAGGTTGCTGAGTGTTACAACGAAAGGCAGACTGCTCATCTCCCCAGGCTGACTCAACCGCTGTCCCCAGCAGCAGGATTCGGAAAATGAAAAGTACTGACAGCCACACCTTCCCTCCAGCAGTTGAGTAGGCTTGAACCTTGTCAAGGAGTTTGCCTAAGGCGCTCCAGTCACCCATGTTGCCTGGGCACCACCTGAAAGAAACAAAGAGACAATTCAAGGATCACAGATTGCAAATTACTAGTTTAACATTTAGTACCTTTCAGGTGATAGTCAAAATACTACCAACGGTTTCACGTATTTCTAACATTCTTTCACAAAAAACCAAGTGCAAACTCTTCCTGTCCCATTTTTGCCAACGAAGAAAAGATCTAACAAGTGTTTTGTTTTGTTTGTTGAGACAAAGTAAGTCTTAGAAGCAACAGATGATGAGTTGCAGTCTTTAACCTGGGAAGGTGTATTGCTTGCTCAACCACTGCCTTGCTGTGTGACTTGAGAAGCCACCTGTGCTAAGCCTCTGCTCCTTTTATTTGTCTGATAAATGAGGACAGTTTTTGCCTGGTAGATCTGTGTTTGCTAAGCAAAATCCTGATGTGTGTTATTCAAAGCATAGGTATCAAGAATCCAGGTAAGAATACCTATAAACACACATCCATAACCTTCTTTCCAAAACCTTAATGCTATTATATATCATTTTATTACTAATTTCACTCTGAAAGATTTTTTTTTTAAGATGGTGTTTCCCTCTTGTTGCCCAGGCTGGAGTGCAATGGCACAATCTCAGCTCACCACAACTTCCGCCTCTTAGGTTCCAGCGATTCTCCTGCCTCAGCCTCCTAAGTAGCTGGGATTACAGGCATGTGCCATCACGCCTGGCTAATTTTGTATTTTTAGTAGAGATGAGGTTTCTCCATGTTGCTCAGGCTGGTCTCGAACTCCTGACCTCAGGTGATCCATCTACCTCAGCCTCCCAAAGTGCTGGGATTACAGGTGTGAGCCACCACGCCTGGCCTCTGGAAGATTTTTCAATGGTATATCAAGTGTAATTTGTGCATACCCTATATTATTGTCATTTACACTTTTCTGTTTCTTTTTTTAGAGATAGGATTTCACTATGTTGCCCAGGCCCCTGGGCTCAAGAAATCCTCCTGCCTTAGCCTCCCAAGCAATGGTGACTATTTTTTTCTTAAGCAGTGACTTATGTAGCTCAGAAGTCAGCCTTCTGTCCAGAGAAAAAGTAGGCTGTATGGAAATATACTCTTTTGCTACAATGTGTCATTATATGTAGTAACCTACTTTGAAAAACAAAGACTAAATACACATCACACTTCATGTAAAAAGTTCATTTTGTCTCAATACTACTCACAGCCTTATTAAAAAACAAACAAACAAAACCTACTTCAGGGTGTTTTCTCCAGCCAGAAAAGATTGGTTTTCATCTTTCATTGTTATATACTTTAAAGTTCCCTTACTGGGCTTTGGACCCTCAGGCTATACATCCCATTTAACTTCTTATCAATATCTAGCTATCTAAAGTCCACGCCTTCTCCATTACTGAGGATAAGAAAAAGATCTGGCCAGGCGTGGTGGCTCACGCCTATAATGCACTCACGCCTATAAGCACTTTGGGAGGCGGGTGGATCATGAGGTCAGGAGATTCAGACCATCCTGGCTAACATGGTGAAACCCCGTCTCTACAAAAAATACAAGAAATTAGCCAGGTGTGGTGGTGGGAGCCTGTAGTCCCAGCTACTCGGGAGGCTAAGGCAAGAGAATCGCTTGAACCCGGGAGGCGGAGCTTGCAGAGATCACGCCACTGCACTCCAGCCTGGGTGACAAAGAGAGACTCCGTCTCACTAAAAAGATGTAAGTCAGTAGAAACCAACAAGAATCCCCAAAGTTGTCTAGTTCAATTTATGCTTCTAATTGCCGATTATCCATTTAGCTGATAAAAATTGAGGTTCTCAGAGGTTCTCAGGGTATAGGAAATATTTAGCTATAGACAGAGCCAGAAGAAGATTCACAATCCCCGGGCAAGTCTTTTCAATGCCTCACACTGGTTTTAAAAGTACAGTAAGGCTGCGCTAAAGCTAGAAATGTTTCCAGGCTTTGATATACACAACCTTAGCCAGGGCTGAAAGCTGGGAAGAAGTGAGTAACATGATGTGGCAGGCATAGGGAATATAGGCTAATTTTCAGCACATAGTAGTAATTGGAGGATTTAGAAAAGGACAAATTAGTCAAAGATTGTTTAATAATTAAAAACAAGCAAAGCTAAGACTTTGCAGGAGCTTAGTAATGAATTCTAAATAGAGTATCTAAAGGTAGGATTATTTAGGCTTCTTAGAAATATGTTCACTATCTGAATATAAAGGAGTTTCTCTTCTGGTGTTGAACTATTGAGCTGTATCTCCTTGTAGGAAGTAAATGAAATCCAGGGGAGTCTTCTTCCTCAGTAAGCAACATTACATTTCTGTCTAATGACTGCATCTTCTGGCCATAGAGAACAAGAAAAAATGAAATGGGCACCTGACCTGGGATTTCCTGGACCGAACAAAGAAGAGATGGCTGAGCCATAAAGCTAAACTATGCACCAGCTAGATGGTACCACGGTATCATGGGTACATTTGATGACAGCCCAGGGACTAGTGCCAAAGAATGCTGAGTAAGAGTGGGAGGTGGGTGTGAAGGCCACAGAAATAACACTCCCCCAGTGGTCATAAGAAAGGGAGCTTCCCTTTTACTTAGGAAGGGTCATTTTAGATTCTGAAGTGACAAGTTAGGAAGTGAAATTGATGTATGAAAACAGCATCAATTTAAAACAGCAGTCAAATAAGAACAAAGGCTTGAAAGGCTGACAAAGACAGTTGAATAGCCAAGGAAAGGCTTGAAGTGAGGGAGTAATTTAGCCGTGATGGACAGTTTGATGGTGAGAGAATGTGAAAGAAAAAAAAACCCTACAATTTAGCAGAAAATACTAGACTGGAAATGAAGAAGTATAGTCCATGAGGGTCAGACAAACAGAATCTTTGGAGCTATATCAATAGACAGTTTCTATGTGATGATGTGTAAAATTGGCCCTAATTCTGTTTGTAAAAAATTACAGTATTTTGCCAGTGTCATCTGCTTTTGCTCACATATTTCAATTGCTAGGGGAAAAATAACAAAAACAATCAAGTATAAAAAGATAAACTTTGCATACATCTCATCACATTCATGCAACGATAGAGCTGAAGACAAACCTATCATATCTAGAAATATGACCAGGCAGAACAGAAGTTATTTTAGCTAGGATTTCATCATTACTCAAAGTAAAATATGATTGTGTAGATGCTTATAGTAATTCATCACTAAGTTTATTTACATTCTAGTAACAAACTATAGAAATGATCCCTGAAAGTATAGTCTTTATTTACATTCTATAAAAAAATTCATGATACATGACTTTCATATAATTTTGAGATTCTACAAAAACACTCCACAGTTCCATAGTATGTGAACTAAGTCATCAGACAGCTCTTCATTAGTTCTTTTTTAATACTCTAGTAACTTAATTGCAAAGTTGTCTTTTCTTTAAGCACCCATGCAGTTGTCATTTGCATTAATGAGTTATACTCTTTCATCTTAATAAGATACGAATTATCGAATTGGACACCGAGTATCCTGTAACATGTAGCTACCTGTCGATCTCCACTATCATAGATACCATCAAATAATGTTTAATGTGACAGCTGCCCAAAAACAGGTAACAAAAATTGTTCCCTTTTTTTTTGGTAGTTGCTCACTTTGCCATGAATCAAATTTTGGCAACTGGTTGTTCCTCCCTGCTGCACCTTCCCAAACTAGTTTAATATCTTCATTTTTCCAAGTCTTGTATGGTAAGTTAATACCCTCTTATAATAAAAGGGCATAATTATATGTTTACAGAATCCCTGGCATTGATCTACAGACTATAAACTGCACTTTTATTCACCAGGGGGAAACAGGTATATTTCTTATTTGATACATGAGAAGACCAACGCAGCTGGACATATCACATATATTCATGCCTTCACCTCTAGGATACTGAGTTGGTGCTTTATATGTAGACCAAGGTCTGTCTAAGAGGAGTTGTGCAAAGTTCTTGTTAAGAGCAGAGTCTTAGCAGCTGGACCACGCTTTTTGCCGTCTATGCACCATGTTAGATTACATTTCCATTGCTCTTCATGGCCCCCTAGACTGGATGGATGCCCAAAGCTACAGGCACTAAGTGTGACCAGCCTGAGGCTCCTCTGGCCCCTTTCCTGAACTGCATCACAGTCACTTGGCAGCATTTGTTAAAAACATACATTCCTGGTCTTCACCAGTCTGAATGAATCTGAATTTCTGGAGGTGGGGCCTAGGAAGTAAGGTTTTTTTGGTGTTTGTTACTATTCTTGACATTTCTGGCCCTTTCTTGTTCAAAATATTTAGGAGTGGGAGAAATGTCAGGAAAGCAGAAGGAACAGTCTAAAAAATCCAAGGGGCTGAGTACCAGGAGCAGCAGCTCTCTGGGCACCCGGCATTGAGGTCAGCCTTGGCTCCACAGCCCCTTGTCACTCCTTACATCTCCATCTGCAGCTCCCTGAGAGCAGAAGAACTTAAACGCTTTAATTCAAATGAGATCTCTTAAAAATAAAGCTTTGATTTTAAATTACATTTGACTATGCCTTTTGCTAGAGCATGTGCCGAAGTTGCAGTCAAGTCTTTCCATGCCATTAATATACTAATAGTTATTAGAATTAAGTATTTTACTATCGACTTTAAATATTTTTCTCAAGAAGAGACAAATGTAATGAGTTGAGAATGGAGACTTAAATAAAGGTAAATAGGATTATTGAAAACTAAAGTGAAATTTGATATCCAGCATCTTTTTATGATTGAAAGAAAAGAGAAGGTGAAGGACTTTAATATCTGAAAGAATAAAATCAGAGTCTAAACCTACATAAGGAAATGTCTATGGAAGTTCCCGATAAAATCATTTAATGGATTTTTTGGGAGGAAAGGGAAATCATGTGTGTGTCTAATGTACTAACACCCAAAAATATTCATGCCCAAAAACTCAAATGCAAACCCTTGTAATGTTTTCTTTCACTTTTATAATAACCTCTGCCCCTCCAGTAAATGTCATTGAGTGAACTCAGTTGTCTATTCCTCCGCACTTAAAACAGCCACCCTTAGCTTGATCTCAGCCATCATCAGTTTGCTAGGTTTCATGTCATTAGCCTGGTCACCCTACTTGCCAACCTATACTCCGAGTAATCAGTCAATCTTGAGAAAACAAACCAACAATCAGCTTGGTTTGATGAGCTCTGCTCCATCCACGCAGCTCACGTCCTCACTTGTTGCAGGTCTCACCTCATCAGCCAACTTTCCTGACCACCAAATATGAAATAGCAACATCCTTTCCCCAGTCCTGTCATTTCCTATTCCCTTTGCCCTGGTTTTTAAAAAATTATTATTTTAATAGACTTTCTCTCTACTTGATATAGTAAATATTTGCCTGATTACTATGTACCTCCTTCCATGAGAAGGATTTATTATTTGTCTTCCTTAACTGGAATGTGAACAATACGAGGGAGTTTGCTTTGTTCACTGCTGTATCCCCAGTGCTTGAAAGAGTAAGAGATGTGGCTCACACCTGTAATTCCAGCACTTTGGGAGGCCGAGGTGGGAGGATCATCTGAGGTCAAGAGTTTGAGATCAGCCTGGCCAACATAGTGAAATCCCATCTCTACTAAAAACACAAAAAAGTAGACCGGGTGCGGTGGCTTAAGCCTGTAGTCCCAGCACTTTGGGAGGCCGAGGCGGGCGGATCACGAGGTTAGGAGATAGAGACCATCCTGGCTAACACAGTGAAACCCCGTCTCTACTAAAAATAAAAAAAATACAAAAAAATTAGCCGGGCGTGGTGGCGGGCACCTGTAGTCCCAGCTACTCGGGAGGCTGAGGCAGGAGAATGGCGTGAACCCGGGAGGCGGAGCTTGCAGTGAGCCGGGATCGCGCCACTGCACTCCAGCCTGGGCGACAGAGCGAGACTCCGTCTCAAAGAAAAAAACGACAAACAACAACAACAACAACAACAACAACAACAAAAAAGTAGCCAGGCGTGGTGGCGGGTGCCTGTAATCCCAGCTACTCTGGAGGCTGAGGCAGGAGAATTGCTTGAACCCGGGAGGCGGAGGCTGCAGTGAGCAGAGATCACACCACTGCACTCCAACCCGGGTGATAGAGTGAAACTCCGTCTCAAAAAAAGAAAAGAAAAGAAAAGAATTAATTAATTGGGGTATAGCTACATGTTAAATGAATTAAATGGGGCTTCCACAAAAAATAGAAAGATACTGTGCAAAAAAAAAAAAAAAGTTTGTTTTTTTCTGTCTCTTTGGGATTCTCTTAATTGTAGTTATATCTCAAATTTCTAAAGTTTCAAATTAATTAAAAAGGAAACTTCACAGTAAAAAACTATTGTCATCATCTCATTCTCATACTGTTAAATTTTCAAGTGACAATTGCTGAAACAGAGAACTGTTTGTTGAAACAACATGCTTCAAATGATTCCTGAGCAGGCAAAAGAGCTAAATTAAGAAAAAAGGCTCTTTGCAACCCCCACTGCTAAATTTGACAGGCTTAAAAGAAAAAAGAAAAAAGGCTTTTTAACAAAGAGCTTCCTGAATTTGTTAAATGAGATCCTAATGAGGGTTAGGATTCTTGTAGAACTGCATCAGGTATCATGCTTGTACATTCAGTTCACTGTTAGGTTGTTGCAGGTTAAGATTTAAAACACAAAACAAAAAAAAAAAGGAAAAAACACAACTGTGTGGTTGTCCCCTAGTTCTACGATGTTCTAACTCCGATTGCACCACACAATTTTATTGTAGACAAGGACACTATTACAAGAAGAAATAGCCTGTTTAAAATCGTGTTTATTTCAAGAATGATAAATATCGGGGAAGGCTAGGGCTCTGAAGGGGAAGAGCAGCAGTTGATATTAACCCTGGTTAATGTAACATCTTTACAGTCTGAGTCTATGCAGGCACTAAAGTGATTAGATTCAAGTACCATGGAAAAGATTCCCAGTTCATCAGATAATACCCAACCTTTACTTCCTTATTTATACCTAGATGGCCTAACTATAGTGTATCAAACTTACTGTATGTAAAAATATATTTATAAATAATTGCACATTTGTGTAGGTATTTGATGTTGTGAACTGCTTATTTTGGGGGCAGAGGGGAGGACAACATAAAAACACCAACAAGCCTTCCTTCCCCAGCTCTTACCCCTCCTCATCACTGAACTTACATTAGCATCCACTTAATGAGATGAGATGGGAATTGAGGTGTGAGGAACTCCATCCAAAGAGAGGATGGTGCATCCCATAAAAGACAATCCTCTCCCTAGTTCAACAGCTACTACTCAATTCTCCCCCAAAACAAGTTTCTCAAGATCAATTTAGGGCTACCAGAGAGAAAATCCCAAGTCAGAAGCTGAGGCTAAAAGCCATGTTCTTCAATTGTGATGTAACTTAATATATTTCTATCAGTCCTTGGCGTTTCCTCTGCCCCTACTCTTACTTCCACCTCCAAATTGACTATTTTTAGTGAATAGCCTTGTTATTTTATAATCATATAAAGACACCCTTAGGGCCCTCACAAGTGTATTGATTAAGATAGTCTATTTTTTTCAATGAGAATTTAATAAATAACTCATGCATGTGATGCTCTTAGTAACAGCTCAGTAAAGTTTGGTTCTTACTCTTTAGACGACCTTTAGATATAGCTCATTTGGTTTTAAATTTTTCATCTTTTCTTTAGCAAAACAGCAACTAAGAAATGATTGACAAACATACATTTTCTTTTTAAAATTTTTTTTTATAGAGGTGGGGTCTTGCTATGTTGCTCAGGCTGGTTTTAAACTCCTGGCCCCAAGCGATCCTCCCACCTCAGCCTCTCAAAGGGCTAGGATTACAGGCATGAGCCATCATGCCCAGCTGACGATAAACATATATTTTTCTTAAAATATTATTTTAAAAGCATAGGGAAATTGGAATGTGAAATTTATGAAATTGTATAAGCCACTGATGTATTAAAAAAAAAGAGCTAACCACAGTTTGAAAATAGGTAAAAGACAATCTGTACATACATAGTTAAAAGGTGACTTTAGATGGAGGTTTAGACAATTATGCTAAGAATTTAAAAAATATATACATTAATCTCCCATGGAAGAGATGCTCTGGAGATTTTTTAAAACTTGAATTATCCATACAGAATATTACATTAATAATAAACACTAGATAATTACTTTTTCTCTCCAGAGTTGAACTGGTGTGTGCGGATAAGCTCCCACACATCTCTTCAAATAACTGAGAATCCTGAAGATAAGTCAGAACAACAGGAAAGGCGGAGTGGAAGGTATTAATCACTGGTGACTGTCCTATCATTCCCTTCCCTGCGGGTATCATATATAAAGGCTCAAACCAAGCTACACCCCTGGATGTAGAGAAAAGAAAAGAAAGAATGCACCCCGTGTTTTCCCTCCTTCTCTATGCAGGAATTGGAAACATCTAAGTAACAAAGCAACCTTCAGTATCTGAAAGCACAGCCTTTTATCTGCCTCCTGCGGAGCATCTTTGCAACCATGTTTCCCAAGGAGGGTGACAGCATTGTTGGTATCACAGTCGCCAAGGGTGAGGAACTCAGTGGCTGGGTTGAGAACCCTCAGAAGGCATTAGAAAAATGTGGAACATGTTTAAACAGTGAAGAAAGTAGGAGCAAAGCACTAACACTGCATTTTCCCAGGTAACCAGTCTACCCTGACTTTGGGAAGTACAAAGCACCCCCACACTGGGGGAACAATGTTCTAATAATATAGAATCAACATCGCCAGGACGGAATGGAATGTACTGCCTTTGCTTGGTATAATTTCCAGTCAATTCGGCCTACCCAGAAGTAATTAGTCTTCTCCCAAAAGTGTTTTCTGTCTAACTGGCTTATTTCATTCCTGGCGCGGGGGGGAGGGGAGCGCTCGCTTAATGAAATCTCTGCATTACTAGACGCTTTAATTTCCAGTTATCCTTGCACAAAAGTAAACATTAGGCTTCCTCACAGGGACACTTTTCACCGAGTTCAAATGCGCCCGATTTTCGGAGGGCGATATTCAGTATCTTTCTTGTCGTTACTAACTGGGTCGAGGAAGCAAAAGAAATTCAACCGTCTTCCAAATAAAGCCACGCTTCTTTTTACAACATTGTGTAGCTCTCCCCTTCCCACCCCTACTTTGTACCTGGAGAGAAAGAGAAGCACGCCTTTTGGGAGCAAGGAGAGCTTATCGATGAGCGTTATCAGAAACCCCCAGCAAAGGCTGGCTGGGTCACTAAAGGGGCAGGGTGGGCGCAGCGCTGCTACGACCGTGAGGCGCGCGTCTCGGAAACAGGCTGACTTGCCCCGGACGCGTCATCAGCTTCCCGAGGGTCTCTCCTCCCTGCCCTTTCCCCTTGAGCCGCCCCGCCTCATTCTCGGGAAGTTTCAGGAACTTCCAGGGGAGTTGCAAGTGCAATTTAAGCACAATTCCCAAGGTATTCAGGTTTTCTTACCAACGCGGAGATAGTGGGATTCAGCAAGTTTAAGAGGAAAAAAGAAAAAGAAAAAAAAAAAGGGCTGGTGTGAGAGGGATGGGAAATTAGATTGACAACTTTAATTAAATCAACCATTTGTTCTACCATTTGGCACCCAGCCCATCTCTCCTCCTATCCCTCCCACCCCGCACCCCGGGTTCCTTTGCAGTGACGAACTCGGACCTGAGTTCGATTTGACTTGTGAGGATTTGGGGGAAACGTCCCAAGACCGAGCTGGTTCGGGCAGCGAAGGCGCGGGAAGGATCCCGGCAGACGCTAAGATGGCAGGAGGCGCCCCGCGCCCGTCCGGCCCACGGCCTCCGCAAAGCTTTCATTTTTATTTGCTTTTCAGCATTCACTGGTGCAAATACTTCCACTGCAGGGTCACGTCAAGAATCTAAACTAATTATTTTAGTTTGTAGATTTACACAGAACAGAAAATCTTTACCGGGCACAAAAATGCATGGCTGCATTTCTGATGAACAGAATGGGTGTTACCAATAAAAGTATTTTAAAAATTGAACCCTTTTAAACAACGCATTAGCGTTATCTTTGCCCTAGGAGCTCCAACTCCAAAGAACTGCCCCAGAGTTCTGAATTCTGTTACAGGTTCGAGCAGAGGGAAGGTGCGGGGCGGCGGGTGTTGGCGGGGGGAGCTCCCAAAGCGCTGTTTAAGAAAGTTTTTTTCCTGCTCTTTCTAGGAGCTCCCGTTTTAGGAGACGGTTTTGGAAAAGTACCCTGGCATACACTCTTTTTTAAACGTCTGATCTCTAATGCTCTGTAACTAGCCACCACCCATTCAAGAGATTTCATCTCCTAAACTGCCAACGTGGTCGAGTAAAAGCTGTCTCTCCTGAGGGTCTCAAATCTTTCCATAGCGGTTGCTAACACAAAGTAACAATTTACTGTTGATTTTTAAAGCATAATATTAATACTCTTGAATTTTATACCTTTTTGTTTAATGGGGAAAATTCTAGGAAGGAACCACGTGGAAGTCAAGTAACCACGATGTTTTAACAAAGCACTTCGTCACAAAAGAAGTTGGCTTTGCAAAGCTATAGAACATCAATCAAGATTTCCATATGAAAAAAGCACTTTATTCTATGAAGTGTAGAATACTATAGGAAGCACGCTAAGCAAATTTGCACTTTGATTTTTCCGATGTAGTCAGTCAAATCCCCCAACCCAGGCGCCTAACCGCCCCCCCCCCACCCAACAAATGATAGCACCTAGACTATTACTGATTACAAAAAAAAAACAAAATAAAATGATACTCTAAAATGAAAAACCAAACATCCAGTAAACTAATCCTTTATTCTAATCGGAAAGGTTTGAACCTTTTCACCTGTTGCAATGTTAATAGAAACTTTTTTAACAGTCAAAATATATATTTGGTACAATAAATTTTAACTTTAAAACTATAGAAACACTTTCAAATCCATCAATCCATTTACAGTATCATAATTCAAAATTACATTTAACACATTTTAAAACTTTAGAAAAGTTTTACTTGTAGAAAAAGAAACTAATAGGTAACGTGTTCTCATTTTTTAAAAACTTACTCTTTTGCTTAAAAGTAGTGAAGTCACGCCAAGTGATTGAACTCCTTGGAGGATGAAGTAAAATGAAAAGGCAAGTTCAGGCACTCAGACCTGTCTATTTAAAGTTTAAAACTCCGCTGCTGTTTGGTACTTTCCTCACGCCTTCCCCCTAATGAAAGAAAAGTGCTGATACCTCGTAAAAGCTTTTTTGTAACTTGGAGCACAGAGCTTTTAAAAGTTTCAAGCCACTGACTCAACTGGGAGGAGGGGCTAGAAGAAAGGGGAGGGCAAAGGGAAAGGCTGGGAGGAGGTAGGGAGGAGGCTGGTAAATGTGGAAGGGCTGGGGGGAGAAGAGGCAAAGAGCAGCAGTGGGATCAGGATAAAGTTGTAGTTTAAATTTGCTGATGAGGAAAAATAAAAAAGCATTAGGGACATGAACGCCTCTACTTGGAGTTGCTCCTCACACATAAGAATCATTGATTACACTGCTTGCTTCACCAGAAGACCAGGGATAATGGGGGAAAAAGGTGTATATTTTTATTACAACATTGTCTAAAATTTTTAAAGTAGCTTACAATAAATAAAAATGGTGGGGAAGCATATAACCAGTTCAAGCTTGTTTCACATTGACCAAGGTGTGTGAAGTTAGAGGTAGGTGTGAGTGACCTGTTTGATGATCTAATTCCCTTCCTTTAAATGTAAGCAAGGACAATTAACAAAGGGAATGGTGGAGATGGGAGAGAGATTTCAAAAATTGACATAGATGAAGAAAAGTCCATACCCAATCCATCTTTCAACCCCTTGACTGCTTTGAATTTTTACTTTCTTTCAGTTTAGCAAAAGGCTGTGTGTGTATATACATTTTTTACATATATAGCATGTTTTGTTTGCCTATGAAATCTTGATATCTGACCTCTACCATGTCTCCAGAAAACTAAGAATTTATATTAAGGCCCTATTTATGCCAAGACACTAAAACCCAAATCTGTAGTGAAATGTGAGGATTTTAAAAATACAGACTATGGTTGCATTAAGTAGGTTCCCAAACTATTCAGCCCTCCTTAAAATCAGTTCCCCCTCTCAAGCCCACTAGAGAGTTTTCTGCCCAACGACAGTAAAGCTGAGCATATCATCTTTATGTGCTTCCCTATCCCCTTCCAAATGCTCTCCCTCTTCAGGGCTCTGCATTAGGGTTTATAATGGCCTGAGTCATGTGGCCTCAATCTTAGAGCAGGCAGCTCCTCTGAGGGCTTCCCAAATGCCATAACACAGTGTTGTGGTAGGACAATTCCTCATAAACAGGCTTCAGTGATGCTCCTGAGGTTGGACAGGAAATTTCTTGGCCAGTATTCTCTGGAGGGAAAGCAAACTCATCTGGCCTTCCTATTCCTAACACTTTTCTCACTCAGGCAAATACCAGAAAAAAG